>NC_000002.12:12464047-12770803 GCF_000001405.40 Homo sapiens | reverse complement strand
AGCTAAGTACACAGAGTCGGCAGAAAATAGATGCCATTGAGATGCCACCAACTTCTTTGCAAGTGAATGAACGTCATGGGGCCTCTGTGGTGGCTAATTATCTCTTCTTCCTTCTGAATGTATTTGCCACATAAAACCTTCTTTTGTTTGCTTTTCAAAATAAATTATCATTTTCTAGTAATGCATATGCTTTGGTGAACTTCACTGAATGGTAAAATGAAGAAAGAAGTGGAATCAGAAGCTTAAAGAGCTTAGAACTGACAGTCGCTGAGCGCCAGCCAAATGCCAAACAGCACACAAAGAAGCAACAAGACCCTCCAGAAACAGATCTGCTTTAGTCAAGAAAACCTAAGTCTCTCATTCTTGCAGCAATTTCTACAAGACTGGTAGTGTTATCCCACAGTTGAAGCAAGAAGACTGAGACTGAAAGATTAAACGACCTGCTCTGAATAAAATACAGTAGGATTTGCATCCGGGTTTTTGTGGTGCTGAAGAAAACTCCTTTAATTTTTTTTTTAAAGAAAAGGTCCCTTAAAGTAATTTTAACAAAATTAATCAAGATGATTCTGAAAGAAGTTTGGACAGAGCTTTGCTATCTTCTCAAAATTTTCTCTACTTCATTTCATTGCCTTGCTTAGTCTTTTTGGACTCTTTACAGAAATGTGAAGTGTGGGCTTGCAGTGCCCACTTGCATCCTTCTGCTCCTGCATTATCTCCATGCTTGCTGAGAAATTTGGATGCACAAACAAGCCATGGGGCAGCACAAGAGGTCAGAAAACCATCAACCCAACAGTGTTCTCCAACTGCCTATTTCTCCTGATACAGCACTGGCAAGGGAGCAAGTGCGAAGTTTTCCACTTCCAGCATCCTTCAGAGACAGCAGTGACTGTGAGCTGAAAGGCAGCCCGGGCGGCCTGATCAGCTCCACAGTTGCACAAGTTCTTCCTTGGAGGAAGTCATCGCCGCGTATGGGGGCGGGCAGGACTGCAGCTGCCTGGAAACCCATCCACATTTGTCTCTTTGATTTCCTTTCATCACTCTCTTCTCTTCTTTTTTCTCTTTCTCTCCTCTCTTTTGTCCCCTTTCTCCCATCTACGTCTCTTCTGTTCAGCCTCCTTACATCTTTGCGACAAGTTATTCTTCCTTTTTTCTTCCTTTCTTTTCTTCCTCCCTCCCTTTCTCCCTTCCTTCCTCCTTTTTTTCTTGCCTTCTTTCATTTCTTTCTTCCTTTAACTTTTCTTCCTTTTCTCCCTCCTTCTCTTTCTTTTCTTTCTCTTTTTCTGTCTTTTTGCTTGCCTGCTTGCTTGCTTTCTGAAACCCCACAACTAAAATGTTCTGCACAACACATTGCCCAGTTTTACAAAAAAAAAAAGAAGAAGAAGAAGAAGAAAAGAAAGAGAAGACAACCATAATTTAAAAAAAAATTCAGAAGCCATGTCGTGCTCTTTCTTCTCTATCTCTTCCTTCTGATTCTAGAAATGATTTAAGTCTTCATCTCAGAATTAAGGGGAGCTCCAAAGAACACCTAGTTAAATTCCCAGCTGGTGCAGGAATCACCTTGACAACACCCTCAACAGGTATTCTCCAGATAGTGGTCAAATGGATGCAAATGTGGCAGAGGAGAATACAAGAAGGAGAGATGAGGGGGTGCCAGGCAGCTCAGCATAGCACCCATGTCCCCCTGAAGAGTGGAGGCCTTACAGAAGGCAGCCAACTCTAAGCTGAACACTCTCTCTCGACAATCACTTGGATCTGTAGAAAAGCTGACAGGTTTTAAAATTGGCATGGCAAAGTGACCTGGGAAAATTAAGTGGTCCTAGGTTTTCTCTAGGGTGCCAGGGCAAGTGACCGAGATGCTATTGTGAAGGAAGATCATTGAAAAGACCATGCACTGTCTTTATTTTGTAGATGAGCAGAGAAAGGGAAAGGTATGTGTCCGTTAGTGCAAGAACCAAGACAAGAATTCAAGCCCCTTAATAGTTATTATTACCTTAGTCCATTGCACTCAGCTAAATATTCATCCCCCGAAATAAAGCAAGCTGGTCTTACCAAAATACTTGGCTAAAGGCCTTCCACACAAATACAACTCCGCAACAATCCTCCTCTGCCACCTCACACTCGTGTCTCCTTATTCTCCCTCTCTGCCTCTTGTCCTACCTGATCTCCTCTTCACTGACTTAGTCCTTCCCTTATCCTAGCTGATGGCTCAGATCTGCCAATGACATATGGTGGCCTTCCTAGTCTACTGGTCATCAACACCTAGCCAGATCTTTGTCCTGAATAAGAAGAAAGAATATCATGCTAGAATGAAAACACAAGAGGCAACCCCATCAGCCAGCACTGAGCCCCAGAGCAAACATTCATCATGGGACTCCAGCTGCCTTTGTGTGCAATCACGAGGTATTGGGGACTGCTCTTTTTCACTGAGTTATTGCAGGAGGAAGCATTGGTCTGTAAAGATTCTATATCTCTACATGCATCAGCCTAGATGGGAGTTTAGAGATATCTACCCCAACATTTTTGGAATGTAAAACAAAGCCTAGAGAGCAAAATGACTTGCCAAAAGTCACACATCATTTAGTGATGAATCTAAACTGAAAACAAAGTCTGTCTCTTGTTCCGGTCTCAAAACACCAACCACTGGGTGAGAGACACAGAAGTCAGTAAATGCTGGTGTCTTCATTCATTTTCCCCTTCCTCCCTCCTTTTGCTCTCCTTTCCTTTTTTCTCCTCAGATTAAAGTGAGCTATAAGCACTCAGTGTTTGTTTGCCTGGGATTTTTCCAACTTCGGCTAGATTTATAGATCTATATTTTTCTCCTTTCATTCATGTCTATAAATGTACTGAAAGGGCTTCTGAGGTCCTTTCTCTGACCTTCTTTTCTTTCTATTCTACACAGAGTGGGGGCGAAGCTAAACAAATGATTTCCCAGATAATGTTCAAACCCTGCATAAGCTTCCACAGGACTCCGGAAGGAGCACCAAGGAGCCAGACATGCTCCTGGCATGCTGAAGACGCCGCACTGCTGGCACTGCCGGGGTGCGCTCAGGAGAAAGAACAGGATAGGCAGAGAAAGAGCTGAGGAAGATGGAGGTGGTAGGAGGAGGAGGAGTTCCCAGTTCTCAGTGTCTCAGTCTGGCTTTGTGAATATGCAATGTGCGGTTGGGTTTGCCAAAGACAAAAGGGTAACATTTGCCTACAAATTCCAGTGGATTGAAGCCATATAAAATCTCAGTGCTGGGCCGATGAGAGCAACCATCATCTTGCCTTGCCCTGGAGATGAATTTCAGGGGTTCTTCTCTTCAAGGAAGTGGAGTGGGGGGCAAAGAGGAGAAGGCAGGGTATGAAACATAGGTCAAATGTGGACTGGGCTTTGAAACCAGAGACCTGATCTGAACTCCAGCTCTGTCACCCACTACCTGAGTGACCCCAGCAGAGGCATTTGGTAGGTTGGCTGGCCTTATTGTCCCAGGTCCAACCAAGTCAGGTGGACCTTGGGTAAGCTACTTAATGTTTGTAAATCCTCATTTCCTCACACATACAAAGAGTTTGATGATACCTACCTACTTAGCAGGATTGTTATGAAGATCAGAAATTATTGGCATGGAGTGCAGAATGGTTATTACACAGAGGGACAAGGGAGGGCCATTTCCGTAGTCCTCCATTTAAGTGGGAGGATTTTGGAGTGGACGCTCTTGCAGGCCATTGGGCATGGGCAGAGTGAGTCCTGCACTTCAGCCTGAGAACCTGCTGTCTTTGACTTGTGTGCCTGACGGGAAGCACACAGAATGCTCACCAGATGGGTGTTGTATAAATAGCGTCTTTGCCACACTATTGCTACTGCCCAAACTTCCTTACCAAGAACCAGGTTGCATCTGCACTTGTGGGTGCCCCAGCCTCTCACCCTGACTGGCTGTGGCCTCTGGTCACCCCAGGGGACACGTCCCTACATGACAATTCCGGGGACTCAATGAGCTGCGAGTGGCTCCCTGGCTGCAGCACAGTCTATTCAGTCAAAAGAGAGCAGCACCGGCGGATCCGGATCCAAGTGTGCAGGCGCGTCTCCATCTGGCCAAGCATCTTCTGTCTGGGATGCGACCACCCACACCATTCTCTTCTGATCAAACAGTCAGGCTTGCCATGATTCAGCTTCCATTCCAGTTCTGCAGGACCCACTCTCCTCCAAAGGACTGGAAGGCCTGTCTAATGAGCGAGCAGGAAGTGTAGGCTGTGAAGTCCTCCCAGCTGAGACTCCGGGAGAGCCAACTCACATCTGAGATGTCGGTGGAATTTTTCTCCTGTCATTATTTTTAGCCTTATTAGCTTTGCATTGTTTTTGAGAGATGAAGCACAAAGAAGGCATAGAGAGAGGCAGTCAGGCAGCTTGGCTTCAGGTTCTGACTTGCTCGCTTGTAACTGTGTGACCTTGGACATTTGTTTTTACCTCTTTGAGACTCATTGTCTTCATCCGTGCAATGACAATAGTACTGCCTGTTCATCTTGCCATCGAATGTTGTTTCTAGACTCAAAAGAGAGAATAATGACAGTGAAAGAGCTTTGTCACTGTAAAACACCAGTTTTTAGTGATTATAGCTTACTAACCCCCGTGAAGATATTTTCTTTTTTCCTAAAACTACTCCTTTTAGATGTCACCTGAATGTGGGTTGGAGGCAGGGGTTGTGACAAGGGCTCAAGAGATTAGAGGGAGAGAGGAGGCTAAAGGTCTCAGAGTGAATGGGGGCAGATTCTAGGTTTCTGGAGGTTGCTAAACTTTCTTTCTTTCCCATCTTCCCTGCTCTCTACTCTCCCAGTGCTCCTCCTCCCTGAGACTCTGAGCATTGCTTTGCCAGACACTGATGCAAGTGCTAGAGGCACAATGATGTGAAATCTTCAAGGAACCAAAAGTGTAAAAGGGAGGCAGAAACAAAAAGGGAACTCAGACATGGCGTGTGAGGCTATCTCCGAGCAAGTGCAGGATTCAGGAAGCCCAGGGAGAGAGCAACTGATCAGCTTTAAGTAAAGGAGCTAATGGAAGCCTCCTGAGAGAGGTAATATTAACTCTATTTTACAGGTGAGGAAACTGATGCTCAGGAAGGTTGGATGATTTGCCTAAGGTCAAAAATCAAGAAGTGGTATAGCCTGGACCCAGTTGTATTCTATCCAAAGGTTCTTCTCTTTCCATTCCACCATTTTGAGCAAAGCTGGCTTTATGGGGGGAAGCATGATGCTATTAAAAGAAAATTCTGTATCAAGGTTATTGGAGTGAGGAGATAATCATCCTCTTTATACCCTAATTCACACTGAGAGGCTTTTTATTCTAAGGCCTTGTCCCCAGGCTAAGCCTTTAGCTTCTTAGATGAAGACTGTGGCATTCCTGATGCTAGCGCTCATCTTTCCTCCTCGTAGACATTGTACAGACTCCATCAGGTCAGTGCCTGCGGGAAAGTGGTATAAACTTGTAAGCCACTTCTAGGCTCTACTCTGTTCTCTCTGTTCTACCTCACTGGCCTTCAAATTTCTCCCAAATTCACACAACAAAACTTGCTCTCCATTCTAATTTTCCTGAAGTTTGCTATCTGAGGGTTGGAGGAATGAAAAGAACAGCTCACAGAGTCAGAGACCTGGACTCTGCTCCCAACTCTGCCATTAATAGTCTGTCAACTTGAACAAGGCTACTGAGGTCTTTGAGCCTTGGTTTCTTTGTCTCTAAAATGAGAACATTAACATTGACCCCTGTATGCATGATGCAAGGCTCAAGTAATGTGATTTATTAGTGATAGCTAAGTGAAGTGTAAGGCATCCCATTGTTACTAACATACAGTGCAATCTGCAGATATGGTTTTGATCTGGAGGGCTCTCATTTTCTTTAAAGGAAGGACCGTGTTGAATGTCTTTAATCCTATAGGACTCAAATCATCTTTTTTGCAACGGTCATCTTTCAGGCGATGCCCCTCGCGTATAGGCTCTGGAAGTGTATATCAATTCAACCGCAGAATGAATCAATGCTTGCAGTTGATTCAATCAATTGCTTGCAATCAATGCCTAGCTTTTCTTCTTCTTTTTCCTGCAAAATGTGTTTCTCTTTTCTAATGAAGATTCCCTGCTGATAGCTGTTTGGGGCCCAAGAAATCAGCACTTGGAATGAGGTTCTGTGAATACATGCTGGAAAATGTGGGCCCAGTATCAAAAATGATCGCCTCCAGCACAGTCTAGACTGTAGAGCCAGCCTCCAAGGGGAAGTGGTGGTAGCAGTGCTGCCTGAGTCATTAGGCAACTGTGCCAGAACCCAGGCTTAGAGCAAGCAGTTTGCACATTGTTAGGAGTGCTCTGCAGCTGGAGGGGTCCAGCACAGGATGACTTTACCAAGGTGGACTTCCACCTCTTGTTTCTTTGAATCCTTCATTTGTGTGACATTGCAACTAGCTGGCTGTGGTTTTCTCTGTAAAGTTCCCCTGGAAGATTTAGAGCAGTATGCGGGGAAGCCCTCCCTTGCCAGGTTCTTTCCCTACCCAGTCTTTAAGCTATCTAAGCTTACACAGAAACATGGGGTGGGGATACACAATGCTTCCCTCCTACTAGAAGCAGAATTTGATTTCTGGCATCGTTCACCGAACCCACTGGCTCCATTGTGTGTCTTGGGGGGAAAGTCTGTGTAATTTCCTTTCAGCCTGGGAGTAGTAGAAGGTCAGAAAGACATAGGTTTAACTACAGTGTATACCACCTTAGATTAGAGACCAGCTTCCCTGAGTTTGTTTCCTCAGGTGTAGAAAGTACATAATAATATTGCATTACTTAAATCCAAGATGCCATTATTTTATGCCACCTTAGAAAAAAAAGCAATGCTGCCAGTTAGACTGAGACACTATTGACAATAAAATATATCCTAAAATCAGAGATGTTAAAGTATTTAAAAAAGAAAAAAAAATGTCTAAGAACAAATGAAACATGGCACCTACCCCCGAGGGTTCCTGTGAAGATTAATTAAGATCGTGCATTTGAAAGTGTTTTGAAAACTGTCAAGTACTGTAGATACTCTGTTATATTTAATAGATGGAGTGTGCATTGCCATGGAAAAGCACCAGCTTTGAGGTCAGCCAGACTTAGTTCTAATTCCAAGGATACCACTCCCCAGCTGTGGGATGTAGGACCACTCCTTTAACTCTCCTGGATCTCAGTTTTTCACTCTGCAGCAAGAAAAACGAATTCCTTCTCGTTTCTCTTGCAAGTGCTGGATCACAAATATACAGAAGATGTACTAACTTGAAAAATGATTTCTCTTATTCAAGTGTAACTAGAAATCTTGCATTTTTATTTGCTAAATCTAGCAACTCTATGTAAACTAAAGGGATCAACAAATGTAACATGCAGGGCAGTCTGGGGCACGGGAATAAGACCTGGGAACTTTAGAAGAGCAGGAAGGATGAAAGGGGAATTCATACTGATCTAAGCCTAGGGATGGATATAAGCTTCACATGGTGGGCTAGAGACAGCAGAAGGGGAGCCTGAGAGACGACAGAGACAAGAAGACACTGCCTCTGAAGGCTTCAGCCTTGGCTGGCAGGAGTCTGGAGGCGGGTGCTCAGATCCACACTTTGCCTGATGGTGTCTTACAAAAAGCCAGGAGCAACAGACTCCAAATAAATGTCTTTAAAAAATGGAGATGACTAAGTGAGTAATAGCTGCGGGAAGAAAATTCAAGAGTTGCATTGAGTAAGAAAATGTTCCAATGTTTTTCAATAAACCAAGGGAAAGTGTAAATTATTCATTTGTTATTTTTGTAAGGGTTTCAAATCTGTGATTTTTTTTTTCCCGTTTTGTCTCCAGTTTTTTTGTCCACAAGAATGTCTCTCCTCCATTGAAAGGAACTTCTTTTTGCAAATGGAGTCTCAAACCTCACCAAAATTGCAAATGTAAAGTTCATTTCACCCCTCTCAGGCCCCACTGGATAGAATCCTAGGTAGGCTCTGGGCTTAATACTACTACCTTGTTCCAAGTAGAAGGCAGAGTTTGTGTGGCGCTTGGTTTGTTTTGACTTTAAGAGTTGCTAAATTCAGGTCTTTGATATTTGACCATGTTTCGGAGCTATTGAAATAGACTTGGGTTTTCGTCAATAACAAATGAATGATATTTTTGTTTTCTCAGAAGACACTCATACCTGTGAATGAGTTAGGCTGGGATTATGGTTTCTGGTTTACCTGTGGGGCTACTGACTCTCAGGCTACACAGAGCTAGCCCAGGCTCCTGCAGTAGGTTGGTGACAGCTGGACTCAGGCCTGGCTCCCTGCTTCTTACTAGCTGTCTTGGCACTTCAGTCAAACCACCTGGGGCTCCATTGCCTCATCTAAGAAATACAGCAAATACTGCCTATTTGCCTGGTTGTTTGTGAAGGTCATTTGAAATATTTTCTATAGAAGGGTATTGTAAACCACAAAATGGTTTACTGGTATTAATAATTCTTACATATTTACCTAGTTTATTGACAGAACTGGAAGATGACTCTCAGCCTTCTTAGACGAATCCTCCATTTCCCATTTTCAACACACCACCTTCATGAAGGTAGAAGAACCAAATGTACAAAGTTAAATCCTCTTCTCATGTAGGGATCTCTGGCCCCTTCTCTGGAGGCAGGGAAAGGTAACCTTGACTTTGGAATCCACTCTTATAAGGTGGATGGGGTAGAACAAGTCTCCTTGACAATTGACAGACCTAAGTACACGTCATAAAGACAAGCTACAGAGAAAAATTGCTTTAAGGAAACTTTAAATCTCTCATTATTTCTTGTATATTAAGGAAGATGATTACTCATATAAAGCAAACTAGTAGGAGTGAGGAATATTCGACAACCTTCTCAGAAAAATGTAAGTTTTGTTAAGAAAAACAGGATAAAAGGAATATATTTTTAAAAATATGAGACTTTGTTATTAAGACTAATTTCCAAAAACTACATGTGAAAACAATATTGTCACTTAACAATCAAATAGGCATAGGGTTCTAAGACCAATACTCTTAAAATATTATCCATATATGATCATTTAAAGCCAGAAGAAATCCTAGTCATTAATTATACACACCAGGACTTGGTGTTTTACAGATTTTGAAAACAAAGTCCAAATAAGGAAGGGATTTTGACAGGTCCACATAGCAAATAAGAAGCTGAACTAGAAACAGAATTTAGGTTAATTGGCTCTTAGGATCATTCATTTTTAGGCACATCAGCTCTTTTTGCCTTTTTATAAAATTTTTGTGGATTCTCCTGTCTGGAAAGTGGAGGGATTGCCTCTGATAATACTGCAATAATGCATCCAAAATCACCATCACTGATGTCAAAATTTTCTAAAGAAAACTTCTTTACAGTGACTTTCTCAATTACATTGACCTTATTTATGAGTCGTCATGGTCCCATCTCGTTACGAGACAGGAAGGAAACAGTCGCATCGAAGGGAAGATCGTTGTAGCTGATCTTCATCAGGGTCTGATAACATCTAAGTTGATTATTTAATTTGCAGCACAGTCATTTTTTCCTCAACACTCTCAGCTCTTAATAGCATGGCTCTCTCATTTGAATAACATTTTTAAAAGATGATGGATGGGTGCATTTTTCAAAAAAGACTCACAAAAGACATAAAAAGGCCACCAAGGGTGGCAGGGAAGGACCATCTGCTGATTCAGAAAAAAAAAATAATACATGAATGCCTCATAGACAAAAGTGGCTATGGCAAACTAAACAAGATTTCAGTATTAGCAAAAAGTGTGTTGTATAAGCAAAGTGTGTAACAAAGACAATGAGAATCTTGTACCCACTCTTCTATTTTTGCCTAAAGTGTTGAAACTCAGGGCTGAAATTGTGTCCTCAATGTTCATGTCTTTTCCCAGCTAGGATATCTAGTATCATACAATGATCACTCCTTTTTTGCCTTTTACCTGAGGTCAGGGATTTGAATTTCATTTTTTCTGTGTGTTATTTTGAGCTGCCAGGAATCATCTTTGCTATTAATTAATTTTGGAAAAAAAAACAATAAGTAGAATAAGGTCATAGAGATCTATATCAACTTAAAGAGAAAGAAAATGTGTAATCGACCTTTGGTCCTCCCACCGGCCTGTACATTCTCATCCTGTCTTTCTGTTGCCATTCTTTTTTATCCTGGTGGGACTGTCAATAATAGTGCCCTGTACCCCCTCCACAGGTGTTGACACCTGAGCACTAGCTACTAGTAAGGGTATCCCTATACGCTTGCCTCCAGTGACTTGTCCAGAGACAAGCAAGCAACTCAAGCAGAACCTACAAGATTCTTTCCTGAGAGTGGTATATAGATATAGGAAGAGGGAATGTTTCTTTCTGCTGGAAGGTTGTAAATCTGGGGCTGCCAACAGTCATATTATCTGCTATTTGGAGGTAGATTGTGACTAGTGAAGCCAAGCAGAGATAAGCAGAATGGCAAGGCAGAGAGAAAGGGAGAAAGAGAAAATCCTGATGTCCTCATTCAAGTTATTGGATCCTGACTTATTTGATAGAAGATTTCCAATATATTATATTGTTTCTATTGTTGTTGTCAAGAGAATTTAACTTTTTGCACTTACAGCTGAAGATTTTCTGAGTAATACAAGGAAAGAAGCAGGAACTCATTTAGTGGATTAACCAAAAAGAATTCTGACTTCAATGGCCTCAAAGTAGACCTTGAGGCATCTCTGTGGGACTCTAGTACTTCATGTAACCAATTTTAAAACCACCAGTATAGTAGTATAGATTCTAGAGCTCACCGGATTATAAACTCAATGAGGGCAAAACCATAGTTGGTACCTGTTTTATTCTCTACCATATTCTTGCACCTAGCACAGTGGCTGGGTGTAAATACACAAATACTTTGTATGTAGAGGGAATGATGGTGCTATTTTTTAATTTACATATTCTTAACAAAGTGGCGTGTTTCCCTTCTTAAATATGAATTGCTTCAAGAGCTGCTGAAAGGTTAATTTGGAAAACAATGTGTATGATGTCTAGCACTGTTCCCTTTGCCCTTCATCCCTCCAAAATTCAGTAGGTGTCTGTTGCATTTACTAGAATACACATGAGGTGGAATCAGGAGACCTGTATTTTAGGGTCAGCTCCATCATGGTGTCATTTTATGCAAGTCCTTCTCTTCACAGGGCACACATTTCTGCAGTGGTAACATGAGGGAGCTGAGCTGGATGAGCCCTGAGGTCCCTTCCAAGTCTGCCATTCCATGGCTTAGTATAGAGCAGGATATTGATGACTCACTTAGCAGGATAAACAAGTTCTCCCCATGTGCCGTCTGCTAAAGTAATGAGCGGAACTCTTTCTAAACAGAAAAAAATTTTCACACCAGACAGAATCCAAAACCTCTGAGGGTTAAATGAGGGGAAGCATAATACTAAGCAGATGAATCCTCTAAAATAATATTGCAACACCTCCTGGCATCCCATCCTAGTTTCCATAGGATCTCTCCTGAGCGATTTAACTGCCATGCATGGGGACACCTGAGGTCACTTCCAGCCCTGGCCCTGGCTCCACCGGTTGAGCATACCTTCTGCATTTTGTTGTTTCTGCCTATCAGGCCCATTAGGTACATGGAACACAAGGATTCCCTTACAATGGACTCCCAGGGAGCTTATGGGTCCACTGGCAGCCAGTTTGTAATTACTCCTTTTTCTCTCCTCTAAGGAAATGTCTGTCCCAGAGGTTCCCAGGAAGCAAATTAAGATAAACTAAAATGGCCATCAATTAATAATAATAATGTCATTATTGCATCTCTTGTGTACACTATACTAGGAAAACATTACATTAGACACACACATATCATCCCCAAGTTACAAATGAAGAAACTGAAACACAGAAAAGTTCAATAACTTGCCTAACATTATTCAGCTTCAAAGAGGCGAAACCAAAATTCAGACCAAGAACGTTTTACCCTATTCCTATGCTTTCAACCCCTGTCTTAGGCCATTCAGGCTTCTATCACAAAATACCATAGACTAGGTAGCATATAAAACAACAGAAATTGATTTCTCATGGTTCTGGAGGCTGGAAAATCCAAGATCAAGGCATCAGCAGATTCCGTGTCCAGTGAAGGCCCATTCCTCGTAGACAGCCGTCTTCTCACTGTCATCTCACATTGCTCAAGGGGTCGCGGGTTGCAATGGGGTTTCTTTCATAATGGCATTAATCCCATTAATGAGGGTTCTGCCTGCCCCCCTATGACCTAATCACCTCCCAAAGGCCTCACCTCCTATACCATCACTTAGGAAGTTAGGATATAAACATATGAATTGCATCCCCTATCATGTCTGTAGACATGTGAAGCCATGTTTTCCTTAGTATGTATAAAGAAATAAGCTTCTGGAAATTATTTTTTAAAAGGAAGAAACAATTTTCTCCAGGTGGTATAATACTGACAGTGTAAAGCATGAATCTTGGTGAAAGCAGCCACTTCATTAGACCTGGGATCCAGGGAGAACATGGCCCAAGTGGACCAAGTCCTGTTTAACTCCCTGAGCTGATAACATCAGATGGAATCCACTGTCAATGCGCCTGCATTGATTCTGCCCAGTTGGGGCTAGCCTTTTGGGGTGCTCTACAATATGAACACCTCAAAATTCAAGGCTCAGGCCCAGCTGTCAGCAAACCCAGAAGCAAAGGGTCATTTATCACCCCTTTTGGTACATATTTTAATTTTGGGAAATTAATCAATACTCAAGGATAGAGGTATCTTTGCAAAGAGTCTTCCTAGAAAGCCCCAGTCCCCATGAAACTATCTCCCTTCCTTAAGAATTTATACTCTCTGGCATGTTGTACCACCCATTTAATGCTAAGAACATGCTTTTTAGGCCCCCTAAAAGACTATAAGATGTAATTAGGCAACATCTATATCTATGTCTATAACAAAATTTATTCTAAGAACTTTGCTTATGATATCACTGTATGCTCTTTATAATTCCTGAAAAAGAATTGTTCAGAGTTTCAAAACAAGAAAGTGTGTTTTCTTTGACTATTGAATAACTTTTATTGACTCAAACATGGTGCATTTTACAGCCTATTGATTTTGGATTTGGATAGCAGCTGCCTGGAACATACCATAGTCTCATACCTATAGGCTTTTGATACCTCTACCTAAAAATACTCATTTTTGCTTCATGGACGCTTACTCATTCTCCAGGACTCAATTTGGCCATGATCTTTTCCAGTGAGTCCTTCTTTACCTCCGTGCAGGCTGGATCAAGTCTTCCCATACTCCTCAGGTGTACCTACGGAACAGAAATTCTCACGGAGCACAGTGGTCATGTAATTTGTCAGCTTCTCCATTATAGCCTGAGCTCAAGAATTTTCTGGATATTCTATTTCTTTTGCCTGTATTTCCTGTGCAATGTGTGATGCAGAAAAGTTTCTCAGGAATATTTGCTGATTGATTGTCTGACTGAATAAATACACAAAGGAAGGAAGGGAGGGAGGGAAAGGAAAGAGGGAGATGAAGTTTAAAACGAAGATAGAGAAGAGAAAGAACTAAATTTATCTTCAGTCCTAAAGATTATCACCTTGGATTTTTAAGCTATTTACTTTTTCCCCCTTTATCCTTTTGATCTTTTGATTTCTATTCCTAAAGTTATATATAATTATTTAATCAAGAAAAGAGTAGAGTAACACATATATTTATAAATATGTATAAGATCTCCGTGGAGTGACTTAGGTATCATGATAAATACAATGACAATTTTGCTAAACCCCAGAACTAACTGGACATGGAAGTGAATTATTTATGCACCTACACCATGGGAGTTAAGCTATTGTTAGCAAATGGGCCACAGGGAAACTGAGTCAATAGCCTTCATGGATGAGAACTGCGAAGCTGTGTCCAATAATAAAGATACAATTTTCCAGGCCCTTCTCCCCGGGAAAGGTATTTGCAAGCCAATAGGAATGTTGAAGACTTTGAGACTGCCTCTTGGGACAATCTGCAACTAAACAGCTCAAACTAAAGAACAAGGCAGGGCCATGTGTCAGCCTGGCCCTTTCCCCACACCTTGATCTCTGTAGTTCTGGTCCACCACGCCTACCAAGCTAATCCTGTCAACAGATTATTTTTAAAACCAGGGAGAAACTTACCAGTATTTCAATTTTATAAGTGACAGTTGGGTTCGGAGAGTCTAAGTGACAGCCAAATTCACATATTGAGAGAGTTGCAGTATTGAAATATGAGACACGGCTTTTCTCTTTCTAAAATCCTTGATCTTTCTACAACACACTGCCTTTTAATTGCCAAGGACCACCACTGTAGGACTCAGTGATATGGGTTATTGAGTCCACTGGTCTGGTCTGGCCTTCTGGTGGGTTACGACGCACAGAAGCATTTCCCATGGAGTAAAGTCAGAATCTCTTTGGAGATGGATGATATGTGTATGGCTTAAAAAAGTATTTTAAAAAACATTGCATGTTTGTATTTGGAAAAGGAGAGATATGCAACCTAAGAAACGCAAATTACAGAAAATAAAGCTTGACAAAATTCTCCTTGTAATGACTATAAGCTAAAGATAAACTCTCTGGGGAACTATCTGAAAATCCAGCTAGATGGGTGGAGTTGAGAGACTGTTAAACTTATTTAAAGGAGAACAGTCCAGTGGAGGCTTGGCTACCAGGAGCAGTTGCATATAGCCACTGGGCTGAACCTCCCTGAACCAGTCCTCTAAGTGTCTCTAGAAATTTCAATCTGACCCTGGTTAACAATGTAAAAACCATACAAAATACCCTTCTTACTCACATTGAGACAACTTCTGAACTATTCTCCTGAAAATTGTTCCTGGCGAAAAGATATCAAGCCACAACCGCTTTGTGAAGGTGCAGCAATGTGTTAAACGTAATATTCACTCTTTCTACATATATTTGTAGATGGCCAGCCATTGACCAGATCCTATGTGAAAGCTCAGAAACAAATGTTACAGGTGCTTGTTTAGGAAGCTCAGATATTCTAGATTTCAGTCTTTTAACTGGTATAAAGAGCTTAGACATTCAATCAGATCATGACTGTACTTTATAGTATTTACAGCTTTGTATACCATCCCAGCTGCCAGCAGAATCCAATATATTAAAAATGACAAAGTCTCCTAGATAATGAAGAAAGCTGTGTGCAGTCTCCAACTCACCAGTTGCTTATTGCTTTCCTCCTCCATTGCTGCCTTCCTGCCCTTGGCATAACTAGCTTGGCCATGAGATTCTTATCAGACTCCCGTGCTCCGAGTAACTATTAGACTCATTTCTCTGGTTTGACACTAAGGATATCTCTGGTTTCTTTTCATGCATTTGACATATTTTTGATAAGCGCTGCAGTGCCAGGACCCATGTGGACTTCTGGGAATACAGAGATGAAGGCAAGCATGATTTTCTGGAGGCAGCTGCACAACTGTCTAGAAGAATGATGTGACAACAAGCCACTATGTCTCTTCCCTTCCTCGGCCCTCAGTGTTCTCATCCTTATAAATGGGGGTCCAAACTAGATAACTCTTAAGTTCCTTTGCCAGATAGGGACTATTTAAAGACAGCACCTGCATGGTAACACACATAGAAGACTTAAGATCAGTGGTAGTTTTTATAGTTATTAAGGATATTATATTTTTAAATTGTTATGTCCTTAGTCTGGTTTTGTTAGATGAGCAATATACTTGAAGTTAAAAAACCTGGCCCCTGACCCTGGCTCTGTGACTTCTGCGGAAGGATCAGAAACAGAGAACATCTCAGGCGTGCTGGCCTCACAGGGTAAATCTCCTCATCTCCCTGTCTCTGCTTTTCAGGGCACTGTGGGGATAGGAGCGGTGCTAGCAAAAAAGGATACACTTCAGCAATTGTCATGCATAGATGGGTATTCTCCCTCCGCACCCCTTCCAGGGTCAGCCCCAGGAGATTCTCCATAGGCTACCTTTCTAGCCTCTGCCTCTGCAGCCAGGGCGGAGGGAGGACCTGGAGTCTCAGATTACTGCCAGGCCCATAGATCTCACACTTCCTTCCCAGAAGAGGAAAAGCTAGCCTAAGGATCTAACTCCATTGTTTCTCCTTCCTATGGGCCGGGTTGTTCCAGGAAGGAACTTCAACTTCCCTTTGAAGTCTTAATTTTTTATGATTATTTTTTAATGAGAAATGATCACGACCTTGGAATCCTATTGGCTCTGAAAACATAATGCCTTAAACTTGCGTCGCTTTAACTAGCTTTTAAGCCCCTTCAGAACCTGAGCCATCCCTCACACCAGCCTCACACAGAAACGAGCGGGACATATTTAAATTGGGAAACGAAATCTTCAGGGTGGAAATTACATTTTCCTAAGAATTATCTGCATTGACATATTCCACAAATAGTGTGGATCAACGCAGCAGACCCACGAAGGTGAAGCTCAGGTTCCACTTCAAGAAAGGATAGGTTGAGTGTAACTAGTTAGCAACCTCTAGCAGTTAACTCTTTCAGGTCCATCTCAGCACTGGAGCTAAAGTTGTGCTGTTCTCAGAGCGGCCCCACCAATGACCAAGCGAGGGATGATGTTACAAAAACCCTGTCTCTAATGGGCAATATTTGCTGTGGAGCTCCCTTCTGGGATGATAAAGACTTTTTCAGCTCTGCATCAATGTCTGATGACTCCTGCCCAGCCTTGCTTCCTCTGGCTTTCATTCACAGGTATTTCTCCCCAGTAGAGTACCTGCACACACGATTGCAACTTAGCTTCTACTTGGAGAAGACCCAACTGACACAGTGGCAGCAAAGTGGGATGATCCAAGAAAGCAAGTGGTTAGATGGGTTTTGGAGACTGGAACACTTGCCAGTCTGTGGGCAGTGAAGACCCCACACCAGGTAGTATGTGGGGCACAGATAATCCCTAGCATAAAGGGGTGGCTCAATTGCTAACATTTCCACTAATGGTAACTTTAGAAAGATGTTCTGGTGAAGAGATATGGCCAACACGTTGATTCAAGCATTTTAAAAGTATGGGAAAAAACAATGCATAGAAGGACAATGGGATTGCATTGCAGTACCAAAGGGTAATGAAAAATCGAGGACCATTAACAAAGTGTGAAGTTAAGAACATCTCTTGGGTAGCTCACAGAAAAGTTCTTCAAATGGTTTAGTGGGTATCTTAGTCCACTCAGGGTGCTATAATAAAAATACCTTTAACTGGATGGCTTATAAACAACAGAAGTTTTCTGAAATTGGAGTGCCAGCATGGTCAGGTTCTGGTGAGGCCTCTCTTCTTGTTTGCAGACAGATATCTAAGGGTATCCTCACCTGAAGAAGAGAGGGCAAACTAGCTCTCTGGTCTCTTCTTATAAGGGCATGAGAGCTCTGCCCCCATGACCTAATCATAACCCAAAGGCCTCACCTCCTAATACCATCACCTTAGGGGTTAAGATTTCAACATATGCATTTTGGAGTGACATGAGCATTCAGTTTTTTATGGTGGGAAAACACAAAATGCTGGAGTTCAAACTCAGGATTTAATCCTTAGTGCAGAGCTTCAAAGACAACTGAACACTCAGCCAACGCAGGTCTATTTTGCCAAACTCATGGCCCTACTTGGGAAAACCTGCATTCCTGATACATCTTGGTGAATTTTCTCTGAAGATTTTAGCTCCCGGGAATCCTGGAGACTCAAAGCCCAAAAAAGTGCCTCTTCCCTTCCCATGCACACAAGAGCTAGCATTCCTCATGTGTACTTTTAATGGCAAAAACTGTAATTACTTTTGTACCAACCTAATAGACATTTGCAAAGGCATTTCCCTTGCAAGACAACATGGCTTCTTTCAAAACCTCCTCTTTTGGATGTCAGGCCAATAGTTTATGTTAATAGCCACATAACCCAGGTATATAATCTATATACATATATTCTTTAATGATTTCTCACTCATTCCACCAAGGGAACTACAGTCATTTACGTGGGCAGTTGTACACTAGGGAAACAGGAATAGCTACACTTTTCAAGGACCTTTGGACACAAGGTAGGACTGACACTGATGCCAAGAAACCCAGAGTGCCATCATGGCTCCTTACAGCATCTGATCAGGGACGAAAGGGACTACTTTTTTTCTTGAATTACGGTGGGGGATATCCTTACTTAACTACCCATTGTAAGTTGAAAATATCATAAGTCAAAAATGTATCTAACACACCTAACCTCCCCAACATCATAGGCTAACCTAGCCTACCTTAACTGTGCTTGGAACACTTACATTGGTGTGCAGTTGGGCAGAATCATCTAACACAAAGCCTATTTTATAATGAAGTATTGAATATCTTGTGTAATTTATTAAATTTATTAAATTCTATACTGAAAGTGAAAAACAGAATGGTTGTATAGGTACTCAAAGTATGATTTCCACTGAATGCACCATCATAAAGTTGGAAAATTGTAAGTTGAAACATGTAAGCCAAAGATTGCCTGTACAATCCAAAACTGGCTACAATAATTAGCTACCATATGTTAGTGAAGACCAGCAAATATGTGTGTTTCTGGATTTTAAAGAACCTTGGATCAAGGTGGTTAGGACATAAAAGTTGGTAAGGAAGAGTGCACTGATTTGGTGACACTTTCTTTGAACATAGAATTTGCTACCTGTGAATGAAAAAACAATAACTCCTCAAAGATGTCTAAGTACTAATCCCCAGAATTTGTAAATATGTTTGGTTATATATAAAAAATAAAGTTGCAGATGGAATTAATGTTGCTAATCAGCTGACCTTAAAATAGGGAGATTGGCCTGGATTATCCAAGTGGGCCCAATCTAATCACAAAGGTCCTTAAAAGTTGAAGAGAGAGGCAAAAGAAGGGTCAGGGAAAGAGATGTGATTATGAAAGCAGGATCAGAGATGCTGTGTTGCTGGAGAAGGGGAGCAAATGAATGCAGTTGACCTCTAAAAGCTGGAAAAGAAAAGGAAATGGATTCTCCTGTAGAGCGTAAGAAAAAAAAGACAGCCCTACCAACAACTTGATTTTGGATTCTCCTGCAGAGCCTACAGAAAAAAAGACAGCCCTTCCAACACCCTGATTTTAACCCAGTGAGACCTGTGTTTGACTTCTAATCTACCTAAGTTTGTCATCATTCAGTATAGCAGCAGTAGAAAGCTAAAACACACTCATTAAGGATCCTAGGGGATGGTGAAAACATGCTGAGAGGGAGGTTCCTGGAAACCTGGAGAAGGTAATGGCCAAGAATGAGCCACGTTAAAATGCCTGAATTATTACGGCACAGTAGAAAAGGGGCTAAAGCCTCAGGGAAGAGAGGCTGCTGGAGTAGATGTATTATGTGAGGCCAGAAAATTCACCAGAGGATTATGATTTATGGTGGCTCAAAGGTCCATCGAGATTATCAAGAGTGTACTGGTAATAGGGCTATTTGGTACTGAAATGTGCTGATGAGAGGTGTCACTAAGAAGATCCTTGGTAGCACTTTTTTAGAGGTCTCAGCTAATGGTGGAAAAGAGGCTGCTATGGGGCTAAATTTCAGACAGTGATAGGGAGGATGGCGCCTGAATCAGTAGAGGTAAGTTGTTAACAACGAGTTGCCAAAACCTAACAGGCCACAGTTACCATGATGTCTGTAAGACATTAAAAAGAAAGTAAGAATGACGAGCAGGAGAGACTGAGGGCAATAAAATGACTTCAATAGAATGTCACAAAATTTTGCCCAGCTTCCATATTTGAGTAAAGTTTTAGACCCAGACCCACTACCATTAAAGGCAGCTGGATCCTCAGGAGAAAGGGCCCTGAACACCACAAGAAGTATATACTGTAATGATTCTTAAGTCTCTTTCCAAATGGAACTAAAGCCATTCATCTGGGTGACTATCACTGAGGAAACAGCAATATTGAAACATTTCAAGGACCTCTGAACACAGGGCAGGATTAACACTGATACTCAGAAACCCAAAGTGCGATCATGGCTCCTTATTAAAGTGGAGACATTGGAGCCAAAGAATCATGAGTTCTTGCCAATGCCCAGCTCAAATTGGAGCCACCAGCTCTGCAGGCATATTCGATGGTCATTTCTCCATTACCAAAGTGTATAATTGGATTTGACATATTAAACAGTTGTAATAATAATCCCCACACTGGCTCCTTGGCCTGTGGCCAGCACAGTAGAGATGGCCAAATAAAGGGCGCTGAAATTGGTTACCCATCCCTCCTCCCTGAGTCAAGAAAGCAAATAAAAAATAACATTGCATTTTCAGGCAGATGATGGTAACCAATGCTACCCCCAAGTGTCTAAAGAATGAAGGAGTGATGGTCTCTGTTATATTTCCATTTGATAGAGTAATTGGCTTCCTGCAGAAACCAGATAGATCCTGGGCAATGCCTGTGGATGACCGCAAGCTTAACCAATCATTAGCCTCAATCGAAAATGTTTTGCCAAATGTAATGTCATTGCTAGAGCGGATTAAATGGCCTCAGGCACAGGATATGAGGCCACTGATTTCATAACTGCATTATTTTCTATCAAACTCACAAAAGAAGATCAAAAACGGTTTGCACTGACATGGAATGGACAACAATACTTAGTCACCAATTTTCCCAGGACTGGGTTAAGTCTACTGCTTTCTTTCACAATGTAGTCTGAAAAGATATAACCATCTGAACATCTCACAGATCATCACATTATTCCATTACATTGATAACATTATGCTGATCAAGATGGATGGGCAAGTGTTGGCTAGCCTTATTAAGATGACTGTCATTCAGAGGGTGGGAGATAAACCTTAAGACAATTCAGGGCCTGCCACTTAAGCAAAGTTTTAAAGATCCAATGGTCAGGGACGTTATTTTCAGAATAAAATGTAAATGGCTGCATCTTTCATCTCCTACTTCAAAAGGAAGCACAATGTCTACCAGGCCTTTTTAGGTACACAAAGAAATAAAAACTGGTAATGGCACGGGTAAATGTAAAGATGTTTGTTTGTATTATTTTAAATACACTAAAAATAATCATTGGTTTTAGGTAAAAACAATAACAATGTATTCTGGGTTTTATAACCTGAAGGCATAAAATGCATAACAAAAAGAGCCCAAGATATGGAAAGAAACATTAGAAGTTTACTTCTTACTGTTATAAGGTTCTTATACAATATGTAAAGTGGCATAATATCACTTGAATGTAAACTGCTATAAGTTAAGGATGTATACTGAAAATCTGACAGCAATCACTGAAATAACAAAACACAGCTATAGCTAATAAACCAACAAAGGAGAGACAATGGAATTATATGCTCAATTAACTTTTTAAAACATGTAATAAGAGAGAGAAAAGGGGAAAAAAAAGAACAAATGGCACAAATAGCAGACAAATAGCAAATTGGTTGATTCAAGCCCAATCATACCAATAATTGCATTAAATGTTACCAAAAGGCAGAGATTGTCAGATTGGATAAAAATGCAAGAGAAAACTATAAACTGCTTATAAGAAAACTACCATAAATATGAATATATAAATAGGTTAAAAGTAAATGAATGGAAAACAAGATATATCACGATGACACTAACCAAAAGAAAGCTAGAGTGGCTATGCTGATATAAAACAATATAAATTTCAGAGCAAAGACTGCTATCAAAATTCAGTGAGGTGATTTCATAATTACAAAGTGGTCAATCCATTAAAATAATGGAACAGTACAAAACATTTTGGCACCTAATAACAGTGCTACAAAACACATAAAGCAAATACCGATAGAATTGCGAAGAGAAATAGCAAAACCAACAACTATAGTCAGGGATTTTAATACTTCACTTCTCGATAATTGGTAGAACTAGTAGGCTGAAATTTAGGAAATATATAAATGGTCTCTGCTCTTGTTATGTCTATTCAACATTGTTCTGACAGCTTGAGCCAGTGCAACAGGCAAAATAATAATAATAATAATAATTAATTAAAAGCATCAAGATTGGAAAGAAATAAAACTATCCATTTGCAGACAACATGCTCATCTGTGTAAGAAACCATATGAAACTCCCCCAAAGCAATTAACACAAGTAAGTTTAACAAAACTGCAGAATACCACGTCAAATACAAAATTTAATAGTCTCGTGAGTCTAGACATATGCCAGATTTACCAAGTTGTATACTTTTAAGTATGTACACTTTACCATGTGTCAATGGTACCTCAAAAAATGTTTCTGAAAGACATTAAGAAGAGGCAAATACAAAAGGGAGGAATAGCTAGCAGAACTGTGGAGTGAGTCAGACTTTTAAACTACACAAGTGGGGTATACCAAGAAATCAGTTGAAGATTGAACGAATGCAGCAGAGAATGTGATAATTGAAGTTCAAGTATGCACACACACCTGCCTATAAAATGGGACCTCTACTGTATGAAAATATCATAATGAGAAAAACTTCATGAATATTTAGTAAATAGTAATTAAAGGTAGAGCCCCACATGGTCTTGGGAAAAGATATGAGAGCACAGGAGAGTTTTGTGCCAGAAACAAGGGGTGAGGTCTTGAGGAAAAGAATTCTTATAAATGGGCTAACTTCTGCTCACTGCACTTCTAGATGTGAAACTTACCTGGGACGTTGGTATGCACCCCTAGCTGCACAGACACATAGCAGCTCCTGTTTTACCTGTCAATATCACTTTCTGTAAATACTATCTGCCTGAAAAATGAAGATGTTTACTTTCCTCATGGCCTGTGTCTTCTAGGCTGATCCCCAAGCAATGGTAGCAGGGTGATATTTAGAGTACTCTCCATTATTCCACAGGAGCACTAGACCAGTCAAGGCTATGCTACTTGTGAATACTGTAACTAGTATGAAATGCAAGTTTTTATAGGAGGAATCATGTTTTATTTTTCTTTGTAGCCCTATAGTTCAGCAATATTCTGGAATTCCAGGAGAATCCCCAGTGTGTTCGTTCCTAGTGTATCACACACGGAGCAGCTAAAACAACAGAAATTTGTCCACTCACAGTATTGGAGGCTGGAAGTTCGAAACCAAGGTATTGACAGGACTGTGCTCCATCCAAAGCCTCTAGGGGAGGATCCTTCCTTGCATCTTCAAGCTTCTGGTAGTCCCAGGCTTTCCTTGGCTTATGGCAGCATCACTCCAATCCCTGTTTCCATCTTCACATGGCTGTTTCCTCTCTAGATGTATCTCTATTTCTTTGCCTCTTCTTATAAGGACACAAGTCATATTGGATTAAAGCTCACTCTAATTGTGACCTCATCTTAACTTGATCATATCTGCAAAGAGCCCATTTTCAAATAAGGTCACATTTATAGTCAGGATCTCATAGTAAATAAATGGGCAGAACAGGAAATGGAGCTAAGGTCTTCCAATTCCGAATCCTGTTCTCTTTTCCTTACATCAGATGCTTGCTATAGAATGAATCTGTGTGTCCCCTCAAAATTCATATGTTGAAACCCTAATCCCCAAGGTGATGGGATTTGGAAGTGGGGCCTTGGGGGGTAATTGGTCAAGAAAGTGTAGCCCTCATGAATGGGATTAGTGCTCTCTCAGGGTTAAGACTTGAGCATATATTTTGGGTGGAAACAATTCAACCCATAATACCAGCAAATATTATGAGTTAATTAAAAAATAGAGAATAAAAATTAAAGGTACTCCACTTTTTGTCTGTCTGCATGCAGATAGGAGTGCCTAGAATACAAGAATGAATGAAGGGCTGGGACAATTTCTTGGAGGTTCTTGCAGGCACAGTCTGGGCTAGAGGTCTCTGAGGTTAATATAATAGACAGTACAGTTTGGGAGGCTTAGCATGATGGGTCAGGCTCCTTTCTGTGAGGCCCTTCCTCAGCCTCTACCTATCAATCTCATGTGGGTCTTCAGAGCCTGGGTTTGCAGATTAGGGGCTATGGGGATACCTATGCTCGCTGGATGGGACACCCCAGGGGCCATCTCCCACTGCTGTTGACTCACCTCCAGTCAAGTCCTAGTTTACCTTCACCCTTAAATCCAACTTAGATTTTTAATTTTAATACCTAAAAGCTGCCATATTGCTGAGGCCATCTGTCCTTATAATTGCATTTGTAGACCACTTTACAGTTTATGCAGTGTGGCAATTTAGAAGAAGTTAGTTATCTTCACGACCCTTTGTTTCTATTTCACATATGAGAAAACAGAGGTTCAACAGGTGAAGTGACTTGCCTGGGGGATCTCATAGTAAATAAATGGGCAGAACAGGAAATGGAGCTAAGGTCTTCCAATTCCGAATCCTGTTCTCTTTTCCTTACATCAGATGCTTGCTATAGAATGAATCTGTGTGTCCCCTCAAAATTCGTATGTTGAAACCCTAATCCCCAAGGTGATGGGATTTGGAAGTGGGGCCTTGGGGGGTAATTGGTCAAGAAAGTGTAGCCCTCATGAATGGGATTAGTGCTCTCTCAGGAAGATACAGGAGAGAGATTGCTTCCCCCCTCTCTCTCTTCCATGTGAGGACACAGCGGGAAAACGGCTGTCTATCCACCAGGAAGCTGGTCCTCAAAAAACACCAAATCTGCCCTCATTCTGATCTTAGACTTCGTGGATCCAGAACTGGGAGAAACCAACGCCTGTTGTTTAAGCCACCTCGTCTATGATATTTTGTTACACCACCCGAGTGGACTAAAATCATGCTTATCCTTTAAAAACTATAACAGTCTGGGTGAAGAGAAGTTTCTCCTTGAAGAAGGAAGAAGATTTAGGTGTTCAAAGGCTTCTGTCCAAATCTGGTTGAATTGTGATTAAGTTCAAGGAAAGTTGAAAAATTCATTCAGCTTCAATGATATTTTCATCTCCTCTCTATTCCCTTGGGTCTGGGAGCTCCAGAAAACATTCCCAGAATGGGTGGGAAGAAGAGAGGAGGGGTTCTGTTAATAGCTCCCAGGTTTTAGTATTTGTGTCTCTTTGCCGAGAGGTATCAGCGTGGAACAGCTTTGGGGATGGTGACAACTGGGTTTAAATAAAAGATTCACCATTTATTAGCTGTATGGCCTCCTTCGATTCGTTTAACCTCTCTCAGGCTCACTTTACTCATTTGTGAAGCTTGCTACCTTTCTTGAAAGACTGATCTGTGGGTTAAATGAATCTTGGTTCCTATTTTGTCTTTCCCTTCATCTCTTAGGAAAGGTCTTTGTTTCAGAGTTTGGTTCCTACAGTGGTGTCATATATATGGATGGGGATTCAAGTGCACAGAAATGACACCTACCTGACAAGGGGCATTTATGGGCTCAGTGAGGGATGCAGGCTCCAAATTTGAATTTTTTGGCCCTCGTTTGCTGTTGGGACACTGGACAATTATCCAACTTGTATACATCTAAGAGCCACAGATGATGAATAGGCACACTTTTTAAGACATTTGATGTGTGATTGATAATTCGTAATTATTGCAGATAATATCTGATACCTGTGAAAGATAATATCTGCAAGATATTGGTCACTGAGCTAATCACCAAAGAGGGTGGGCTGGGTCAGGGAAGAAGGCCACAATGAAAGGGACCTAGGATTACAGTGAAAAGAGTCGGGATAACAAGAACCCCTAGAGTTTGTGCAGGGCCATCGTTTACAAAGCTCTTGCACACTTCGGTCCTTCAGGTCACACTCCACCATCTGGGTGACTCTCGGCCTTTCTTTCCTCTCTAGACCTTAGCTGCTTTATCAAAAATTGTAAGACTTGGACTTGATAGTGGTTTTCAAACATATTATCTCAGTCCATTCAGGCTCAGTGTAAGGTACAATGAAGTACCTTAGACTATGTAATTTATAAATAATAGAAATGTATTTCTCCCAGTTCTGGAGGCTGGGAAGTCCATGATCAAGGTGCCAGCAGGTTCAGTGTCTGTTGAGGGTTACTCTCTGCTTCAACATGGTGCCTCTTGCTGTGTCCTCACACGGTGGAACGGACAAGGCAGTTCCCCTCAACTTCCTTTATAAGGCCACTAATCTTATTCATGAGGACAGAACCCTCATGACTTACTTCCAAAAGGCCCTGCCTTTTAATGCTATCACATTTGGTATTAGTTTCCAGCATATGAACTTTGGAGGGACACAAACATTCAGACCATAGCACATATATACAAGCGAAACTTCTCATTTTCCTTCCTAAAAGTCTACATAACAACTAATATGTAAAAACTGGTAAAAGTGGAGCTGCTTCGGTTGCAGCAGGGGAGGGTCTCTGTAACCTGTGTTTGACGGATCCTAATAGATCCTCCATTCCGGTACCACTGCCCAGTCAAAAGAACTCTGCCCTGGAATCCCTGTGGCTGATCATAGTAACAGTCGCTATTCCAGCCTAGGCAGGGCTAAGCCCTTCACACACTTTAGCTCAGTCGACCCTCCCAACAGCCTTGGTCCTCATAATAGGCAAGTAGTTCACAGCAGCGTAGAAACTCAGAGCCCAGGCCTGCTACCTCGCCACACCTCTGCCCTCATTCCTGTGGCCCAGGCCCCTTGACCTGCCCCAGGTCCAGATTGGTAGAAAAAAGGATAAAGTGTCTTATCACCAAGGGGATTAGAAAATGAAAGGTTTCTACTGGCTAAGTCTTCAGAGGGCAAGGGAGCAGGAGCTTGCTGGGTCTGGGTTTCCACCGCGGTGGAAGCTCATTATATAGTGGCTTGGGGTGTGCATGCCAGCAACCCACCCCCGGCCCCCAGCAACCACACAGGCGAATGGTCGACAGTGCACAATTCAAACGGGCATTCATTAGGCAACAGACCCATGTCTGCTTAATCACAGGCAGGGAAAAGAACAAAAAAATTGGATCAGCCTATATGTGCCCTAGCAAAAGCCAATGATAGGTGTCAATACTTACAAAGTCTGCTCCTGTTATAATAATGTGCATCTTAGACACCTGGGGTTGGAAGGAAATTTTGGAGCATATAGAGGCCACCCTCTCCTGGCACAAATTATATCCATGAACAGTTATTTGCTGAACACCTCCATGTGCCAGGCACTGGGTCAGGTGTCTGCTGCTGAGCCAGGTGCTAAGGACACAGAAGGGATGTCACTGAATAATAAGCACTTTGTGAATTTAGAAGACTGGTCCAAATGGCCAGGAAGCCTCTGCTTCAGCCACATCCTCTTGTAAACCACAAACTCCAGTCTTTGCAAGATCTTTTATGAACTCCATCCAGGGCTTGGCATTCATGGTGTTAACTGGGATAAGTCTCTAAATACTTCTCACACCATCCTCCCTGCATAGAGTGCTGCTGCTGTCTCTCTTATTATCTAAATTCTTTTCGTTCCGGACTCTGCTTCAGGTGCTACCCCTTCCAGGACACCTTCTGACGGACCTAGACAGGAGTTGTCCATCTGATGGGCTTCCATCAATCCTGCGTGTGTGTACCCCACCACTTGATTCTACTCATTGCATTTGTCTGTTTCCATGTCTCTTCCCAGCACACACTGAAATAACAGAGGTGCTTAGCAAACATTTCAGGAGAGAATTGAGCTTCTCTGGGCCGTAGTTATTTCTGTTAAGTAAGGTGCACTACGGATGCGACTGTCTATCGAGCCCCAGCAACCTTGATATTTGCGGATCTCAGACTCAAGTAAGGGCTGCTGGGCAGATGTTGTTGCTGGGAGTTGGGTGGTCTCCTAGGAGGGTTCCACTCAAGTTTGCAGCACAGGGCTTTTCCTGGGGAAACCATGTGTAGGCCTGGATTACTTGTGCCCTACGTAATCCTGGTTACTCTAGAGCTATTACTACACTCTCCCTGAGAACATCTGGACTCTTAACATTGTAGAAAGAGTAAACAAGCTTTGTGGCTAACCAGACATGGGGTCCAGTCTTGGGCCTAGCACTCACAAGTTTAACCCTGGACAAGGCATGCACATTTCTGGGTTTATTTCCTAATCTGTATTAGGAACGTAAGTTAGGTCACCTACAGTTGTTGTGACGATTAATTCAGTGTGAGCTATTGCATCCAGATTGGACAGCATATGCCCCAATACGATGAAAGGGAGATTCCATGTCTTAAAAGTAGTAGCAGTGGCTCACCCTGAAAGAGCAAATGCCTGTAAGATGTGAGCTTCTGCCCGGTGTGTGGTGACCACAAAGCACAGGTGGCAAAAAAATCATCATTTTCCAGACTCCAGCATTTTAGTTAAATACGCACAATTTTATTGATTGAAGAGATTAGGACAAAAACATTAAACCAAATACAGGACAAAGCACCAGAGGCCATAGATCCCCACCATGCATGTCACCAACCTCTCCTCCTCCAAGGTACTTAAAAAATAGGGGAGAGGGGAAAAAAAAGGTCCTTCTTGACACAGCACCATCTTCAGAATGTTAAAAAAAAAAAAAACCTTCTCTCCTTTCTATCTTCCATTAGCAAAATAGAATCAAGGGCAAATCCATGGCCGCCTTGTCTCCTGGTTACGAAGGGTGAAGCCGCCCTCCTGGGAACGTGAGGACAGGGCTCCTGCTGCGCAGGCATAAAGCATCCAAGAGTCTGCACATACATGCCACACACTATTATGAAGCACAGATTCAAGTAACATTTACATACTAGAGTCCACGTGTCACCTACCCAAAAACAGGACCATTTCACAAAACATATACAGGCAGTCAAATCCGAACAAGTGAGGTACTGGGAACACAAATATTTATGCCAAAAGAGTTCTGTATCATACAGCAATAGAAAAGCCGTAATAAAAAACATTTTGCCACTCGAAATCAAATAAAGCTATCTAGAAAAGCCAAGTAAAAGGTTATTTCAGAGACAGAAATACTCAAACAAGGAAAAAGAATTATAAATGTTAACTACAGCATGTAATATGTCATCCCAAGTCAACCCGTAATTGAAGTACTGGCTTAATACATCACAATGTGACATTTTCCTTAATAAATAGAAGAGTTCTTGAAAATACAAAGGTGCGTATTGGGATAGAGAGCTGTTTTTATTTATATCATCATAGCTTTCAGCTAATTATCCTTCCCGCTTGTCTCTACTGAGGGTTTTTGTCCAAACCAGAGGGCCTTACAAGCCTTAAAAGGATCATTCTCTGTAAAGAAAACTAAATAGCTGCCCTGTATTTTATACATGTGGGACAACCTGCTTTGTTTCACTAGTTTCTAATAAAACAAAGACAAATGTTTAGTTGCGATCAGAGTACTGCAAAAGCATCAGACTCCAGGAGCTTGCTAAAATCTCAGGCCATTGCTATCATCTCAGCAAAGAGGAATGCCTGTCACACAAACCCTCATTGTTCAAAAGCAAAACATGAAAAAGGAGTTGGATTTCTCTTTTCCTTTCTTCTTCCCTTTTCTTTCCCCCTTTAAACTAAGATAGCAGTAATGCATCTGGACGTTTGACTTCTAATAGCTTCCTGCCACGAACCAATTGACACAAAACAGAATAGCTTGTTAAAGGACAGATTTTTTCCCCCTTCAGGGAGCAAAGCATTAACATGTCATTTCCTGACCAGGATATTAAATAGTTTATTTAGAAGAAATGAGTTGAAGTGAGCGATTAAGAGACACAAACTGGACTTTTGTTTTCTTTTACTGTAGCACCCAGGTTTCATGTCAGTCTGTGTGCACCGAATTTTTTTTTTAAGTGAACCTCATTAATTACCAGCTAGGTGGTTGGCTTGTTTAAAAGAAAAAAAATTCTTGGCCAACTGTTCCTTCCCTGAATCCTAACAAGAAGTTAAATGCTAACAGTGCGATGCCAGGATGTGTGTTTGAGGCAGAGAGTTTTGATTCTGTCAGGATCTGCAACTATTTTGGAACAAAATGAAAAGTGGGGTAGGCGGAAGTGGCCCAAGTGGCAAGGGGTGGTCTCCCAGGCTATGTTAGGGAAGACAAGCTCCAGCGGGCTCCCATCCATCTCACCCCAATCCCCATCCCACGCCTCTTGCCCCCATGCTACGTGGTCAGTCAGCTCCTTGAAGGTTTTCCTGCTCTGAACCAAGAAACTTAAGAGTGTGTCTTTCTTGCTACTCAGCCAGGCAATTCGTGTCCCCCGGAAGAACTCCTTTCCGCTGCCCTCGCTCACTCCTGGAACCTGCTAAGTCTCCGTGGGGCATGAGCTCAGTTAAAGAAAGGGTCCAAGTTCTCTTCCATGTTGACGTCCGGCACCAGCTGGTCAGACACTTCCTTAGCACCATATGCTGAATTCGAGACGCTAAAATCTGTAGAAAACCAAGGATGGTCCAGAATTTCCTGCGAGGTCAGCCGCTCTGAGGGCTCCCGACGCAGAATGCTTCGGATGAGGCACTTGGCCTTGGGCGACAGAGTCTCTGGAATGTTGAACTGGCCACGCCGGATCTTGCTGAAGAGGGAGCTGGGTTCAATGTCATGGAAAGGGTACCGCCCCACCAACATGGTGTACAGCATCACCCCCAGGCTCCACACGTCGGCTGCTTTGCCCGAGTAGCTGCCACTGGTGTTCAAGATCTCTGGGCTTACGTAAGCCGGGCAGCCATGCTTGTCGGAGAGGGAATCATCATCTCCCCGCAGAATGTAGGCGTCTTCCAGGCTTTCCAGCTTGACCCGAGTCCTGCAAGAAAGGAGGAAAACATAAGCTCCTGAGGGTGCTCAGAGACACGTTACCACCAGCATCATAACATAACCGACTATAGTGTTTCTGAAGACTCCTCATTCACATTCATTCATTCACGCATTCATCTGACCAGCCAAACATTACTCACTGAGCACCTTCTAGCTGCCAGCTACTATTCCAGGGCTGAGGACACCCACATGGGTGAACAAGACTGACAAGGTCTTTTCATGCAGCTGATAATCCACTGGGGAGCTCAAACCTTGAGCACCTTAGCGAACCATGAATCACATCATCATCACCCCTGCGATGAGGGAACAAGAGATTAACTAGCTTTCTCAAAGTCACATTTGCATAATGATAGGGCACCACAGAATTCAAACCGAGACCTAACCAACCAGGAAGCCCACAGCTTTGTCTACAACTTTTGGCAGACGTGTAACTAACATGACAGACCACAGTCCACAAAGACCTTTCACCTTACTTGCATTTTGGCCTCACTACAGCCCTTTGTATTAGACACGTAGGATATTAACATCCCATTTTACAGATGAGAATATCGAGACTCAGAGAGTTCGGGTAACTTCCCCAAACCTGTTAGCTGGGAAATGGAGAAGACTTGATCCCACATCTTCCTAAGTTGATGCTGCTGCTCTTTCTGCTATACCAGGTGCCTCTCTTTAGGACCAGGCAGGAAGCAGGGAATGTTCAAGCAGGAGTGGACTCCTATCACCTGGTCCTTCTGAGGCTGACACCCTCGTATCAAGACCATCTTCTTTCCCTGGTCAGGCCCAGTGTCTCAAACCTGTAATCCCAACACTTTGGGAGGCCAAGGCGGGTGAGTTCAAGACCAGCCTGGCCAACATGGTGAAACCTCATCTCTACTAAAAATACGATAATTAGCAGAGCGTGGTGGTGCACACCTGTAATCCCAGATGCTCAGGAGGCCGAGGCAGGAGAATCGTTTGAACCCGGGAGGCGGAGGTTACAGTGAGCTGAGATCGCACTACTGCATTCCAGCCTGGGTGACAGAGTGAGACTCTGTCTCAAAAAAGAAAAACAAAACCATCTTCTTTCCCCAGATTTCCTGCCGCCTTTGTCTTCTGTCCTGCCCCTCATACTCCCAAGGCCTTGTCCTTGACCAGGTTCTAACATCTGATGAAGGTCACCCACATCTTCTGTCTGTGCACATCTGTGATTCCAATTTCCCACGTGTCTGCGTGCATAGGGTGTGTGTGAACAGAACCATGAGCCCAAGATCCTTTTCAAACTAGGCATCCTACCCCCAGTCTTTCCCTCCCATTTAAGGTCCATCATGGTTGCTGACAGGAAAGTAGGACTCTCCAGGGTATGCTCAAGAAAAGAGGTAAGAAATCCTGCATTAAACTGCCTGGAACCCAGCATGCATCCTTACACAGTAAGATCTGATGTCATCATTGTGTATGACATAAATTAAGTGCTCAGGAAATACTTTTGGAAGTGAGTTGAATTCTTATCATTAACTATACCTAATCTACTGTGAGGGCCAGGATGCGCGGTGACTTGTTCAAGGCTATGGTGAAAGTCACTGAGAGCTTCCTCCACCCAGCGCCCCAAGCTCCTAGACCAGCCTCCTCTCCTTAGCTCAGGGGCCTCCTAAGAATTCCTGTTTTCCTGCCCTACTGTTCTTTGAGTGGAAAGTTAGGAATTGCTACCTTCCCGTGCTCAAAATTGAAATCTTCCTCTGACTCTCCTGGCTAGGGCACTGCCTCAGAGAGTTGTAGGTAGTCCTTGGGTCTCAAAAGCTCAGTTAATCTATCCCATCATCACACCCCTGGAGGCTTGCAGAGAAGGTGAGGAGGGATGGGGAGGAGTTGGAGTTAGGATTAAGACAGCATCCACAAGGGCTGTCTCACTCACATCACGTATTTCCTTCATCTCAAAAGCACACATGCAAGCGCACGTGCAAGCATCTGCCCTGTTTGCCCCGAAGTGCAAAAAAAGCTCAAGTAAGCATTGAATAAGAAAGAGCTTGGAAAAACCACATTGGGTCATAAGTCAGAGCTTGTGACTCAAGTCCATCTCCTGCTGTTTCTCTTCCTCCGTCTGCCTGAAGGTCTTAGCCTTTCAGCGTGATCACCACCGCCACTAAGAGCCATAGAAGCGGGGCAAGGTTCAAATTAACCAAAAGATTGCTGCTGGGAGTTCTCTACAGCAAAAGGTTTAGTGAAATCCTGGGTTGACTCTAATGCCTCATATTTGGATTACAGGAGTTCAAAGCTCAAGGAGTGACTACTTTCCGTATTAATTTCCACCAACGAACAAACAATAGTTGTGGTCGTGGGAAAAGGCACTGGGCTAAGAGCTAGGAAGGCAGTTTCCAGGCTAGGCTCTGTCTCTCACCTGCTGTGTGGCTATGGCTGAGTCACTCAACTTCTCTGTTTTTCAGACCTAAAGAGGAGCACTAGACAAGGAAGTCTTTAAAAAAAAAATTATGTAGTAAAATAGACACAACATAACATGTACCATCTTAAACCATTTTTAAGTGTACTTCATTGGCATTAAGTACATTTACACTGTCATGCAAACATCTGGACAAGGCAGTCTTAAAGTCTCTGCCAGTTTTATCATTCTGGGATTCTGTAATACCCATCTCTCCCTTTTTTGTGTGCTCACTCACATTCTATTATAATCTATAGAATACATAGTCTTCTGCGCCTATAGCTAATGTTCTACAAAAACAGGAAGGATCTACATGTGCTAATCTGGAATGGAGCTGATTAAAAACAAATCTCTTTTGTCCTTTTGCGTTTCCTAATCTAAGGTGGCAGGTGGAGCTGGCCCACGAGACTTACTAGCTGTCGAGATGTGACGGAGGTGAAAAGGTGAAACCCAAGGGGCAGAGGAAAGGAGGAGGAAGGCGGGGATCTCGAACCACAGGCACCGTGAGTTCTCTCCACAGCTTCCTCTACCCATTCTCACCCAGCGCAAGCCAGACTCCTCATCTCCAATTTCACTGTTTTAGCAGAATAGCTATGGAAAGAATTACAACTGTGGAAATAATAGTAAGAAGAAAAACAAGCTCTCCCATCTGTGGGACAAGGGGCGGTCCAGTGGAACAAGCATGGATCTTGGTATCAAAGGGCCCAGGTTTTGCCCAGGTTCGTCTGCCCCAAACCTGCAGTGGTGATGCAGCTCATCCAGGTGGAGGCCTAGGGCTTGGTCACGGCTGCAGGGTGACCCCCAGGGACTCTCGACCATCTCTTGGGCCACACTCCCTCTCTCTCCATCCCAGCCTGTTTGCTGTTCCTCACATGCCCAGCTTGGCCCCAGTCCTTCTGAGGCCTTTGCCACAGTGTCCCCTTGCCCTAATTGTGCTTCCCCAACTGTGTGACAGCTCACTTTTGTCTTGCCTCTGCTCGAATGAAGGTTATTAAACTTGATCCTGTCCATCCTACATTACGGAGCACGCCCTCCTCCTCTTTTCAGCATGGGAGATATCGTACATTTACATTTCATGATTTACTATGTATCATTATGGTGATCATTTTGGGATGATCACCTCACTTCCCACCTCCAAGAGCCCATGGGCATGTGGTTGATGTCATTTTGTACGCAGAGAACAACACTTAAGTTTGCTGCTGTACCTTGAGTACCTAGACGAGTACCTGGCACAGGGCAGATACACAATCCATCAATGACAGGGACTGTCCTGCTGTCGACCCCAGGGGGTGAGCTTCAGTGCGCTCACCGGCAAAGGAACAAGGGCCGGTGCTCTGCCTACCTGGCCAGGGTTTAGTGGCAGTCAATGAGAGCTCTACAGAGGATGGGCTTTGTAAATGACAGCATCAAGGAATCTCCCATAGTGATAAGGGGGTGGGGATATCAGGCATCTGTCAGTAAAGGTGGGAGGGAGATATGACTACAGGGACTTGAATTTCTCCTCGCTCAGTCTTGTCAGGGTGCAGAGCTCACCACCTCAAGCTTTTCGTGCAAGGGACTCTCGACCATCTCCCTCTCCCTCCTTCCCAGCCTGTTTGCTGTTCCTCACATGCCCTGCTTGACCCCAGTCCTTCTGAGGCCTTTGCCACAGTGTCTCCCCACCCGGATTGTGCTTCCCCGACTGTGTCAGCTCACTTTTGTCGCATCTCTGACCAAATCTGAGGCCCTTTTCCATTCCTATCCCCTTCCAGGTCACAATTTTAGATTCTGACTTTCTCCTTCACCTCCTCCTGCCCCCAGGTGTCCCCACATTCAAAGCATCCTAACCCCTCTTTCTGGAAGCCTCAGAAAATGGTTAAGGCCTCCACTCTGTCCACTAACCCTGGCCTTCCCCCAAGCTGGAGTTCACCTTTCACCTTTCCTACCTCAAGATGAGCACCCAGAATCTAGGCCCGATACTTCGTGAATTTGAGAATAAAATGAAAAGACCATCCCACATGCTGCCAAATACCAGCTGCCCCTAAGCTCATGTATCCAACACTACGTGCTCCTTTCCTTCAGAGGCTGAAATTTTAGTGGGGAGGGCCCAGGTCTGCTTGTCACATTTGGTTCGGCACATGCTGCAGAAGGACAACCACAAAAACCAGCCCAGGTCAGAGAGCAAAGCAGTGTCCTGAGGCCACAGAGACCTGGGTTCAAGATCAGGCCTTGAAAATTACAAAGTACCAAACGGCAGATGTCATCTATGTACCTAATGCATGCGAGGCACTTACACATATAGTCTCTTTAAAGTTTAGGAGATCCATTTCCAAGGCAGGTACTATGATTCCTTTTCTCATGGACAATGAGCCTAATGCTCAGAGAGTCTGAGTAGGCTCCTACGGCTGGCAAGGCAAGGCAGTGGCTGGGTGCTCACCTTCCTTAGGCCTGACCCCACCTACTCAAGCAGCTGGCGGAGGAAACCACACCAGGGTTGCTCAGTTCACTAGGCTCCATCAAGGTGCGCTGTACGTGTGCTTCCCCAGTGTCAGGGGACAGCCAATCCTTGGGGCAGGAGCCTGCTCTTTCTCTAGGGGAGAATCTGCATCCCAGGCAGGAGAGGGGCAAAAGAAAAGAGAAGCCGGGAGAAAGGATGGGGAGGAAATGCAGGCTTGCTGGCCTTGGTAGGTCATTCTTTTGACCTTGCTTCCTTCTCAGAACACTGTGAACTTGTTTACAAAACTTCTAGGCAAGGGTCAAGGCAACTGGTCTGGATTACGTCTTTCAACGAGGACCTTTCAGGATGCATACCACGCGAGAGGAATGGAGGGAGGTCTGACAGGCGGGGGTGAGTGTCAGCTCTGGTCACTGTGGACTTGCTGTGTAACTGCAGGGAGGCTGCTGAAGGTCTTTGGGCCTTGGCTCCCTCCTCTGGGAAAGAGGGCTGCCAGTCACGGTCTCAAGAATGTGTATGGGGAGTCCCTGGTGGGGCTCTAGCACATGTCAGAAATGGGAGCAGAAATGAATGAACAGTCTTGCAATGGCTCATGTCCCCTCACAGTCTGGGCATTATGAATTTTCCAGGCAAAGGAGCTGATTTCCATAAAAACCAACAGAAGCATCTGTGGACCTAGTAATTCAAATGTCCCACTAGTCATGCAGGCATGTAAAAGACATTTACCGAGCATTTACTCTGCTTGAGTTCCCCAACTAGGCACTGGGGAGACAGACATGACAAGTAACACCCACCTTCTCAGTTTTTGTGAGAATTAACTGTAATAATGCAAGTACGGTATCTACCGAGGAGCCTAGCATGGTAGATCTGCAAAAAACTGGGGGCAACAATAATGATCGATCTTATTATTAAGAATGAACCTTTGCACCTACCCTCAACCCAAAAGCCTAGTGGAGAAGATAGGTGAGGAAGCACGAAATGCAAGTCCCCAGCATACGGCCGTAGATGTGAATTCTCGTTCCTTCCTGGGTCTTTTGCACTTGTTCCTCCCGCGGGCTGGAATGCTTTTCCCCAGCTCTGTGCCCAGCCCAGTCCCCTCACTTTATTCAGTTCTGACTACAGTAATCAGGATATGCTTCCTGGAAGTGGTGGTACCAGAAACAGTCCGAGAAGAATAAACATTTCCCAAAGAGACAAGGGGTGGAGGGTGGTGGCAATTTTTGTGCCTAAAACGCTGTAAATGACAATGGTTATCTCCAGTAACTTCTCAGGGGAAGAGACATCTCCCTGCCAGCCACCAGCCTGGGGCAGGATTGGTTTGGCCAGAGAAGCTGGATCCCTGCAGGCCTTTTGCAAACTGTGCCTGGCATAGGAAGAGAACAGCCTGCTTTGCTCTCAACCTGCTGAATGAACAAGGCTTACACGTGGGCAGCCTGTGTACTCAATGACGGCCCAGCCCAGTGCCAGGCCTTGTGTCACCGGATCCCGGTGCCAGGTGAGGAAGCCAAAAGCAGCAGGGTGTGGTTCCTCTCCCAGCATCTGTGGAACAGCACAGGTCGGCACTGAAAGCCCCGATTCTCCCCCCACCCCCATCCACTCTCAGCACAGGCTCCAGAGCTCCCTTGCGCCACTAAGTTGAACTACCAGTGTGGCCCCTGGTTCTTTTGGCCTCAGTTTCCCTTCTGTAAAATAAGAACAAATAGCTACAGGGCCTGAAAAGGGCTCGTCTAGCTTCAGAATTCCAGATTTTAAAGTTTCCTTTAATTCTTAAGCTCTAGTGATTACAACACACCATATGATATCCTAATAATAATTATAGTAACAATAATAGAAACTATGTGTGAAGCATCTATAAGATGCTGAGATTACTACAGCTTGCATCCTTATTTCTCAAAACAAAGTAAAAGACAAGTATGATATATGCATGCTACCTAATATATAAGGAAGCTGAGGCACAGGGAATTAAATGCCCTAGGCCATACACAGAGAAACTGAACAAGCTGAGCTCTGAATCTACATCTGGACTCTAACGCCATTGTCCTTTCCAAAATACATTCTGGTACTAAAATCACTGATTTACTTAGGGCCAAAGAAAGAAAAACTTTTAAAGGGAGACCCTGAGATGATGGAGGCAAATCTGGTGCAGTTTATTCAGCACTAGATCTGGTACAAAACCATCCCATTCACAGCTAACTGCTATAGCTCATGAGGTAGATACAGGTGACTAGACCTGCCCATTTACCGGATGAAGAAACTGAGGTAACAGAAAGTAGATGTGACTTGTCCAAGGCCACCTCGCAAGCCAGTGACAGAGCTGGGATTCAAACCCCGGTTTTTAACTCCAAGTTTAGTGCTCAATCCACAAGATCAAAAATAGTATCCACAAGCAAATCATGCCGTATTTTCCAATCTTTAAACAGCACTGTGGGCCCTTGGCAGGAAGAGATCAGGACAGGGTGGGCCAGGGTGGGGCTGAGCTGGGAGTTCAGCCAGACAAAGTGGGCCTGGCAGGGATGGGAAGTCCGGTGGCCTAAGGTCAGTGAAATCCAGAGAAGTCACTGAAGGCCGTCCAGTCAGGCGGTCCAGATAGGCTTAAGGGTCAAGTGAAAAGGTCAGCTGCTGCCAGATCTGACCTTGCCCTGACTGTTACTGAAAAAGTCCTCTGGGCAGCCAGTCCAGCTGTGAAAGCCAGGGTCCCGCCCGGGGCGGCTGCTACCAAGGGCCTGGGAAGGACCACCTGGCACCATTGGCACCATCATGCCGGCCTGGCAGCTGCATTAGAACGTCACAGGCCACTAAACGATGCCAAATAAATTGTCGTTCACTTAATTCTGGTTCATGTATGCACAGACTTTTCCAACAGTCACCTCTGAGAGCCACCTCTGCACCAAGTCTTGGAGAGTCAGTGAACCACCCCAACTCCTACCTCAAATGGCCCACAAATTAGCAGGGAGAGCAACAGGTGAGCCACGGGGGAAGCATCTCAGGGCATCGTGGTGGAGGGAGAGATGTCTATAGGGAGAGAATATGCCTCTTGTGACCTTACAACACCACACAATCTGGAAGGTGGGTGTGCCCACACCGATTTGATGCAGGAGACTACAGCAGCTTAGAGACAGATGAAGGAACTTGCTTGGAAATAGCACAGTTGGGATGGGAAACCCAATCTGACTCAAATACTCAGGGGTTTTCTGCAGTGCCATCTACCCGGCCACGACGGAATCCCTGCCCTGTCCGCATGCAGGTGCACATTCCTGCCCGACTCCCATCCATGGTGCCTGGATGAACAGGGGAGTCTCATTGTACCCGAACACCTTCCCACGCCCCCATGCAGACACCACACAAGCACAGCCTGCAGGCCGCCAGGGCTTCACAGAGGAAGTCCATCCTGTCGCCATAGGAACAGAAAGGGAAACCCAAGAAAGAGGAAGCCATGCTGACAGGAATTCCTCATCAATGCTCCATTCACTCCCTGCATTGAGACTTTCAGCCATGGCTCCTGAAGAATCCCTCCTCCCCCATATCAGTGGATTGGCCTCTCCGCAAAGCTTCCGCAGGCTCAGTGCTGGCCAGGGGCACCCAGCGATGGTGTTGCTGCCCTGCCCGGTGGCTTAGGAGTGCTTCGGGGTCCAGAATTTTCCCAGTCTTGTTCCAGGTGTGGGGTGGGAGTTCACAGAGTTCAGGGAGGCCTGTGAGTGCATCTCTGCACCCACTCGCAGGGCCAGACAGGGACGCTGCACTTGACAGGGAGCCCCACACAGGCTTGTGGAGATGTGCGCGTAGGCACGTAATGAATGAGATCAAGTCGAAAAACCTGGGTCCTGCACTTGGCTGTGCCATGAACACATTTGAAACCTTGAGTAAGCCCACTCTCCTCCTCATTGTTTGTAAAGATAAAAGTGTCGGGTTTAAACCCCCACTTGTTGCCCCCAATTCTTCAATCCCACTGCCACAGTCTCAGTTTGAGCCACTTCTTCCTAGAACCCATGCCCGGCTGCTTTACCCAGTTCATCTTTCACATGTACTTCCGGAATCACAAACCCATCCCTGCCATCCAGAAAAACCTTTCAATGGTTCCTTCTGGGCTTCAGGTCAAGTTGGAGGTGAGGGGTGTGTCTTTCAGGCCCTGGACTCAGCCTCATCTCTGTCCTGGCACAGGGGACCCTCCAGCAGCACAGCCCTCCCTACACACGGCTCTTTGTGCCTCTGGCTTGACTCATGCCTTCTGGGACCTCCCCATCCCTACTACAGCACTCAAGCCAACCTCGTGCAGGAGGTCATCACCTCCCGGAGGTGACCATTCTCCACACCGTACTCCACTGTTGGAACTGTTAAATAATGCTTACAGCTAAATAACTATTGAATAATGATTACATCCATTAGGCAAGGACTCTCTTGTACTGATTCCTGTACCATCAACACCTAGCACCGTAGGACAGAGTAGGTGCTTAATAAATGTTTGCGAGATAGAATGACCCCCATATCTAAGACTCCCCAACTCCAACATTCTATCTGGAGTTCACGGCATCTAGGCAAGACTCTTCTTATGCATGGCAATGTCTAGAGTCCAAAGAAATTTCAAATAGCCTGGACTCGGTTTCATGATTTAGAGAAACTCCCAAGAGTATTGAGTAGAAAACAACATTGAAAATGAGTTTCCATCCACTGCATTCCACTGTCAATATGGCTAGTTGATTTTTCTTATGATATTCACGCCACGGGACATAAGGGGCTATTTGTATATCCATGGCATCAATGGTCACACATTCCTAAGTACTGCTAAGTCCAGTGCTAGGCATGGAGGATAGAAAAAGAAATGAAGCCCATTGTATAGTTCCCTGGGGAAAAACAAAAACAAAACAAAACAAAAAAAACCCACAGAATGGAACAACAGGACGTAGGACTGCCCGCAGGGTTGGCTCATTGGTGGCCCAATCCATGACTGCTCAGGAAAACTGAGTCGTGAGCTGAGTTTTGACCCTGGCTAGTCAGGTCCTCCTGGTGCACACCTGTTGCCTAACTGCGTGAGAAAATTCTTTCTCAGGGTTGGGCATAAGAGACGGTATTTTACCTGTTGTCTATTTCCTGGAGACAACCTAGTATTTGAAAGCTTGGGCTCTGGAGCCAGGGGCCTGGGTACCAACCCCAGGTCTGCCACTGGTTGGCCATTAGACTCTGAGGATCAATTTTCTTATCTGTAAAATGGTGAAAATAAGAGTATCTTACTCACTGGGTTTAAATTGATTAATTTAAATACAGTAGCTAATTAGAATTAAATTGGTGAATCACATGTTATGAGTAAAACACATGGTGGGCCCTAGATATTATTTCATTGAAATGTAGGTCTCATGAGAACAGGGTTTCTCTCTCACTGGGCTCTGTAGTGTCCCCAGCACCAAGAATAGTGCCTGGCACATAATAGATGCTCAATAGGTATTTGTTAAATAAATAATTGAATCTCCGGGCTGTTGGGTTATGAGGCTCAATGACATCAGAGGATGCCCAATAGCAATAATGACGGCTATGTATTCAAGTAGCTGCAGTGCACCAGGCACTGTGCTGGGCACTTAACATATTAATATATTGTCTCTTCTCATGATTTCAGAGAAGGCAGGCTAAGACCATAGGGCTAAATGGAGTAATAAAAAAATCTGACCACTGTGCCTCTGCTTGGTTTGCTTGAGGACCCACACTAGCCCATCAACTAGTTACTAAGTACAAGCAGTAAGCAGCCCAGCAAGAAATCCTGCTGAAGAATACCTACTATTTAGTCTACTTATAAGCATGGAACCTGGAGGAAGCTCTCCCCTTTCTAACCGTGATTAGAAAAGCCCTTCATGAATAAAATTACAGCCTGCCATAGACACTGAAAACAATGTCTTAAATAAATGTCACTTCTGCATAAATCATTAAATTAAAAGGGAAATGATGGGTAAATTTCTCACTTGATGGGAAACTTTGGAAATAGCTCTCTTTGAAAAGGTGTCTCCATAGGGGATGTATACGTTTTCTGGGCTCCCACTGATTCCAGGCAATGACCTAGACACCAATACTCTACTTACCCCTGCCTCTCTCTTTCTGTCATTAGAATCCAATCTGAGCTGCTCCCACTCAAAAAAGGAGACATTCCGTCAACAAATAGCAAGGCCCAACCTGTTCCAGAAGCAGTGAACATGAGACAGCCTATGTCCCCAGGAAGCCCCCAGCAGGGGACAAGGACAGTCTACAGATGCACACACGGGCCATCAGAATACAGCAGGAGATGAGCTCTGATGAGGAAAGGGAGTGCTATGGGAGAGAGATCACTGATCCACCCTGGGGAACAGGAGGCTCGCCAGCCTTCCCCAAAGGTTGGCAATACCTCAAGTACATAAAGGGGTTTCTCATAAATAAGGGAATTCCAGGAGCTCCATTTCCTTCAAAGCAAAAACGAAAGGTATTTTCCCAAAATACAAAGCGCCTACAACTTGAAAAAATGTACACAGCTTTTAATGAAAGAAAAGCTGAGTCTGGTCTCCAGGGTTTCCATGCCTGCCCTCTGTACTCTGTTAGATACTGAGACCTCAATGGAGGCGGGTGCAACTTGAAGATCTGAAGGAAAAGCCAATAAAGATACTAAGAGCTGAGAAAGAGTGCCTTGACCTCTGTTGGTGGGGGAAGGAGAAACGCCTCCACCCCACAGGGAGGCACAGGTCTGTGAATCTGGGCAGGTGGCGTTTATTATACCGAAAGCCCCCAGGCCACTGAGTTCCTGCAAACAGTCGCAGCTTCCACCCTGCTGAAGTGGGTACTGACCGGCTTCCACAAAGCGGAGGAAATGAAACCTGTCACGTCAAGAGATAAAGATCTTCTACCCAAAGAAGAAACATGTAAAGAGGCATGTTTCTCAGTTCACATGGGGTCCTTCTGTGCAAGGAAATGTCAACACTGAACTGAAACTGAGGCAGAGAGTGGCAGAGGGATGGCAGGAAGCCTTGAACCCAGAGAGAAATCCAATGGGCAAAAGCAAACAGGAAGTGCTGTGGTAACAAGGCCCCACCCACCTTCCTTGAGCAGCATAAGGGTGCACCTGCTCAAAGGGCTCTTCGCATCTTGAGTGAGCCAGGGAACTGGCCCTGTGACCACAGAGTGACACTGAGTGCAGAGGAGGCTTCCATCAGCAGGAGCTCCCGTCTGCTGATGGCTGACTGTGTGCTAGGTAGGAGCTCCCGTCTGCTGATGGCTGACTGTGTGCTAGGCATTGGGCTCCCTTGTATTAATACATTTAATTCCATGATGGAAGCCATGTTGTTATTTCCACTTTGCAGATGAGGCAGTCTGGGCACAAAGCTTAGGTAATTTTTCAAGGTCCATTCCTAAAAAGTGCAAGAACAGGGATTGGAATCCAGACGGCAGCTGTGACTCTACATAGAAGTAACAGGACTTCTCCCAAGCTCAGGCCTTCCCATGAATTAAAATGGAATTGGAGGGGCCTGAAACATGGGGCTTCTAAGAATAGACTGATCAAGCAGGTCACCCCAATGCCACAGCAGAGAGGGGGAGGCGGAGTGCACAGGGCACGCACTTTGGGGATGTGGGTGCTGCCTTCTATCAGATTCTGAGCCATAACCAGCAGGGTGGCCGCTACTACACACAGACTGTCTGAGATTTTACTACACGAACTGTGGATGCACAGGGTGTGGCCAGGTGAGTTCAACTGGGATTGGAGATTAACTTCCTCAAAATGCTGCTCAATGCCTCTGGGCCCTGAGGTTTTCCTTTTCAGCAGTATAAACAAAAAGAACCAGGCTCTGCCCTGCACAAACATCCCTGGGAACGAAGGAGAAGCAGCAGTCCAAGGCCTGCAACACAGAAGCTGATTCAGGCACGGTGGGGTATGATCCTCCACTCCCTACATGTGCCTGTGGCCGCCTACTCCAGTGCACATATGGTCAATCTGGCCTTTCTGAGCCTCAGGTTCCAGACCAGGTGCACTTGACCTTTGGCACTAACTTAATGATTATAATTAAACCAAACAGAGAGGAGAATGTGGCCTAAATCTGAACCCCTATGTCACAAGGGTGCCACTCTTCACTGAATAGGCTGCCCAGGCGAGCGACTTAATTCTTCAAGAACCCACTGAGTCCTGGGAACTGCTCTCCCATAATGGTACTATTTCGTCAATGACTCTAGGAACAGCTGTCCCTTCATGAGTGCCTGCCCTGCCCGGTGAGTCACAGAATCATCTCATTTAACCCTCACAACTGCCCGACAGGAATGCCATTATTATTTCTGCTTTGAGGAACCGCAGCTTAGAAACATTCAATGACTTATCCAAGATCAGGTAGCTAAGAAGAGCCAGAAGTTAAACCTAAAACTCAAATCAAAGTAAAATGGAAACAGAAGACTCTGAGCTGCTGCCATTTCTACCCAGCAGCACAAGGCTTGCTGGCATTAGGTCCAAACATAACGCTGGGTGTCATCTGTGTCTGCCTGCAAAACCACCAGTGGGGGACCGGACTGAAGGCGCTGGCAGTTCCACTAACAACGTTTCCATGGATGGCCATGGATGCAGAGTCCCAGATGGCACACAATCGAAACTTTAGGCACAAGGAGTCAGCCCATAGGCAGGTCTTCTTCTGCACCAGGTGGGCCTCAGCCAATTTCACACGTAAAGCCTGCACTTTCGATTGCTTTCCAGATCACCAGAGTTCAAGAAGCACATCACTGAGAAGAAGACTGATGCGCAAAAGAGGTGTGTGATGGTCAGAAGATGAATAAAGCAGCACTTCCCAAATTTGCTTCTTTGCTTTTTCACCGTGGGACCAATGCCCAAAAGGTGAGAAAACAGACATTAACTCTGTGGTTTAGCTTTCCAAAAGCCTTTAAAATTTAACCCATTGCTTCCTTACACTTTCGATGTTGTTGAGGGAGAAGGAAGCTTTAGCTCCACTAAAAGTGATGCAATTAGGGTGGAAGATGAGAGTTCCCAGCAGCAAGCATGGAGCCAATGAGGTCCTGGGCCCCTGACACTTGGCCTCACACTCTTCCCTCAGGAAGTGCTGGCAATGTGCTCCATGTAGGCCACCATGCAGGCCAAATAAAAGAGAATCTGCCATGAAACTCAATGCTGCCAGGAGGCAGAGAAGGAGAAATACATTGTGGAACAAAAAGCAGAAGTTTCACATTCTGGAATCGAGAGGTTAAAATACAAAACAACAAGAAGAAAAAGGTGACTAGGCATGATTCCCCTTTCACAAAAAGTTGATAGTTGGATTTTAGAAAAACAAAAAAGCTCTTTATCAATCAGCTACTGCTGAGAACATTCAAAATGTCCTTGAAAACAGAGGTGACCTTCTCAGAGCTGCCCAGACAGACACTTGTCATGTTCCTGAAAAGCAAGCCCACTGGGACCTCCATGTGACTTGGGCTGGAAGAAGAGCTCTCGATGGAATGACAGGATTTCCAGGCTGGCTGCACCCTCAGACTGGCTGTGTAACATTAAGCCAGCTAGGTGACCCTGCCATGAGGCCAAGTAACCTCACTGATCAGATGGAGGAGTTCTCATTTTCTCCAAGGTCCTACAGGGCATCAGCCTCAAGGCTGGCCCCTGGGGCAACACGGCTGCATGGCCAAAGGGGCTATCACACATGCCACCATGCTGTAGGGACTATATAGGCCAGCTCCCTACAGTCCTTTACATTCTCTTTTTACCTTGGAAAATGCTCTTGAAAATGAAAAAGGATTTTGCTTTGACATGTTTACTCCAGGCAATTGTTTCGGTTTCACATTCACACTGGATACTCCTTTCTGGTTATCTCTGGACAGGGTCATGCTCTTTCGCGAAAGTCAAACGTAACTTCCAGACGGAATGTCAGAGGCACACACTCCTGAGGTTGGAAGCTTCTTCCCTGGATCCTGGGACATCAAGGATTTTGGCGTGTGATGACACACTCATAAAGGAGAAGCAAAGGCTGGGTGGGAGTAAAAGCCCTCCACAGCCCAGGTGAGGCCTGGCTGTGCTTCACTGGCTCCTAGCTAGCTGTGTGCACTGGGGCGTGCTCTCACCTCTGGAGTTCTGCCTCCTGGCAGCAAACCAAGAGAGTGCCACACAGACTATGCAACCTCCGGGTCCACTTTTGTTCCCATGTTCTATGACTTGGGGACCTCCACCCTGCTCTACTCATTTGCACAAACATGTATTCACTATGGGGGTCCTATCCCTGAATAGGCCATTCCTTCTACTCGTTGGTGCCCGAGAGTTCCTCCCTATGGAAACACAATCAAAGACGACACTTAAAAACACAGATCCCTGCGAGAGAGGGCATTTGCTGTCCCCATGCCCTCTGGCAGACAAATGAATTTCTTGAGAGCTGACTTACTAGTGAATGTGGCCTTACTTCTGCTCTTTCCTGTCCGTAACTTTGGGACTTCACCACGTTGCACTTTGGAGCTCTCGTCTATACAATGGACATGATGACATTCACTTCAATAGGGAGAGAGAATTAAACTTTAACCTTATGGTAAGAGGTAAACAAATATGACCTCTTATTTTTGTAGGTGCAGTTATTAAATCTCCAAGAAAGGTGGAACATACAAGGGTAGAGAGAATACCTTTGTCAGTATCGTTGGGGGTCAACATATATTCATCTTCTAAATGAGAATATTCAAAGAAGCACATACACCAATTTATTATTAATTGAAAAGACCTTAGAGCCAATACAGCATACAGAAGGTAACAGAAGGAGAAATATGAGGCTGGTAGGGGGAGGGTGGAAACAGACGAAGGACCAATCCAAGATCACAGAGGGTATCGAAGGCAAAACCAGGGGAAACATCTCCAGGCTCCAGGGGCAGAGGCATCTGAGCGGAAGAGAAAAGGTAAATGTGGTTCCACACTCTAAATCTTCCAACAGCTGCCCCTTCTCAGTTTGTTAATAAAGGTAAAGGCATTCACAAGCAAAGATCAAGATATGAGCTGGTCTCCACATTATGTGGGGCCTCATTCAGGAACTACGGTGAGCAATGAATACAGATTTGTTGCCTCTGTCCCTCTAAACTCATATTCTTAAAAAGAACAAAAAGGGCTTGAAGGAGTTCTTGTAATCAAAATCGGCTGGGAGAGAAAGCAGGGCCCCAGCAGAGTCTGCTAAATAGAAGGTAATGAGTTAACGGCATAAGCCAGTTGCCTGCATCCTGTCCAGCTGTCTCCTCCAATAACCAAGACCTCTGCACTGCCATGCATTTGCATCAGCAGTTTCCTCACCTGGAATGCGGTCTTTCCCACATTTCCTGAAATCCAGTCATCTTTCGAGTCTTGGCTCCAAAATCACCCCTCCTGTAAAACCTTCCTTGACTCTCCAAGTCCTAGGGAGAACTGACATGTCCCCACCACCCCAGTTCTCATCCCACCCAGCACGGACCTCTATTCTGAGCTGGTAGCATTTCCTTTATAGGTCCGTTGGCTATCTAATTCATCTAGATATTAATAGTACTGAGAATTGTGACTAATACCTAATATAAGCTTAGGTAAGAGCTACTGAATGAGTGCATGGATGAATGAATTATAAATGACTGATTCTGGCTGCTGAGTGTTCTGCGGGTAGAATTTTCAAGGCCCTGCCTTTACTGGCATTGAAAATGTCAAAGAGGTTTGCAGCCACCTTCGGAATTCAAGACACCTAATCATACATATTCATTGGGTCACAGAATATCCTGGTACCTGTCCTTTGAGCACCAGATGACACCTTTAGAATAGTAGCTATTTGTTTTCCCAAACACTTGAAAATTGCAATATTCACTTCCTTTTGCCCTCCTAAGATTCCTTCCCCTCATCTGGACCACAGACGGCAAAAAAACGTCCATTCAAGACTTTTCTAGGAAGCTGTTGTTAGGAGCAGTCCATCACAGTACCCAGGTCTGGACAGGATGAGACCTACCTCTCTTCGTCCTTAAAGATGAATTTCCGCAGCTTGAGGTCCCGCAGCACCAGCCCCCCGTCATGGCAGTGGGCCACTGCCGAGGCAATCTGGTAGAACAGTCTGGCTGCCTCCTCCTCTCTCAGCTTCTTGCAGGTGCGGACGAAGGAATGCATGTCCCCATAGCTTCGCTCAAAGAACACATAGGCTTTGGTCTCACCCAGGATAATTTCAGTGATTTGGTTGATGTTACTATGAGCAGACAGGCAAAAGCACGGTGCCAGGGATTCCTGGTAGCAGCTGATATCAAACACCTACGACAGGATTAACAGTAAGACCAAAGTCAGAGGTGCCTCTTGTACAACCAAAACACATAATGCTGCACCTCCCACAGGTATGGGCTTTTGAGATGACAGAAAATATGCTGAACTTGGACCCAGACCACATTGGCCCTGCCTCCTACCAGCTGTGTGGCACTAAACAAGTCACTTAACCTCTCGGAGCCTCCAAATCTTTACGTACAACATGGGAAACTGATACTTGACTCACAGTGTTAGGAGGATTATATGAGAAAATGAAGGTGATAGTGCTTTGCAAAACGTAATGCAGTACAGAAATAATAATTTTCATTACTTTTGTCTCTAGCCCAATTGCGTGTTTATAGAACTAAGGCAAAATTGGAGAGAAAGTGATCCACCTCAATGACATCAACAACACTTTATTTGCCTTCAAAAATAAAAAAAAAGAAATGCACATAAACAGGCATTATACAACACATGAGCAACTAAGAGAATAAACAGCTAGCTTTTGCCCAGTGGTCTCTAATTCAATACTTTCATTTTACAGATATGGAAACTGAGGCTCAGAGAATGAGCCAAAACTCAAGCCCCCAGTGGCAGAGGTAGGAATATGATAGAATCCTTCTGAATAGGGAAGCAGCCTTGCTTCTTCCTCTCTTCCCTCCACAGATATCTAACTCAATGAACCAGTTATGCAATGATTTTCTATGAATCAAAATTAGCCTGCAAAATGCCAACTCATTGTGCGGTTGCTTAAAAAGAAAAGGCACCATCAATACCTTTTGAAACAGACCTAACAGCAATTAACACTACAGAGAATTTTTGAGGTTATATAAAAGGCGCTTTCATTCATTTCAAGACCTCCACTAAATCAGGAATACAAGTCCCTGGGTCTGGAATGTGGTTTTTCTATCTGCCTGGGATGTGGGTAAGATGAATCTATTCAGTGTGTGCGTGAGCCAGGGGCATGCGTGGGTGAGCTTCGCTGGAAAGCATCTGAGGCAGGAACGCCCTAACAATACACTGCATGCTATCAGTTCACAATGATTTAGCTGCCTAAATCGCTTTTTCACTAGTTAGACATACTTTCTTTCATCATCATTTTGCAGTGTGGTAGGAAATATGCTGGACTGGAAGTCGGCAACCTTGAGGCACTAATCCTGGCCCTGCCACCAATAATCTGGATGAGATGGATAAAGAGCTTAGGGTTACTGGACCTCCCTCCTCTTCATAAAATGAAGATGTTGATTTAGAACAGTGTTAACCTTTTTTGGGTCCTGATGTCACATAAAATCTGATAAAAGCTCTGTTCCCTCTTAGCTGACAATGCCCGTTCTCAAATGCATGCACGATACCGGATTCATTTTAAGGGGATTCACGGGCTTTCTGAAGCCCATCCAAAGCCACAGACTGCTATTTAAGAATCCATGAGTTAAGTTGCTCTAAGCTTCAAAAAATTGAAACAAAATCTGTGAGTCAAACAGGGATGTAAAACCTCAAGAGTTGCTGCTAACACGGCCAAGGAAGCAAAGTTAACAGTAATGTTGTGAATGAACCATAACGAGGCATCTCAGAAAAGCGGCACAGCTGCTGCCACTATAACCTAGAATTTAAGAAAGAATACTTCAACATCTCCAGAGACCACAAATCACACACTGATACTGTCAAATGATGACCCAAGAGCAGTGACCTAAGAGGCCTGTTCAATTAGGAATCTGAAATGCTTGAATCAACTTTAACACCCTGAATGCAGGCAACAGAAACCCAGGGAAGCCTCAAAAATTTCGAGGAGTAATAAGCTTTGCAGTGGCTAACGTAAACACTGCATCATATAATGAAGATGCTGTGTTCTGAAATACCAGGTTGCAGCTTCTGTCGCCAGTGCTCACAGAGTTATGATTATTTATAATCTACTTCCTGTTTCCAGGTGCATTTACAAAAACATAAAAGGTGACTTTTGCTCAGCACTTTTAGCCTATTATCCTGCTCCACTGCTGAAAAACTGGAGACAGAATTTTTAAAAAACTAACATATTTGTGGCAGCTTCAAATGTAGCCATACCTTTTGTAGAAGAGACCAAATTCCAAGATGGTGGACAGAGTATGAAAAATAAAATAAGTACTTATGTTTTCCCACACGAGAAGGAGCCAAACTTTTATTAGTAGCTATCAGGGGCATTTAGGGGCTTGGACTGGTATTTAAACCATCATCTTCACGTGCAAAATCAAGCCACAAGCCTGGTGCCAGCTTCTTTACATGTTTAATTTGGAGCCTTGGTTATGTAATGTGACAGTTCAGATAAGGCAGTAAGATTAGGCCATCATTAATAACATTTGCAAAAAAAAAGTACCCATTCTGCCAAGATAGTAATTATGTCAATCTGCACAGTAGCTACCAGTATCTCCATGAAAACATACAGTTAAAGACTCCTTAAAGTGCCTTCATTCATCTAGCAAAAGTAGGTACATGGAGACAATAAGCAGCCTTGATTATTTTGTTTAAATGACTCTGGAATCTCTATTCCTCCAAATAGTGTCCTATGGAATTCTCTACGCAGTCCCCTATAATAAATAGCATCTTTACATTTGATCTGTTTTTGCAAAGAATTTTTTCATTGGTCAACACACAGCTAGGAAACATGAGCCTTCTATTCTAAGACATCAAAAGGAACTAGATTCAATGTGTAGATTTCACTGAGCCTTAAAGTAAGCTAAGAGACCACAGCATATATATCTCTCAGGGCAGTTCAGAGAAGCAGCCTTATAAAACTCTCTTGGAGCTTCTTCGGAGATACACAACTATGCTTGCATAAGAAGTCACCCACATCATCTATGGTAAAAAGTCAGGAAAACAGAAGCTGCTGTGTCTTAAAGGGATGACCTCTGTCAAGCAGAACAATGATACTGCACTTAAATCCACTTGCAGCCACACTGTAATTGGTGAGGGGCTGATTCAATCTTTGCAATAACTAAACCAGCAGATTAAGTCCAATTTGAGGCCAGAGCACAAGTCTGCAAATGACACTGTAAGGTCAGCCCAAAGTGAAATATGTCTTGCAAAATCTGGAGAAAGAATGAGCAGAGGCCAGAGTCACCTCTGATTTTAAACAAAGAAGTAACAGCCAGATGCCCCTGCAGAATTTGGCTGCAGAGTCCCTATACTTAAAAGCATCTCCAGCCTTTGAAAAATATTAAAATGCTGTACTGAAGTTGAGCAAAAGGAATGAAAATATTCACTGCTGGGTGATTGTGCATATTTCATACAAGAGTGGCAGTTCTGTGGAATTCATTCATTTCAAAGGATGACTATCCTATTGTGCAACCTTGCAGACTTCTGAGAATTCAATCCAGCTACTGAATTTTGGTTAACTGGGCACAGTTGCTCTGGGTCTCAATAACTTAGAGAAGATGCAAAATACCAAATGCTCAGTACAAGCAAAGGGCAACATTTAAAGAGTCTCCGATTTCCCCCTAAGGGCTGAACTGAACAATCGCAAAACTGACTGGAGATCTCCACTAAACCCAAATTTTGCAATGAAATACTCCAGTCCACTAGGAAATAAGGCAAGTCCGCAAAGTAGTCTGTGGTGAATGGCAAAAGCGCGATGTGTTATTTGCAGCACAACCGTGCCCAGTGACCATTTCAAAGGCAGAATGGGTCCCCCACTCTCCCCTTACCCCCTCAAAAAAAAAAAAAAACAGTCAGCAAATCTAAAATTAAGTGACAAAGAATCCTTGATCTAGGTCCAATTCTGGGTAGTAGTATGCTCTATTATAGTTATTTTCTTTTTCGCAACTATTTCGCCCCTCATCCACTTGTCTGGGGCCCGGTGGGTGCACACAAAGATACACAGACACACATATACATAAACCAGTCACTGTTCAGGGTTAAAGACAAAAAAGGAAACCGAAGTGTCCATCGCAGTGGTATTACCACTGCGGATCCCTAGGGCTCCAAACGGGAGCCTCTTAACCTTACAGGCAAAGGTGTTGTTCAGGGGGGCACGGAAGAGAGGGGATGAGCAGACAGGGAAGTCTAGAGATGGGGAGAGAGACCAAGACCAGAGAGAAAGACCCAAAGCATTCACTATTCACCAGAAAGTGCTCAGGCTTTGATTTCCACCCCAACCCTCCTTTCAAGGCTCCAGGCAGAAGAAAGGTCTTTGTAAACTCCTTCCCTGCGCTGGGCCCCTGGGCTCAGCCGAAGGGGGCACCTTTGTGTGTCTGTTTTAAAGGGCACCTTCGGAACAAAGGTTTAACACCTGCCCGCTGCTAAGAACAATGGCTGCGAAAAGAACGAAGTCATCAGTCTTAAAATTACCGGGGGATTCCCTAATCCTTGTTGGAAGGGGAGGGGGCTAGACACAGGAAGAAATCCCCCCCGGGCAGCGGGACCCGGCCTCGCGCAGAGAGCTCCTGGAGCCTTCGGTGCACGCGTGTCCGTGGCCCCCGCGCAGTCCCGCCGCCCTCTCCTCCCCGGGCTCTCCCCGAAACGCCCCCACTGCCGCCCGCCCCATTGTCTGAAACGGTCTAAAAACTTCGCAACTTACCGAACCTGAGCAAATAAATAAATAAACCCATTTAATAAGGCCACGGTAATTATCCCGCGAATCTCCCTCTCCCAGACTCGAGGGCCTGGCGCCCTCCCGCTCCCTCGGGCCCCTTCCAAAGACAAAAAGCAACCCACTGGCCCTTTACCTTGCACACCAGCTCCTCTCCGCTGTGCAGATGCACGGCACGAAAAACGTGGTCTCCCTCCAGAGGTTCCAACAATAAGTATTTCCCGATACAAGAAACGCAATGCGACAAGTTCGGAGTCTCGGGCGGGCTCGGGGAGCCGAGGTTCGGGCTGAAACTCTGGCTGGGCTCCGCGGACCTTATAGACGACAACTCTTCGAAATCCTGGGTTTTGTTCCGCGATCTCCCATATCTCGCTATTGTGATGGGGGTAGACCTGTGTATGTTCATGAGTGTGAGGATCGCACACGACAAACAAAAAAAAACCCGCTGGAGAGATGAGTCGCTGGCGAGTGCGGCTGCAGGCGCCTCGGTGCCACTGATTTTAAAAGGGAGCGAGAGGGGAGGGGACAGAAGAGGGGCTGCGTGGAGAAAGAGTTAGAAGCCCCCAAATGGGCGCCGCCGGATACCTCGTCTGCTCCGAGCCCGGCTCCCGGGGGTCCTCGGTCGGCAGGCAACTCGGGTCTTTTTGTTACCCCAAAGCAGTCGGCGATGTGCAGAATCGCCGCACTTTTAGTTACTCTGTGTGTGTGTCCCCGGCGTGGATCTGGATGAGTACCCGGGCTGCTAAGGTGCGGAGCTGCAGCGCCAGGGCTCCCGACGCGACCCCCAGGCCGGCTTCCGAATCGCAGACGGGGCGGAGGAGCCCGCGGTAGTTTGTGCAGTCTTCGGGGAGCTCACGGCGGCGACTCAGTCCCAACGCGTTAGAAGCCAAACAAAAAGAGAAAGGAAACAAGCACGGGTCTACCGGCTGGCGACGCACGGCAGCCAGAATCCGCGCTGCACCCCCTTTTTTTGGTGGAAAGGGTGGGGGGCGTGTAAGGGGGGGGTGCGGGAGAGGGCAGTTACCTACGTTTTAACTGTAGATGGCGTCTGAGGCTTTTCCAAGATCGCGAGCTCTCCAAAAATTAAACAAACAAACAAAAAAAAGAAAAATTGCAAGGGAGCATTTAACTTGGTGCGGTCAGCGCTGCCAACAAAAGATTGCAAAAGCTGGGCACAGAGTTGCGGCGCGGGCTGGGCGCAGGTACCGCGACAAAGCCCTGGGCTCGGCCCGCCGCGCGGAGGTCAGCACAGGCTCATGCTGTCGCCGCTCGCTCGCGCCCCAGGTCTTCCTCCGAATGCAGCCAGACGTGCAGGAGAGAACGAGGACAGATCGGCGGTCTCCGATTTCGCCGGCACGAGCTTGCGGGGGTCCTGCGGGCGCTGCAAGGGGAGCTGCGTCCCTGGCCCTTCCAACGCGCGGCGTTCCTTTGCCCCTTTCCCGCTGGAGAACTGGATCTCGTCCTGGAATAATTTGCAATCACCCCGTCTCCCCCTACCCCGAGACCAAATTGCCCGGTGGGGTTTGTTTTGGAGAAAATTGACGGCTTGTCTCCTCCTTCTTTGATTTCTTGCTTGCCCCCCCCAGAGAAAAGAGGGGACCGTGTATTTAAAAATTAAAGGGGACGGCCGACGGTGCCCGAGGCCAATCCCCGCGCTCAGCACGCCCGCATCCCCCGGCGAGGCGGTATTAATAGTTACTTACGTGGCCGGGGATCTCGGAGCGAGCGGGGCCGTGAGTGCGCGTGTGCGCGCGCGCGCCTCGCTCGCGCTCGGTCTCCCCATTCAATGTCACCGACACATTTCCACGGAGCCTCCGCCCCCCCCCCGCCGCCCCCGCGACTGGCTCAGCCCAGAGCCGGCCCCGCCCCGCCCCCGCCCGGGCCCCCCTCATTGCGCCGGGCGCCCATCAATCAGCCCCGCCGCTGCCAGTCCTCGGGCGGCTCCCCGCGCCGCTGCCATTGCAGCTCCGTGCCGGGGGCGCCAGCACCGGCCTCGCAGCTCCCTCGCCCGGCCGGGGAGGTAAACAAAGTGAAATATCCTTCCGCGGCCCGGGGCCCCGGGCGCAGCACCCTGGGTGTCGGCTGCGAGCCGGCTGCGAGCCCAGCTGCGGGCGGCTGGGCCGGGGTTACCAGCAGCGACTCCCGAGCCGTTCCCCACACGCTGCTCCCGCAGCGCCCGCTCCAGCTCTTCGTAGCTCGTTCATGTTCCTGGCGCTTTTCCCCAGAAAGCCAGGCACGCTCTGAGCATTGGGCCCCCAGGCTCAGATGTGGCCCTGAATGAGGAGCTCTGTTTTGGAAGAATGCGCTTTCATCGGTATTGCTGCCTGGAGTTTCGAGAATTCGTTTCATGGTATCTCTCCGACATCCTCCTCTCCATTTAAAAGGAAATCCATTGCTTCCTTTTAGTTGGTGTCACCGCTTGCCCCCGATCCCCACATCCTGGGCTTGTATTTCTAGTGTTTTCAGCAGAAGAGGAACTGAAGGCATCTTTTGATTCAGGTCAAATTTAATCACTAATTCTTCCCTTCCCAGTGCATTGCCTGGAGGGCCTTGGAGGCCAAGCTAGACAAAACTTTGCACCCACACCTCCAGGGAGCGCTGTTGGGTCCTATCCAGGGTGCTGGGCGTCCTGAGTCCTCTTCTGTTAGCCAGGTGAAGGCTGCAGTTTCACGCCCCACTCCACCCCCCATTTCGCCACCCCCCCCGAATTATTCGTAACTTCCTTGGGAGATTCCAGTCCGCGGGCTTGGACAGGAACACCGGAAGCAAGGGGCTTGAACTCAGGCAGAGGCTTCAAACGCCAGCCTTGATCTAAGATATCCTGGTGAATGAGAAGCGATCTAGTAGAGGACAAACTTAAAAAAAAAAATCCCAAGGAACTGAGAAAGGGGAGTTGGGACGACTCCTGGAGCCCTCTGAGCTTTTGCATGCGTGTAGTATATTTTCCACTGGAGGAGGGGACTAAATTATTGTCCACTGTAGGACACTTTCAGTAAAAGAAGGGAGCTATTTATAATTATGTCCACTTGGGACAACAGTCACTCTAATGATCAGGAGTCCTGGGAATGTGGCCAGAGATGGAGAGGACATTGACTATAAAGCTTCCACCCAGCAGCACAGAGTTAAAAGGAAGGTTAAGAAGTGGACCCGTGCCTTCCAGCACCTCTCACCATCCTACTCCCCACAAACCTGCCTAGGATTCAGTCCCAGATCCCAGCAGAATAGATCTATTTCCCTAGGCGATCACCAGGACCACTGACCGAGCAGGGTCCCCTAATCCAGTCTTACCCCAGGAAGACACTTGGCCTGTGTTAGGAACAGTCTCGAAGCAACCCCTGCTGTTGAGTCAGAAAGAGAGGTGCCTAGCCTCCTCTATGCAGTGGCCAAGAGAGCTTTGTAATAATTAGGGGTTGGGACACCTGTGTGCTAGCCCTGGCTGGGTCTCTGATTTCAAATGGAAATTGGGTGAAGACCTTGTTTTTTCTCCCTAGATCCCTGTTTCTTCATCTGTAAGATGAGAAGCATAATACCCGCCCTGCTCACCTCATGTGGTTGCTTTAGAATTATATTTTCAATTCCAGGAAATCTATGAAGGCTTACTATAAGCCGGGCTCTGTGCTGAGTGTTAGGGATCCAATATGAGTAAGATCTGGTCTCTGCCACCCAAGAGCGCAGGGTCTAGCCCGGCAGAAAGACTGGGAAACAAATAATGTCATTGTGTAACAATGTGGCAATTAGAATATCAAGGCCTCAAGGGAGCATGGAGGAGGGAATGACTTTTCCTGAACGTCAGGGAGTTTTCCCAGAAAATGTGATTTTTATTACCTTGAACTAATCCAGAGCAAATATTTATTGAAACCTACTATGTGCCAGACACTGGATATGAAGATACAATGATTTGAAAAATATATTTCCTGTCTTCATGGACCTTGAAATAGCCCTATGAGTCATAAAATAAAATGAATAAGAGATTGTTGTTGGCATTTCAGGCAGAGGGAAGGAATGTGGAAAAGCAAGGGAGTGGGATGTTCTGAAATTTCTAGTAATGCACCATGTTCCAGCAGTGGCAGCTGGGAGCAGTGGCCAGGCATGTGGCTGGCAAAGTGGACTGATTGGGATTAGATCGGGAAGGGGTTGATAGACACAACTAGCAACAGTGGTCTTCCTAGTAGAGGAGATGGCGAAGCACGGCTGACATTGGGAAGTGACACGGTCGTTTGTGGGATTTAGATCCTGCTGCAGATCACAGGGAGTAGATACTACTGGGCTTCCAAGGAAAGAGAGAGCAGAAATAGTATAAACCTCTAGTGATGCTGTACAGGATTAATAGTGAATTTATGACTTGTGATGAAATTACACAGTGGCCATTCTCCTGCCTGTCCTTGAAGGCCAAATTCATGGCTTAGTGCTATGTTTGTTGATTAAATTCACGGAGCTATTGCAGTGCAGGATAAATTAGATAATTTGTATCAAGTGCCTTAAATATTTGTTATGTCTGTTAACTCGGTAATTCTTAGCAAATTGGAAAAGAAAAAAGCATGTAGTAGGAAGATCTGGGTGGGGATCTTTATTCATTCACTTTTTAGCCATATGACTTTGGTCAAGTTTGGAATATTTTAATCTATAAAGTGAAATTACAATAGAAATTTTGTCTTAATGTATAGCAATTATGGAAGATGTGTATAAAGCATCTGGCACAATGTCTTGCCTATAATAAAAACTCAAGGCCGGGTGTGGTGGCTCACACCTGTAATCCCAGCACTTTGGGAGGCCAAAGCGAGCCGATCACGAGGTCAAGAGATCGAGACCATCCTGGCCAACATTGTGAAACCGCGTCACTACTAAAAATACAAAAATTAGCTGGGCATGGTGGCACATGCCTATAGTCCCGGCTACTTGGGAGGCTGAGGCTAGAGAATTGCTTGAACTTGGGAGGTGGAGGTTGCAGTGAGCCGAGATCACGCCACTGCACTCCAGCCTGGCAACAGAGCAAGACTCCATCTCAAAAAAAAAAAAAGCAGCCGTTACTATTTTACTATTGTTGTTGTTGGAATTCATCCACAGAAAGCAATCTAACATGAAGTAATAGTAATAGATAACATGTTTACAGTATTGGCAAGGTGTGTGGGAGTTGTTAAACATAGTTATAAGAATGGTCCTATACAGTATGCAACAATAATAAAATATGTGGCAATTAAAAAAGGATTATATAATTACAAGGGGATATATTTAAACCAGTCTACTCTGCAGTAGGACAAATCCAGTTGTCTTGGGTCAGTAACATGTTGTGCATGTTTTCTAGAACATTCTTTATTCTGCAATATATTTAGCTGCTCCTTCACTCACTCATTCACTTTATTGCTCATTAGTTCATTCATTTACAAACACACAGTGGGCCTCTGCTAAATGTGAAGCCCTAAACTAAGTGCTGTGTGTGTTGATCAAATAATAATAAATGCTTTTGGAGAAGAAACCATAAGACTACTATATCACTTTAAGGCCTTTACCATATGTGACAACATTTCCCGTGTTTCAACTCGGGCAGCAAGTCATGTGTAGGCTCAAAACTATTTGATAAACTTCTAGTTTAAGTTGTAGAGAGTTTCACGTCATGCTGATGTGCACGCAGACTGTGGCCTGCTGAACTCCAGAACATTCCATTCTCACTGACAGCTCTGTGAATGAAACCCTGAAGTTGTGCAAAATGCAGTTGTCCTGGTCTGTTTGGGCTGCTATAATAAAATATACGCTGGTGGCACATAAACAACAGAAATGTATTTCTCACAGTTCTAGAAGCTGGAAAGTCCAAGTCGAGGCATCGGCCCGTTTTGTGTCTGGTAAGGGCCAGAGTCCTGGTTCATAGATGGCACCTTCATACTGTTCTCACGTGGTGGAAGTGGCAGGACAGCTCTCTGGGGTCTCTTTTATAAGGACACTAACCTTATTCTTGAGGTCTCTGCCCTCATGACCTATCACCTCACAAAGACCTCATGTCCTAATACAATCACGTTGGTGATTATGTTTCAACATGTGAATCTGGGGGGACACAAGCATTCTGACCAAGCAGCTGTTAGAGCCTTAGACATAAACCCATTGGCCTGAAATTCAGGAACTTCCCAACAACTTCGTCTCTCACTTTTGGTTACCTACCGGCCAGCTGCTCATCACCCCATGGACTCCAGGCTCCTACTTTTGTGTTTATGACTTGGATCATTTCCTCCTGCGTATTTGGTGCCTCCATGTTTCCCTGGAATCTTTTCCAGGATGTTCCCTTCACCTGGCTGCACTCCCTCAGTTCAAGGTTACATTCCCCAGTTCTCTTATTTGGCTATGTGGATGTGTCAGGTTTTAAATGACATGTTCAAAATCCAGGTGACATGGTTGTGCTTGGACAATAATGAAGAGGTTTGTGGTGTTAATGCCTGAGCTCCAATCTAGATACTCCTGATGATGGAATCTACAGATTGCCTAGTGTCAGTCAGTAAAGGTAGCCAAGAAGATAAGTGCTCCCACTTACTGCTTCATGCAAGATTTAACCAATCCATGAATGGGAAACCCAATCAGGATACATCCTGCTCTGTAATGTTTTAGAAGGTGCCATATCTTAAACTGAGTCCTTCACCATTGCCTTAGTTCTACTGTTAGTGTTACATTACTTTGCATTCAATTTCATACTCCCTTGCTGCCTTCCTTGAATGTTCTGCTAACTTATGAAGAGGTTCTGTCATCCATTTGTGTAGGTAGAGAAGAAGGAAGAGGTTCAGGGAAGAGGTGCACACCTTCATAGCTGCAGCCACTGGTCCACGTGATCCACATGATCCTTTGCTTTGAAGATAGTCATGCTGCCTAGCTGCATTTCGGTGGTGATGGAGTCAGTGACTTGCTGCTATGCTTTGGCTCGTGTTGACTGTGTTAACTCCTTGTCATAAATTGCCCCATCACTTTGAGAATATTCTCTGTTACTAACTTTAATAATAGTTGTATTTTAATTATGCCTTTTGAATGCTAGACCAGCTACTTTCTTTCTCTCTAGTTCTTATACAACCCTTTGAATTATTACTCCATTTTATGGATTGAGGAAACAGGACCCAGAGAGACTAATTAATTTATTCCATGGTAGCCCATTACTCAGTGGCCCTGGAGGTCATGTGTATGTGCATGTGTGTGTATGTGCATGTGTGTGTATGTGCATGTGTGTGTATGTGCATGTGTGTGTATGTGCATGTGTGTGTATGTGTATGTGTGTATTGAGAAGAAAGGGGGCAGGAGAAAAGTTTATTCTGAAACTATATGATTATTTTTTACTATATCACATTACTTGTCATTAGGCTTTCTAGAGTTGACTGAACCTTTGGATTGAATGGCCCACGTAAAATCCTTCCATAATGGTGATTTCCATTCTCAATTTTTTTAACAGCTCGTGTTGGAGAAGCAGCTGCTTATTTACAAGGTATTTTTTAGTAGTACCTATTAAAAGGTCACCTTTTAGATGTCACCTTTTTATGCAGATGTACTTCCCTGTTTTGCAGTGGTTGATGTTGTATTTACATGCAATTCTACTCACAGGGCCCCAATGCATGATCCAATCATTGTCTTCGATTTAGAATGCTATTTGGACACAGTAGGTCATAGAGGAGGAAAAGGGACACAAGGAGAAAGTGCAGGGGAGACAATAGGGAGTGGCAGGAAGGAGAACTGTATCATACAAAAATTGCAGGACTTTCCACTTGAGTGACCTATGCCTTTTTGCTTGTTTGTTTGCTCACTTGCTTACTTTACCATGGCTAGGCTGGGGATGTGTTTTTGTCTCTGGATAAATTGTCCACTGGGAAAAGACCAGGGTATAAATACAGAAGAAATAGTAATATTAGCACCACTTCTTTCTAGGCCCTGGTTTTGTAACTCTTCTTCTCATACAGGAAAATAGCTCTTGTGTGCTCACAAGTGAAATGAGATACAAGAAAATTTTGTTGTTGTTCTTAGAGTAGGGTGGGAAACCCAACATATGGGAATTTTCTGAGTGTTGCAAATTGCCTACCGTCCTGTTAAGTATTGCTGAGCAGCTAATAAAAAAAGTAAAAACAGGTAAAATGAAGCAGCTAGTCCAGGAAGTGCTACAAATTTACATATTATGTAGAGTGCTAGGTTACTGTAAATGATTCCATTTGAAGGGTGTTCTGGTAAATCTAGTGCGCGTTCCCACACCTAGCACACAGACCTCAAAGGAGCAGACAGACCTGGGTCCAGACCACCCCTGGTTTCACAAGCTTCAGAGGCCTTGAATGGTATTTAACTTCCCTGACCATCGTTGCTCTTGGATGGAATGGAGATAATAATACCTTCCTTATGAAGAAAATAGGCAAAATCAAATTATCACTTAAGATTCCCTTCAGCTTTTACAATATAACCTTTAGTGTGGGAAAATCAGGCATGTAACAAGTAGACCAATATCTGAACACCGATGCATTGAGATTCCATCCAATTTGGGCACCAAATCAATCATCAACTTGGCCTTGGATGACCCTGAGAACTCAGATTAAGGTTGAAGAGAATTAATATGTGTACCAGGCTTGCCAATTTAACAAACACCCTTATGCATTTTGTCTTATTTAATCCAAACAACAACTCCTTAAAAGAGGTTTTGTTATTAGCCTCAGTAGAAGAAACCTGCGTCTCAAGGAATTTACTAGCCCGTGAACACAAACCTGGTCATTCTAGTGGAAAATCCTGCAATCTTTGTATGATACAGTTCTCCTTCCTGCCACTCCCTGTTCTCTCCCCCTGCACTTTCTCCTTTTGTCCCCTTTGCTCCACTTTTTATTACCTTCTGTGTCCAAATAGCATTCTAAATCTAAGACAATTTTTGGATCATGCATCAGGGCCCTGTGCATGGAATTTGATGTGAATGCAACATTAGCCATCGCTAAACAGGAAAGCATGTCTGAACAAAAAGGTGACATCTGTAGGATAGTGGTTTCTGATTTGTGAGTCCTGGATCCTCAGGTGGACTGTAGTAGAGCAAGTGTAGCATGGAGTCTCAGCTCTATGTAAAGTAATCTACTCAGTAGACTATGGATGGAATAAACAATCTGGCTCACCCATATCTCCACATTCTCATTACAAATATTTACACCTGCTTTTGTGGTTAATAAAATACAAAAATGTAGACAAATAACAGATTTCATATTTTTTCATTTAGGCAGTTAAAAACTATAATTTCTATACTCTGGACAATATGAAATTTGATATCATTCAAATTTCACATGATTCAATAAAAGAGCTTACTAACAAATGTGAGTTAGACAGGATTTTGACTCCAGGAAGTAAACAGCTTTCTAAATGGCACAGCTGCTCAGTGACTCCAAGGTGTGATCTCTGACAGACCCTGGGGAAACCACATCTAGAAAAAAGCTGAATGCAAAAGTCAACCAACTATCATTAAATAGGCCAAGCATTTGCCTGAGTACTTCCTCTGAAGTTCAGTAGCTGTATGGCCTTAGGTAAACTCTATAATATCCTTAAATCTTACTTTTGGCTTCTTTAAAATGACACAATAATAGTACAGACCTCATAGAGTGATTGTCAGGTTTAGATGGTCCACAGGTAAAGTGCTCACTTTCTGTCTGGTTGGCAGTGAGTGTAGGCTCTTACCACCACCACGGCCAATATTAATATAAACACATTAGTTAAACTTCTCTTTCTCCTCCTGTGATGGTTAATACTAGATGCCAACTTGATTAGTTTGAAGGATGCCTAGATAACTGGAAAAGTATTGTTTTGGGGTGTGTCTGTGAGGGTGCCAGAGGAGATTAACATTTGAGTCAGTGGACTGAGAGAGGAAGACCCACACTCTATGTACGTGGGCACCATCCAATTGGCTGCCAGCCCCGCGTGGCTAAAACAAAGCAGACAGAATAAGGTGGAATAAGCTGGTTTTCTGAGTCTTCCGTCCTTCATCATTCTCTCGTGCTAGATGCTTCCTGCCCTTGGACATCAGACTGCAGGTTCTTCAACCTTTGGACTCTTGGACTTGCACCAGTGGTTTGCCAGGGGCTCTCGGGCCTTTGGCCACAGACTGAAGGCTTCCCTACTTCTGAGGCTTTTGGACTCAGACTGAGCCACCACTGGTTTCCTACCTCCTCAGCTTGCCGAGGATCTATCATGGGACTTCCTTTACCTTGTGATAGTGTGAGTCAATTCTCCTTAATAAACTCCCTTTCATATATACATATATCCTATTATTAATAGTTCTGTCATTCTGGAGAATCCTAATTAACACCTCCCCTCTCCTCTCTCTTTCTCCCCTTGCCTCTTTCTCCTCACTGAGCCTGTGCAAGGCAAGAAAGTTAAGGATGTGCTATGATCTCGTGTCTTCTGGCTGCTCTCAGCCTGATGGGAGAGGCACAAACCTCAACATACGGGTATGACATACAGAAGGCATGGCAAGGATTCTCAGCCAGAAAATGGGGATTCATCAGGGCCTGGCAGAGCCTCTCTTCCAGGCCAGCCCCACGTGCTGCTAACATGTTCCTTTTCTCTAAGTTCACTAAAATTCCTCAGGGAAACAGACAAAGCACACATAAGACTGGGAAAACATCCCATTGTAGGAAGCTCATCTCCCTTCCAACCAGGGACCCTTGCTAGGTCATCTCAGACAAAAAAAAAAAAAAGAAAAAAGTTTTACCCTGATGCTATAAGAAAAGCCCTACGTCCCCAGATGATGAGAGAATCATTCTGCATTGCAGACCAAAGTGTTCCATCCACAGCCTGCCAGCATCTGGGGTACAGGGACTCTTGGAGTTTGTGATATTATGAAAGAATCCTGGTTAGCTTTGTGCTCGGGCCAAAGGAGGCTTTCTTGATTAGTTAGGTATCCAGGATCCCAACTAGGGTATGGAGAGCCAGGCACTTGTCTCAGGTGCAAAAATTGAAAGGGGGAGCTAAAAAAAAATCAGTAATCAAGACAAATATTTTCATACAATATTTTAAAAAATAAATATTAAGGCAAAAAACTCTGATGAAAAACCCATCAAGATTTTAAATAAATAGAGTGAATCAGTATGATGGATTTAACTTTTGCCACAGGCTCCAAATATCTGGCCTGGCCATCTTATTGATTCCATCTCACTCCCTAGGGAGGAGCAAAGAAGGAAGGTTCCAGGAGGTAATACATTTTTCTACATTAAGTTTATGACAAGCACTTTGCAACCACTACCTCATATCTTCCTTTTGGTAACGGTGAAATACAGGGAGGATTAACCCCATTTTATAGACAAGAAAAACTGAGATTCAACAAGAACGAGTTACTTTTGTTGGGTAGAGACAAAATTGAAATTCAGATGTGTCTGAGCCCATGGCCTATAGCAAACTTGTCCAACTCGTGGCCCATGGGCTGCATGCGGCCCAGGATGGCTTTGAATGAAACCCAACACAAATTTGTAAACTTCCTTAAAATATTATGAAACCTTTTTTAAAAAGCTCATCAGCTATCATTAGTTTAGTATGTTTTATGTGTGGCCCAAGACAATTCGTTTCCCAGTGTGGCCTAGGGAAGCCAAAAGATTGGATACCTCTGGCCTATAGCTTTGTCATGCTATTGTGGACCTACTTAGTCGACTACACTACTTGGCTCAGTCTTGTCAATGACAGGACTATTCTGCTTCTGCTGCCGTAATAACATGGCACAGCCTGGGGGCTTAAAGAGAAATGTATTTTCTCACAGTTCTTAAGGCCGGAAGTCCAAGGTCAAGGTTTCAGCAGGTTTGGTTTCTCCTGAGGCCTCTGTTCTTCGCTTACAGATGGCTGCCTCCTTGCTAGGTCCTCTTAGGGTCTTTTTCTCAGTGCCTGAGCATCCCTGGTATTTCTTCCTCCTGTTGTGGGGACACCAGTCCTATTGGATTAGGAACCACCCTTACGATCTATTTTAACCTTACTTGCCTCCTTATAGGGCTCTATCTCCGAAAATATAATCATATTGGGGGTTAGGGTTTTGTGATAAGAATTTGTGGTGGGTCACAGTTCAGTCCATAACAAACAGTTACTCTGCTTTGGGACTCTGTTACTATAGACATCACAGGGGCTGTGTGTATCATTGCCCTCAGAATTGATAATCGAGTTGAGGTACATAATATTTGCATAAAGTAATTCTACTGCAAAGCCAACAGTAGATACTACAATTAATTATCAAATATAAAATAAATGAAGGCAGGGAATGTTATTTGCCATTTTATCCTTGAGAATACCCCTTGGCACAGAGTAGGGCATATATGTGTGTGTGTGTGTGTGTGTGTGTGCATATGTGTGTGTGTATATGTGTGTGTGTATATATGTGTGTGTGTATATATATGAATACATATAATATATATGTATTCATATATATATATTCTTCTTCCATATATATATATATTCTTCTATATATATACATATATATTTTCTTCTATATATATACATATATATATTCTATATATATACATATATATTCTATATATATACATATATATATTCTATATATATACATATATATATTCTATATATATACATATATATATATTCTTCTATATATATACATATATATATATATTCTTCTATATATATACATATATATATATGGAAAATTCAGAGAAGAAGAAGAATCTTGCCAGCCAGGAAAACAAGGAAGGAACACTTTTGAACTGGCCTTGAAATTTGAGTAGACTATCAGCAGGTCAAGATAGAAGAGTGTTTCTAAGAGAAGATAGTGCGCCAAGCCCTGGAGGCAGGAAGACACAGGTCTGCTGAGATAAGAAACAGCAGTTAGGTCTGTCTGAGGTAGAGACAGAAGCTGCAGAGAACAAACACAAGGCTGTAGTCAGACCATGAAAACATGTAGTTATTGAAATAAAACCCTAGGACTTCACTCCTCTAGCCAGATGCTCCCGTGGCTTCTAGATGAAAGATCCTTATGAGCCAGAAATCACATGGGGTGGTAGAAAGTGCAGTAGACTGGAAGCTGAGCTAGTTGAATTGTATTCTTCTTTTATACACTTGTATTAGTTATGTATTGCTACATAACATGTTATCCCCCAAAACTTAGTGGCTTAAAAAAAATCATCATCTCTCTGGGTCAGGAATCCAGTCATAGCTTAGCTAAGTCTTTTGCCTCAGAATCATTCACAAGCATGTAATCAAGGTGTAGGCCAGGCCCGTGCTCTCATCTGAAGGCTCAACAGGGGAAGGATCTGCTTCCAAGGTCACTCATATAGTTACTAGCAGGATTCAGATTCTTGAAAGTTGTTGAACTGATGGTTTCATTTTCTCCTTGGATGTTGGCTGAAAACCACTCTCAGTTCCTGACCACATGGGCCTCTCCATAGGTCAGCCCACACATGGCAGCTTGCTTTATCCAGGGCAAATGTGAGAAGAACCAGAGACAGAGTATAAACCAAATAGAAGCCACACCCTCTTCTAGGCTAATTTTGGGGTAGAGATTATTGTGTTTAACAGGAAGGAGGCAGAAGCTAAAAGCTACTGATATACACTGAGACACTTGATATCTCTCTAATACTGTGAAGATTCTTCCCTCTGGCATAGTGGTTCCGTGGTTGGGTAGTGGGCTGACTCTGCCTCTCTGCCCCTCACCATCTTAGTCTACCACCTCATAACATCCAAGTATTTCCCTAGACTCTAAGAATGGGCAGAAAATTTCCTACTGTGGAGACAAGAGGCCTTTGAGACCTAGAGCCTGTCTTATTTCCCTCTATACTCACAGTGCTTAGGATGGTGATAGGCACATGGTGGTTGTCATCACTGTTTGTTAGATAAATCAATATGTAGCATTCTTTTACATGCCTGGCACTAGGGACAGAGCCTGAGCTTTTTACTGGGGCAGAGAATCCTGGGATTTACACAGGGGCCTCTGCTTTTTTGTGCCCAACAAGGACCCTCCATCTGTGCCTATGTACAGGGGGCTGCATCTTGCCATGGAGTCTTGAAATGCTTGTTGGATGTTTCAAAATGATAACTTTTAAGCTCACATTTCACAACTAAAATGATTCCATTGTGTTCTGAAAAATCTTTTTAATTGAATGTTCTCTTTGTCAACCCAATAAACTGCTAGTTTTGCAATAAGATTCCCCTGGCACCTTTCCTGGAAGGTTCACTGTGAGAAATTCACTCACATAACAATATAGTAGCAAAATCCTGTCAGCTAAGTTCTGTGGATTGATCACCTTCTGTATGCCAAGCACTGTGCTAGGTGCTGGACACAGGACAGTGGGTCATATAGGAACTCACAGAAGAAGGACAGAAGCCTCTTTTATGCTGCACTATTTTTTTTTACTGGAGATTTTTTCTTTTGTTTCCTATCACAGGAATCAACAAGACTTTCTTACACACACAGCGTGACCATAAGTGGAGAGAGAAATGTGCCAGAGTAAAGACAGCCATACATACTTGACACTTCTCCCATTAAAAAGTGGAGTCTATTTCCTTCCACTTGAATCTGCACTGACCTGAGACTGCTTGGACCCATAGGAAATGGCAGATATGACATATGGCCAGTCCCAGGCTTTGCCTTGGAGAGACCTAGAAACTTCTACCATAGTCTCTTGAAGCTTCGAGGTGGCAGGAAATAAATCCAACCAGCTACCTGGCCGGAGAAATCAGCAGGAAAGGCCCCAAGAATATGTGAAGAAGGAGATGGGCCTGGTAGAGCCCAGGCTTCCAACCAACTGACAAGACTCCAGGCATGGTAATAAAACCATCTCGATACTTCTAGCAGCAGCAGCAGCAGCAACCAACAGAACATCACTAAGTGACCCCAGTTGTGCCATCTGCCCCAGTTCCTGCTGCACAAAACCATGATATAAAGAAGTGGGTTATTTTACATCAGTAAGTATTGGGTTAGTTTTATACTCAGTAATAAATCAAGGGAGCATTTTACAACAGTTTCCCAGAAGATGGGCACAATAGTGGCCCCACAGGGTGGGGTGAGAAGAGTTGCTGAAGCCTTAGCATGAGACTCTCCCAGAAATCCCTTTTTTTTGATTTTCAGAAAGCCCTGATGCTACAGTAATAATAGCTAATATTTCTTAATTGCTATAAATATGGCCTTATTTCCTGCCACTTTGGGACATGCATTATACTCACTAGTAACTGATGCTTATGCCCCTGGCTGCTGGGAATAAATATTCTTATAGCCGCTATAAATCTTGCTGATCATTCAAGATTCCTCTTGGGTACTGGCAACTTCAGGAACTTTCATGTTGACCTAAGAGTCTCTCTACTTTTCATAACTCTATCTTAGCCAAGTTGTATTTTGTTGAAATTATCTCTGTTATCTCCACAAGTTTCTATTTTCCACTGGTAAGATGGTTGAAGATACAGATTGCATCTTCCTCATGGTTGCATGTATGTACAATTTTAACAGAATCTGCACATTGTAAATGACCAACCTAGCATTTGCATATTGTATTACAGTTTATAAAGGGTTTTCATGATTATCCCTCTTGAACAGTTGAATTGAGGCTCAGGGAGGAAAACGACTTTCTTAAAATCCCTGGGTCACAGGGGCTCCTCACTCAGAGGCTTGCTAATTTTCTCCCCCACATACTGAGGATATGGAGAACTTCTTAGTGGGAGGGAGAGAGCTGAAGCCCTATCCTCCCCATGGATACATATCCTTTGTTTTCAGTGTCTGGGAAATGCCCCAGGATTCCCTGCTGCGTTACCCTGGGAGACTATTGCTCAATCCCAGCAGCTGCTCTGGAGGAAGGAAAAAGCAGACATTCTGAATGTATCATACATACAATGCAATATTGAATTGGAGGTTGCTAATGAGCGAGAACTCTTTTATTGTGTAGTCTACTTCCAGTGAGGTCTAGCTCTTAATTTTCAGTGGGCGTAGCAGGAAGTACTAGTGTAAAAAATAAAACATATATATTACTAATACTGTTGCTATATAAAACAATATTTGGCCAAGATGGTTAAGATATGATTCAGTCCTTGTTCATCAAGTTGCTAAATATTATTCAGTGAGTGGAGTCACCATATGGCATAACTGAATTTTCTTGGGAGACTGGGTAAAATATTGTGTTGGATATAGAATTTGGAATTGTGCATGTCTCTGGTGGATAGAGTCTAGATCAAGCTGCAGACTGCTAATCCCATTAATCCCTCAGGCAAAGACTCTAATGCACGTGGCAAATGGAAATGGCTTAGCCCTGCATGTAGCACTCCACGAGGGCGAGTTTCTTCTCAGAAACTGAGGAAGGGTGGGCAGAACCACACATCTAGACAGATGCAATCTTTAAAGAAAAGTGTGTGTGGGCAAGTACAGTACCAGCTGGGAAAATCTAAATGACTGAAACCTATGACTCAGAAATCTTAAATTGCCTTAAAATTAATGAAGCTCTGTGGGGATGACTCAGTTCATTCATGTCCTTAGCTTGCAGGCTCGAAAGCTTGCAGAAGGAGCTGTTGTCTAAAGTTTGGAAGATCAGACTCCACAGAAGGAATGGGTCACATCCTTGGGGGTGGTCTGGGGTGCATGTGCTGGAGAGCCAGGTGAGCTGGTTTGCATCCTTCCCAGGGACCGAGTGACTTCTGGCAAGTGAAACCTCTGAGCCCTAGTTTCCATTCCTGTAAAATAAGAAACAGAGATTGAATTTCTAACTTCATCAGCTCTGATATTCTGATTACTCAAAGTCCCAGCAAGAAACAGAATTTGCCCTGGGTGGTTTCGATGAAGAGATTTTAATAAAGGGACTCCACAGATGTGTGTGCTAGTTAAGAGAACAAACAAGGAAGAGGAAGGCACCCAGAGATGAGTAAAAGCTTCTGCTATTACCATCTCCATGGTCAAGACACCCAGGAAAAATGGTGTTACTGGAACCCAATGAGAACCAGATCTCTGGTGGAGAGCCATCCTCTACCCGACCCCCGACCCCGGAAGGAGCCATCTTCCTGGGAGGAGGAAGCCCCTGCCAGAAACACAGTCTTAAGCAAGAAGGGAGCCAGGAAGAAGTGACCTGAAGCTTAACGTATTTCCCTAGTGCTGCTCTTTGGATGAGTCCAACTGGACGCCATTCAGGAAGGGAAGAAAGCTGTCCACAGGAGTTGGCCTCATGTGGCACAGAGAAGAGCAAAGAAGAAGGGTAGAGAGTGGGATCTAGAGTGGGTGAAAACAGAAAAACCAGCACACGTTTTATGCTTTTATAAATTTCATTTCTGAGTTAGGGAAAAAAGCACAATAAATATTTTCTCTGGAATAGCTGAAGAATGACTCTCAACTAACAGAGTTTCTGAGTGTAAGGACAAGGTTTTGCTTACTTCTTTAACCCATCAAAATCTAGCATGATGTTGGTGCTATGGTAAATAATCAGGGAATATTTATTGAATTAGAGGCTGGTCACAAATAAACGTTTATAAACATCTGCATGTGTATAGAGCATGATGCATGGTACATGTGAAGTGAAAATCTGTTGAACAAATAATGTGTAAGATTCAAAACAAACTATGTAAATCTTTCAAATGAAAACTTCTGTAAACCTCAGACAAATACTTGGCATTTTAGTTCTAGGAGTCATTTTGAATGTGATTTATAGTTGTCATTGCACAATGTGTAAATTTCTTGGACTATGAAAATGGGGTCTAAAATGTGAAGTAATAAATAAGCAAGGAGGGACTTAAAAGAGACATTTTCTACCTATTGTTACTGTTCAGAAATTATACAAGCAGGAGTGCTCACAAAAGTAGAATGTTCAGCATATTCAGACATACATGAAATCACCTCTGACATGTGGATGTACTAACAGAGGGATGCTATTTACAGTCAGGCAGGCCAGGAATGCACACCTAGCTATAGGATCTCTCAGTATTCTGACTTGAGACAAGTACTTGAACCTGTGAACCTCAGTTTCCTTTTAATCCCTGCCTCAGGATCCATGTGAGGGCTGAATGAGATGATATGTGTCACATTCCTAGTAAAGAGCCTGGCATGTCATAGATGTCCATCACTTTGTTCCATCTTTCTTGTGGGGTCACTGATTTTCTTGGAGTTGACATAAGGTGTAAGACCAAGGGGTCACTGATTTTCTTGGAGTTTATATAAGGGGTAAGACAAAGGGGTCATTGATTTTCTCAGAATTGATGTAAGGTGTAAAAACAGTCACTTCTTTTGCTAGAGGGGATTCTCTGCATGACAGAAGCACAAGAAATGGTGAAAGTTACAGAACACATCCAAACTATCATTATGTTTCATGTGTAGGAACTGATGTTCACCTGTGTTGCCTTAGCATGTGGAGGAGCACCGTATGTATGTGTCACTAATTCTTCTCTTCAGTATTCACCTAGCTCATATGACAGGCAGTGCTGTTTGTATAAGCTGCAGCCATTCTCCCATCTACGAATGGTCAAAGCCAATTCTCTCTATAGAAGCTGAAATGCCAGATACTTATGTTTCCAGCCTTCCATGCAAATAAGCAAGGCAATATGATACAATCCTGGCCAATGGAACTTAGGGAAATTCTATCTGGGAAACGTTGGGGTAAGATTTTCCTCTCCAGTAGAAGTGAGGGGTTCGTGGGGAGAAGCCCATTCCTGCTCTGTATATTATCATGGAGGCTATGATGCCTAAGGCTTTGGCAGCATCTTGAGACCACAAAGGGAAGCCAGGAGAACTGAAGAGATGTTGCCCAGAGATCTAGTGTAATTGAGGTGCGAAATACCAGATTCCTATCTCGAGAATTTTTGTGTTTAGAGACTCATTTACAAACACTGATTGTTTAGGCCACATGTAGACATGTATTCTGTTACGTGCAGCTGAAAGCATGCCAACTAAAAACCTATTTTCAGATTTCTTCTGGGGAAATAATTGAGTTCTTATGTTTCTGACTCTTCTCTCCAGCAGGTCATTAAAAGCCTAGAGTCCAGAAACTTCGTTAGACATTTTGAATTCCTCCATCCATTTACTTATTCATCCATTCAATCATTCATTATTTATTCAATCAATTCAATATGTATTCATCCAGTATGTGCCAATTCTTTTTTCCACTAATTGACTTTTGTGAGCTTTTAGAATCCTGCTCTAGCATCATGACCTTGAGGAAGTCTTCCTGGACGCCCACTTTCAGCTAAACAACCTTTCTCTGTGCATACTTAACAGTCACACGTAACATCTTTGGGGGGACCTCTCATGTTATATTGAAATAATTTACCTGTATATCTTTCCAACCACAGTGTACTTTTTTTAAATGCAGAGACTAATTAGTAGTCCACTTCCCTCCTTCCTTCCTTCCTTCCTTCCCCTTCTCCTTTTTCTCCCCCTTCTCCTTCTCCTGATCCTCCTCTTCTTCCTTAAGTTTGCATTATAGCAAACTTCTTAGCTATCAATGAGTATTCAAAACTCTTTGTAGACCAGACAGAATTAACGGACAGAGACTATGCCTTTTAGCTTTGCAATCCTAGTGCATGACCCAGAGAAAGTGCTTTGTAAGTGTTTGCTGAATAAAAAATAATTGTAATTCAGGAGAATATATTTTATTGAAATGACCAACTGGACCTAAGAATCATTTTGGAAATGGGTCAGTGCCATCTTATGTAGCATTAGGTAATAGTGGTGTATCACAAATATGTATTAAATAAATAATTTATGCCCATATTGCATCCAGAATTTCAAATGTAAAATTTTGTGTGGTGTGAAGTATGGCTCCATCCTGATTTTTTTTCCAAATTGGCTACTTAATATCTCTGCCTTATTTTGTGAATATTCCCTCCCTGACATTTTGAAATATCAACTTCATCATATACAAAGTAGTCATAATAAGTGGGTAATTTTTTGGAATCTTCAGTTGCCTTTCAGTTGCCTTGCAGCTCACACAGTATCTATAACTGTGTATACATTTGTCTTCCTTTTATTTTAGATCTTTTTCAATAATTTTTAGACATTTAACTATCCAGATAAACTTTGGGCTCAAATGTTAAGCTTCATAAATATCTCAAAATTCTCTCTTAAAGTTGAGGTAATATTTATAGATTATGCCATGCAATATGGCACAGCAAATAAAAGCACTGTTTTGCAGTCCACTGCCCAGAACTAAAATAATGACTTTATAACTTTTTAGCCTATGATTTTTGCCTAGTCAATGAATCAGTTTCTTCATATGCAAAAATGAAAATAATATCTATGCATAGAGTTGCTAGTTAGATTAAAATAAGGAAATTCATATAAAATATTGATCCTAGTGTCTGGCACAAGGAAAGTATGTAACAGGGATAATTAGATATTTAATGTCCCAGCATTATTCTAGTAACTTTTCACAATCACATCAGACTTGGGTAGAGAAGAGAAGTGTTTATCTTGACTTTTCCATTCAGTTGTTTTCAGGAGTAAAACTTGGAAAATGTAGCTCATTTTATTTATTTGTCTATATATATATAAGGAGAATTATAACATTGGTCTGTCCTACTCACAGGTGACTTAAAAAATCCAAGGAAGTGATAGATGTAGAAATGTTTTCTCCAATGAAAAGGATCACAACTGTATGAAAACAGTAATTACAATGCTCACAACTGTTGAGATTGTACCTAGAAGGTCAAGTCTTGAGGGTTGCATGAAGGAATTGCTACTGGATTTTGATCTTTAAATGGCCCTCTTTAGTTGCAATATATTTGGGATTATAGAATATAAAACACCTTTGGAATATGTATGTTTTATAACTAGGAAATATGTCTTAGGATCCAAAGACAGACATAACTTATGCATTGCCACATTAAATTGACCTCAGCATCCTCATCTGCGGTATTTTTTAAAAGGTATTAACCTTGAAGCATTAATGGTTAAATCTCCAATAAAGATGCAAATGATTAATAGAACAATGCAGTAGGGAAGTTTTCTTTTGCTGTACATGACTCACCATTTATGGGAAAGACTTTGTAACATGTTTACCTGCTGGGGACTAGTCAGATTCACCTTGAACAATGAGGAAATATCAAAATCCCTTGTGTTTGTGCCAGAAAATAAGCATATCATTATCTAAAACTCTTTGTGACCATTTCGCTCTGACATTCTATCACTGCATTCTGTAGCAAAGACCCTGAAACATGTCACTTTTCTGTAGACCAGTGTGACAGAATTTGAACAGGCCTGACACAAGTGTTGTGACTTGTGATATGGTTTTCTGGTTAGCTGGTAGCTAGCACATAGGTAATGATATGGCTTTAAAGTTAGATTTTTAAAACTACTTTTGATTTGTGACCATGAAAGAGCAACTCGTTTTCAGCCAGCTTTTTGAAATTTTTTGCTAGTTAATCTAAAGGAGGTTACTCTTAATTAAATGTGAATAGTGATTTTTAAGGGCACTTAACGACGTGTAAGTAGCACCTAGTAAGCACATCAAAATCCTACACTGTCACAAGTTGCCATCGCAGATACTTACTCAGAACTTTCTTAACCCAAATATTGGACTTTTTAAGAGTTGAGGATCAAGGGCAATTCGGGAGGGGAGTGACATTTGTATAAAAAGAATTGACATTACATATTTTTTAGAAATATGTATTTATTGAATGACAAATTAATTTTATAATATTGGTGGACCTATAAAATAGTTCTATTCAAACCTATTTTCAAAAGTAAAATTCTTTTTAAAATTTGAAAAATTTCAAACAAATCTGTATCTGAACAAATGTCGACCCTTCTTTATATTGAATATCTGAACCATAAAAGTTAGTCTAACCTGAATAATTAGTTTTGGATTATATTTATCTACTTTGAACAATTTCTTAGCCATTTGTGTCTTCAAAACCATGCCATAGTATCTTTCTGAAATTTAAAAAATATGGTCTTATCTTTAATTTTAATAAATTGTCTCTAATCCTCTTCCAAGTTTCATTGTAAAGTTATAATTTTGAAATTTGACACATTCAACTGACACATTTCTATAGACCCTATTTTTTAAATTGTGAAAACATTCTCTATGGCTGCTGAAGTATTTGGTAGGATTAGAACAAATTCTACTGGCAGAAGATACTCTTAATAATTTTCTTCATACTGAAAAGTGTACATATTTCACATCAAATAGTGTCCCAGTTCCTATCTTTGCTTCCATTCATAGCACCTTTCCTCCTTCAATCTTTTATTAGAACTTGTACGTCATTTACATTTTTCTCATCATTCAGGTCTTTCCTTTCTCTTGCAGGGACAAAGGTGAATGTCCTGTTATTTGCAAGCTTTTTTTTTTTTTAATAATTACAACTTGTTAAGAGCTTCAAAAGCTGCAGGGTTTTTTGTTGTTTATTTTTGGGCAGAGGGCGCACTCCACTTGCTACCTTGATTAAAGATTCCCAACCAATTCTGAATAAAATATGAGCAAATTTAGAGACCTGTTTACAAAAAGTTTAATGGCATTGCAGGGCACTTAGATTGATGTGCAGAATAGTTCTGAATAAATCAAAAATTTCTAAAATCTGATCAGAGAAGAACAAAGAATGTAGACACACACACACACACACACACACACACACACTGATTATAAAAATATTCAACATTAGCTTTGTCAAAAATTTTGTAATTTAGTTACTTAAGATGTTTATATGTATATCTGTATGTTTTGACAATGACGGATTTTATTTTGATTGGCAGATTATTTCAGCTTCTCTGAATTTTATTGTTAATTTTGTTTATCTCACAAGAAATTCCAAGGACAGTCTGTTCCATAGATTTCTTAATTTTGTATTTACATTACATCACAAACACATAATTTGATCTTTGATATTGAACTTTTAATTGAATTTTCAATTCATTTTAACATTCAATTAGGTTTACTTTGATTCCATAAAATGGAAAAACAAAAATTTATTATTGAAATTAATCTGACTTCCTATTTTTAGGATTTTTTAATGAAACTGAAATTATTTAACTCTTTATGAATTTCTTCTGCTAGTAAAACCAACATATTAATAATTATAGTTTTACACTTGGTACAGGTTCAAAAATACTTAATTTTAAAAGTGAGTACAATTAATTTAAGGAATAATTTGATCTAACTGCAAAGTCATGCTCTGTAGAGTGATTGTAATCTCACTGTCTACCACATCATATGTTAAATCATACTTGGCAGGCACTTCCTTAAAATAATTTTGAAATAGATACTGATGTTTCTTCAGCACAGTTGATCTTTCAGTTTCCCTGTGGTTACTAATATTACAACAACATGTATGGTAAAAGAAAGCATTGAGGAGTATTTTTTGCCACGTCATGATTCATTTTCTTGAAAAACAGAAATTTACACTTTTCATTAATTAACTATACTTTTTGGTTTTTGATGTTAATATGATTAATAGCAAAAGAAAACTGTTATCAAATAAAATCTTTAAAAAAAATCTGTAGAGTTGCATTACATAATAAATGGCATCTTTTTTTTTTTTTTTTTTACATACTTTGTATATATTTAACCTCTATTTTACTTGTTTTCTACACACTTCATCTGACTTGTGACCTAGGAACTTTGTGAAACTTTCAAGCTTCACTATGGCCCTGGCCCAGTGGGTAGTATACCAGATGACTGGCAGCAGCAGCTCAAATACTTCCCTCACTGCTACTCAAGACTGGGAAGAGTTAGTTCTCACTATGTGCTAGTGTTTGAGCACATTTTGTTTTATTTGCAAGTATCCTACATACTTTCATTTGAAAGAGAAGTGTTGGTTACAGTTTGTCTGGAAAGGGTCAAGAAAAGAGATGTTATTTTTGGTCATCTTTCAGATTTAATCATAGGTTGAAGTGGGGTCTCTTGACTGCACTCATTTCAACTTCACTAGATAGATCATAAAGGAAGTTTTAAGTGCCAAGTGAAGGTCTACCAAATCCAACTTAATTCATTTCAATGCATCAAATAATTATTACTCTGTCTAAATAAAATAGATAATGGACAATGTAAAATAGATGAGACACAAAACAATAGGTTTAAACTAGGTCTGTGCTGAGTAAACTGTGATACATGGTTACAATACATACAGAGATGCTAGTTAATATCACAAAATTACTGCTTCACAAACCACTGCAAAACTCAATGGACTAACCCAATAGTCATTCCTTCTCCTGGCTCTGTGGTTCAGCTGAGGGTCCCATTTTGCTGTATTTTGCATGCTATTTCAAGTTCCCTTGGGTCAACTCACCATGGCTGGACTCTGATCTGTGTGTCTCTAATCCTCTCCTGGGATCAGCAGGCCAGCCTGGGTGAGTTTTTCTCAAGGCAATAACAAGCAGAAGAGAGCAAGCCCAAAACTGCACCTGCTTCTCAAGCCCATGTAATATTTTATGTCACATCTAACATCTCATTGGCCGAAGCAAGGCACATGACTAATTCCAGAATCAAGGGGTAGAAAATTAGTCCACTGATATGAGTAGGGGGAAAAAAGTTAATATTTTTGAACAGTAACCGAAACTACTACATAGGGAATTTTCAAGGAGCCCCAATTAAGAGTTTTACCATTTCATTTTGTGGATTTTTCTGATGCACTATCTTTTTGTGATATGCTTTACAACATATCTATAAATATATTTCTGATTTAATCCTTAAAGTTCTATGAGATGGGCATGTTATTATTTCCAATTTACAAATAAACTGAAACTTGGAGAACTGAACTCTTGACCACAGAGCTAATGGATGACAGACAAAATTCCGCAGGTGTGAATGACCTCTCGGCCTCTCCTCTTAACTCTTTTGCTAAAATGCTTTACCAAATTATTTGGCACTAAGAAAATGATTTCCTGACTGTTGCTAGAGGCCCTGCTAGCAGCTTGGAACACATAATCATTCTCATCTAGCAGAATATAATTATTGGTATAATTCTGAGCTACTGTAATTTCATTCTACTAAAAAATCGCAGCATGAATTTGTAATATCAGGAAGACTTTGGGGCTAGAGAAAATAAAATGTTTGGAAAAATGCTGCCATATGTACAGGATTCAAGTGGCATCTGCGTGTGCTCATTACACCACATCATTCTGTATCTGTCCAATTTGTTCCTCAGGTAACTCAAATGACTCATGGGGTTGGAACTATGATGTTCTGAAGGCCTTCAGTTTTTGCTTCCAGCTTATGCCCAATAAAGCATTTTTTTATTATTCTGCGTGTATCATACATAAAGACATTATTTCTCCTCTCAACTAACTGAATACCTTCCCTAGATATGTTTTCTTTCCGCTGAGAATAGCATGTTTAGTATAATGCACATCAAGTCTCCCCACCCCATGCCTCTGAAACCAATGATATTAGCTTAGAATTCTGCTTCAAGGAGGGATTAGGTTCCAGGACAGAGATTTGGATGGGAGTGGCAGTGAAATAGATTGCTGAAGGGCAGAGGGACCAGAGGAAGAGGAGCAAGTCAGGACAACCTAGAATCAAACATAGTATAAACTACAAAATTTGGAACTTACTGAGATCCTAGAGTCTGCTCCAAACTTCTCCTTTTACAGTTGAAGAAATAAAAGGTATTGTGAATTCTGAATGATTCCAAGTGAATTAACGAATGGCAAAGTCAAATTTAACCACCATTCCTAGCCCTGTGTAATGGTTAAATTGTCAACTTGGCTAGGCTATGGCACTCAGTTGTTTGGTAAAATACTAGTCTAGATGTTACTGTGAAGATATTTTGTACGTATGACTGACATCTACAGTCAGCTGACTTTAAGTAAAGACAAAGATGGCCTTGATAAAGTGGGTGGGCCTCATTCAGTTTAAGGCCTAAAAGCTAACACTGAGGTTTCTGGAAAAGAAGAAATGCTACCTTAAGACTGCAGCAGATGGCTGGGTGCGGTGGCTCACGCCTGTAATCCCAGCACTCTGGGAGGCTGAGGCAGGCGGATCACGAGGTCAGGAGATCGAGACCATCCTGGCTAATATGGTGAAACCCCGTCTCTACTAAAAATTACCAAAAATTAGCTGGGTGTAGTGGCGGGTGCCTGTAGTCCCAGCTACTTGGGAGGCTGAGGCAGGAAAATGGCATGAACCTGGGAGGCGGAGCTTGCAGTGAGCTGAGATCATGCCATTGCACTCCAGCCTGGGTGACAAAGTGAGACTCCATCTCAAAAAAAAAAAAAAAAAAAAAAAAAGCTACAGCAGAGAAAATCCTGTTGAGTGTTCAGCCTGCTGGCCTATGCTGCATAATTCAGAGTTGCCAGTATCCACAATTGCATGGGCCAATTCCTTAAGGTAAATGATAAATCTCTCTCCCTGTCTTTCTCATTTTCTCTCCCTATACATGTGTGCATGCACACACACACACACACACACACACACACACACACACACGAAATTTGTTTTGTTCCTCTGGAGACCTCTGACTGATACAGATTTTGGTATCAAGAGTGGGGTGCTCTGTAGTAAATACCTATAAATGTGGAATTCGCTTCAGAATTGAATATTAAGTAGAGACCAGAAGAATTTTGAGGCATATGTTAGAAAAAGCCTAGATTTCCTCAAAGAGACTTTTGATAGAAATATGGGTGTTAAATGTGATTCTGGTGAGGGCTCAGACAGAGACAAACACAGTGGGATTGCTGTGTGGTAAGCAGAGATTGGAGTGGTGCTGCCACAAGCCAAGGAACTCCTGGGCCTACCAGAAACAGGAAGAGGCAGGGAGAGATCTTCCTTGAGAAGGTTTAGAGGAAGTGTGACTTTGCTAGCATCTTGCTTTTGGACTTCTAGTCTCCAGAACTGAGAGAGAATAAATGTCTTGTTTAAGCCACCCAGTTGTGGTGCTTTATTATAGCAGCTCTAGGATACTAACACATCTGGGATCTGCTAGGATTCTGGAACAGTGCTAGACTCTAAGGCTACTAAGAAGAGTAAGACATAATCTATCTTCTCAAAAAATTGATCTTCTGCTTATTCAGGTATTTACAAGTAGTATAGTAATGGGCTGGTCTAACATACCTGTGGAGTAACAGGGAGCCGGCAGAACACTCTAAATATCAGGCTGCCACCATAGTTTGGGGTTCAGATTTTAGTTTCTAAATCCAATATTATAAATGAGCAGTTTTAACAATGTGCTATGAACCAAAAGTACCAGGTCTATGTGGACTAGAAAGGATAGGCAAAGTTTCCTGGAGGAATTATTGCCTTAAACTTGTCTGGAATGATAGATGGGATTTAAATGGACAGAGTACAAAGAAACCCATTCTAGAAGAGCAAACTACAAGCAAACACATGGAGCCTGGGATGGATAAGCCACTATTAAGCTCCTACTATGTATTGTCAGCTGTAGGTTTTGTCATAATTAACTCTCAAGCATCCCAATAAGGCAGGTATTATTTTCTCCACTTCAAATATGAGGACATGGAGATTCAAAGACTCACCCAAAGTCACATGGCTGGTAAGAGGCAGAGCTGCTTTAATGCAGAGCTTGCAGAGTTCATGCATATTCATGGATGGTGAGGGGCCAGTCTGGCAAAACCAAAACGCCTCTCTTCTGTGTTATACTATACCTTACTGTTACTATCATCACCCTATACAACACCAGAACTTATTTCTCCTATCAAATTTTAACTTTGTACCTGTTGACCAACCTCTCCCCATTTCCCACTCCATTCCCCAGACTCTGGTACCTGTTCTCTGCTTCTATCATACTAACGTTTTATTTTTATTTTTAGATTCTATAAATGAGTGAAATCATATGGTACTGTCATTGTATCTGGTTTATTTCACTTAACATGATGTCCTCCAGGTCCATCCATGTTCTTGAAAATGACAAGATTTCATTCTTTTTTATGGCTGATTAGTATTCCATTGTGTGTATGTACACATTTTTATCCATTCATTCATTATTGCATGCTTGGGTGGTTTCCATATCTGGGATATTGTAAATAATACTGCAATAAACATAGAAATGCAGATATCTCTTTGACGTACTGATTTCATTTTCTTTAGATATATACACTGTAGTGGGAGTGCTAGATTGTATGGTAGTTCTATTTTTAATTTTTGAGGTAATCTTCCTACTGTTTTCCATACTGGTTGTATTAATTTATAATCCCACCAACAATATGTATAAGTATTCCCTTTTCTTTTTTCTTAGTGTACTTTTCTTTTATCATTTTGATAATAACCATTTTAATTGGAGTGAGGTTGTATCTCACTGTGGTTTTGGTTTGCATTTCCCTGATGATTAGTAATACTGGATATGTTTTCAAATACCTGCTGGCCATTTGTATGTCCACTTTTGAAAAATGTCTATTAAGGTCTTTTGCCCATATTTAATTGGGTTCTTGTCATTGTTGTTGAGTTGTTTAAGTTCCTAATATAATCTGGATACTAACTTTTTGTCAGATGTGTAGGTTGCAAGTATTTTTACCATTCCATAGATTATCTCTTCACTTTGCTAATTCTTTCCTTTGCTGTGCAAAAGCTTTTGAGTTTGATTTAATTCTATTTTTCTATTTTTGCTTTTGTTGCTTCTGCTTTTGAATTCTTATTTTAAAAAATCTTTGCCCAGCGCAATGTCATAAAATGTTTCCCCTATGTTTTCTTCTAGTAGTTTTATAGTTTTGGGTTTTACATTTAAGTCTTTAATCCGTTTTGAGTTGATTTTTTACATGGTGAGAGGTAGGGGTCTAGTCTCATTCTTTTTCATGTGGTTATCTAATTTTCCAGGTACCATTTGTTGAAGAGGCTTTTTCCCAATGTGTGTTGTTAGCATCTTTGTCAAAAATCTGTTTGCTGTAGGCTCTCTATTCTGTTCCATTGTTCTACGTGTCCATTTTTATGCCACTACCATGCTGTTTTGGTTACTAGAGCTTTGTAATACACTTTAAAGTCAAATAATGATGCCTTCAGCTTTGTTCTTTTTGCTCAGCATTGCCTTGGTTATTTTGGGTCTTTCATTATTCCAAATGAATTTTAGGACTGAAAGAACTGTTTCTTTCTCTTACATTTGCTTCAGCTGCTTTTTTGGTAGGTTAAGTTAACGTGGTAGATTTTCTGAAGATACAGTGAGAAAATCATTTATAGGCTACCTATGCAGCATTTTAATAGTTTAGTGACTATTTCAAAATATATGTAATTATTACTGAGGCAAATAGGAGCATATTAACTATCTATTTTTATCTATTTTCCTGGCACCGGTGGAATGCTATTAGTCCCAGTCTGCTGTGTGGCTTTTCCCTGTAATAGAATCACTGGTTCTCTAGCACTAAGCTGAATTGTGTGGCCCAGCTTTATATTGTTGTTGTTGCTTTAAAATAAATTTGTCCTGTGTTAATTGCTATTACATAATATCCAATTAGCAGTTCATTTGGGACATACCTGTGTTTGAAGCCGAGATAATCAAGGTAAAAACCTGGATTCTGTAGTCCAAATATCTTGACAGACATTACTCTGCATTCTGTTGCTTCATAATGTTGGGGGAATAATCCTGTGCTTGGAGCTGGGCAATTGCAAAAATGTAGCTGACATTTATTGAGCTTAGCTATGTGACATGTATTGTACTGAAGGATTTAATGTAGGACCTCGTTTTGCCACCAAGACAACCCTCTGAAGTAAGTACTACTATCCACATTTTATGCAAAGGAAGCTAACTCTCAGATTACATAGCTTGCTGCAGTGACTTAATAGAGCATGAGATGTAAATAGGTATTTGCATTCACGACTATCTAAATCCAAAGTCCATTCTATCAATCACTTTTCTACACTGACCTTCTGGCTATATGGTAGGTACTCAGTGATCAAATGGGTTATTGAATAAAGGACGTTGTCTTTGACACACATTACCTCATGACTTTTGGGTGAATTTTTCCCCCTGGGTTTTATATTCCTATCTTTAGAATTCAAATATTAGATTAGAAACCTCTAAATCTCCTTCCCCCTGTGCCTGTGTTTCTAAGATTTAAAACCTTTGTTATCTGAGAAATTTCAAGAGCATAAAAACCCTCCAATTAATTCTCATCTTGGAGACCTCATATAAAACATAAAACATGCTTCATTGTCCTGGATCGTCTCTGTTTTGGTTAATCTAATACTTCATTTAAGTTATGTACTTATTTTCATCTCTTTTTCCTAAGGATTTGAGAATTTAAAAATTAGAAAGAAACTGAAAAAACAGAGTAAGGCAGAAAACTAAAATGAGATGACAGTAAAGTCAGTAATATAGACATAGGAAGACTCAACATAGTTAGAAAAGGTGGGTTACCTCTCTAGCTGTGGGCTTCTCAATGATCAGTGTTTCTAATAGAAGAAGAGTGGCTCTGTGGAAGCTTCCTCATTGCATAGGCATGGAGGCAATTTACCACAGAGGAATGACTGGAGCTAGGCAGTGAGCCTGGGCTTGATGCTACCCAGTGGGCAGATAACCGCCTTGGAGTCAGAGCCATCTCCCTGCCAGACAGAGACCTGGTTGGGCTGGAATAAACAACAGAAGACCTAGGGTTTAAGGAGGCTTGGGAAGCCTCTTCCCTGTGGTTTCAGCATATGAAGCTGTCAGTCAGAGACCCACAGATGCGTCTTTGGGTGTGTTACAGGCAGTGATGGCAGCAGGGTTGCTGTAGGAGGTGGCGTAATGGCTACTGAAGGTAAAAGCTGAGATTGCTAATCTGAAATCAAGTCGTTGATCCACAGAAGCTGACTAAGGATTGGAACCAAAAGAGGGATGTGGAATCTGGAAAGAATGCAGAATAAAAGCAAGAGAGCCACAGACAGACTACAGATGGCAAGCTACACAACTCCAGAGTCAGAATGTGCCAGGTAGCTACAGATGAAAGGTTAAATATCTCCACAGGTTGCTACTCTATGTTCACCTTATCTTATGTAAAGTGCTGATTTACTGAGCCTGAGACAAATACATGATTGATGATTCTCCTAGCTGCTCCTTTTCACTTGTAATGTGGATTCAGTAATGTTACCATACCCTCCCTCTTTCCCCTCCAGCCCTCTTTTCCCCTTTAAATATTGGAGCCTTCAAAACCATCCTTAGAGAAAGGAACAGACCTGTCTCCTGGTCATGTCATTTACCTTGGCAAAATAAACTTCTGAATTGATTGAGACCTGTCTCAGATACTCTTTGGTGGACAGGGCCATGCTGGGTATTTTTAAGGAGCTGAAACAGAGTGAACAGTAGACAGGACTGGTGATGCATCTACTCTTGATGCATCCAGTAGCCTCTCTAGGGCCCAAGGCAAGAGGTCCTGTTCAGGGCTGCCTCCAAGCCAGTTCTCCTTCTGTGTGGGCCTCACCATTTCCAAATGACTTCACCAGAGGTCTTGGCAAAAGGTTTAGAGTTCAAAATGGAGATTAAAACTCCCTCAGAGATTGGGGCATGAATGAATAGGAAGGGAACCACCTTTGCTTTCAGGATATGGCCTCTTTGGGAGGGTGTTCCTACTCACTGGTGGAAGCACCACAACCTGCCTCTCTGCATGGCCACAGGCACGTCTGTTAACTCTGCTGACCTTTCCTTATAAATGCCAGCATTCAAGGTTCCCGCTTGATGTGAAGACTGGCCGAAGTCATGGTATCAATCAAATTGCAGTGGGATGAAGCTGGCTCCTCTGCACCATGGTGTGTAAACTTGCCCTCTTTTGTCCAGATGCAAAACCACCACAGTCTCCTCACAGCCGTATTTCCATTGCAGGCCCTCAGAGAGCAGTAACTCATTTAAAATTGAGTCGGTGTTGGCCAGAGTCCTGCATGGAACAGCTCGTAAATCTGCATAATCTTTCTTTCTCTTTCACTCATACTCTGTCATTGGCAATACTTTGTAAACTGGAAAGCACTAGTAAACATCAATTAATATTATTTACTCATTCATTCAACAAACTGGCACATTCTACGTGCCAGTTGCCGGATGATACAGGTATGAGTAAGACCTAGCCACAGTTCTCAAGATTCTGGAGGGTTGGGGAGAGAGACCATAGATGTTCATCATCACAGACAAAACCATGTGAAAGCAAACCAAGAGGCTGAAGGAAGCCCTGACACTGGGCCCTGCCTTGGGGGTCAGTTCTGGATGGAGGATTTTTAAGAAGGGGGATCAGAGAAGGAGATTCGTGAACTAAGTGTTGAAAACAGGGTCCCAGGTGGTTAGGGAGAAGGAACAGCAGGAGCAACAGTCCCGATGCAGGAGAAAGCCTGTTGTGGGTGAGGGAGAATTAAGTAGGTCAACATATCTCAGTTTATTGCAGCACAGAAAAAAAAAAATTAGGATGATTACTAGCTGAGGACAGCAGCAGGCTACGATGGTTCACAAAGGGAGGTGGACTACTTGAAACAGACAATGGATACTCAATTGTTTTCAACAGGGAGGTTATCTTTATTTATTTTTATTCTATTGCTTTATTATTATTTGTTGTTATTATTTCAGAAAGAACCCTGGCCATATCAGAGGGTCATCCCCTCTTAATGAGAATGTGACTGGCCTATAGAATTAATAAAAAAAAAAAAACTGGATGGAAACTACCCCTCCATGTAGTGACTCAGCCCTCCTTGATGTGAAGGCCAGGTGATTTGGGATTCCAGGCAGGAATGAGGCCGTGAGGCAGCACAGAGCATGGAGGGCGGTGGGGGGATGGAGGCAGGCAGCTAAGCGGCTTTTGTAAGGGCCTGAGCCCCTGACTGCTAGGCAGGCACCATATGCTCAAGGAGGTTCATTGGTTTTCATCTGTTACCAGGGACTCCATTCACTGGTTCCCCACCCACGGGAGCACCCACTGGATGGTGCATGGCAGACACCCACAAGGAAGACAGCACTGGCCTCACTGTAGGGCCGTGTGGTCTAAGGCAGACATCCTTACCGGCTGCACGTGAGGGTCATCCAGAGAGCTCTTAAAGCAGTGATGACTGAGCCCCACTCTAGACCAATTAAAGTAGAATCCCACTGGAAGCCATCTGTCCTTCCTCCCTGAAGGGCCAGGTTGGAGAGGAGGGTGTGCTCAAGGCCCTTTGGGACAGGGAGATGATGTGGAGATGAAGGGGCTCTGCTGCAGGAGGTGGCATGTGAGGGGCCTGGGTAGAGACTGTGGTGACTGACACTTTAGCCACTGGCTGAACAAAGGGCTCTAGTGGAAAGGCGCTGCTGGCCTGGGTCTAACTCCTGGACCTGTCCTGGTGACTTAGGTTTTTGTTTAACATCTCCATTTTTGAGCATCTTCAAACATAAACTACCACAAACTGGAGGGCTTAAGCAACAGACACTATCATCTTGCAGTTCTAGAGGCCAGAAGTTCAAGATCAAGGGTTTATAGGGCTGATCCCTTCTGGAGGTATAAGGGAGACCCTGTTCCTAGCCTCTCCCCCAGCTCCTGGGGGATTGTGGGCCACATCTGGCGTTCCTTGGCTTGTAGACTCCTCACTCCAATCTGATCTCTCCATTCATCTTCACACAGCGTTCTCACTGTGCGCCTGGCTCTGTGGTCAAATTTCCCCTTTATGTAAGGACATCAGTTATGTTGGATCAGGGCCCACCCTAATGACCTCATTTTGATTTGATTACCTCTGTAAAGATTCTAGCTCCAAATAAGGTCACATTACAAGGAACTGGGGGTGAGAACTTCAACATATGAATTTTGGGGGGGTGGGACCAAAATAAAAACCAATATTATTTCTACCCATTTTTTGCCATTAGGTGATAGAGTCTGCATAATATTATCTTATTAATCCTCCCCCAAACACTGTGTAATGTAGAGTATTAATCTTATTTTAGAAATGAAGAAACAAAGCTGCAAAGAAATGCAGTATCTGGCCTGGGATCACAAACAGAAAGCCGATGGTAGAGGCTTTTCGAAGGCAGGTTTGCCTATGTGTGATCCATTATGTTCCCATAGGATGGAGCAAGTCTGATTGAGCCCCACAAGCCCTTTCAGGCTTCTGAGGTCTGTATTTTTCTGTATGGGAAAGAATCAAGGCTGATTTGGCATTGCCATTGTCAAGAAGATGCAACTCGGCAGGACTCATGGAAAGGTATGCACGTATTGAATCAGTAACAGGATCCTGAAGTGCCAGCTGTCTTTCTTTATTCATAGCTTTTCATAGCTGGAGGTATAGTGCAGGAGGAGGAGGAGGAGGTAAGAGGAGGACAGGAGATTGTGTAATTCTTACAGGAAGAAAGCCAAAAGAAAAGGAAAAATGCAAGCCGTGTCGGCACACAGGCGACTGTACAGAAATAAGATGAGTGTTCAGCTGTGTCCTGAAATGGTCATGGAGCACTGGGCTAGAGGAAATGTTGCCTTTTGCAGTTTTGCTGGAGGCATAATCTAGACTTCATAAATTATCAGCCAGTCTGCTCTGCTCAGCTCAGCTTTGTTCAGAAAACATGTACTGAGAAGCTGTTTTAAGCTCCACATTCACATAGACCATGCTTTGCAGAAGCTCGGAGTCCATAGGGGCTGCAGACCCACAAAGGGATCACCATGGTACAATGTGCAGAAAAAAGCAGAGGCAAGTAAGGCAAAGCTGAGGGGAGGCTACCAAGCAAGCCTGGGCTGGGGGAGGAATCAAGGAGGACTTCTTGAAGGAGGTGATGGCTGAATCTTCAGAGATGAGCAGGCAGTAGCAGGGTAGAGGTGAGAAAGGCAATGGTACTAACAAAGGCACTCATGTGGAATAGCATGTGTGGTGACCAGTGTGCATGGGTATTTTAATTTGGGCTAAATGTGCCTCTTGTGATGAGATGAATAATGCCAAGCTTCTTTTGCAGGCTGAAGTCGGCACACCTGCCTAGCCTCCTTCATTAGCATCTCATGGGGACTGGAATATATGGTTCCTTCACCATTGTAATTGTGCCTTGGCTCAGTAAGCTTTCAGTTGCCAAAAAAATACTTAGCGGAATATGAATCAGAAAAATCAAAGCACTTTAAGAAAAGGATTAATTATTAACAGCGTTATCTATTAAAGCTTAGCACTTAGAAAAGAGCTACAAATTGGTTCTGAATATGGCAGTGTAGAGATTCTGGACATACTTATATGGGTCTTGTGCCATAACATCTTGCAAAGTGTTTAGCTGACCCAGGTAATTCAAGAAGAAGTTCATATAACCCCTGCTATTAAAATTCTTCCATTACTTTCTTTGAGAACACCCAAAGATTAGCCAAACATTAGGGAACATATCCTGCTGTGGCAAAGCTTTGTGTACTGTGTCTTCCTGCTGATCAAGTGATGCTTCGTTTGTAAAAGTAACAAGGGGCAGAAATTCAGAAAAAGAGATTTTGTTCATATAAATAACCTCCCTTCCACTGCGTTATGCTAACAGACGTATCACATGAAACAATCATATCACAGAGATACATTTTTCCTTGCAACAAAAACCTGTTTTCTTTGTAATGTTAATCCTAATGTGGTTTTTAGAAGAAAATTAAATATTGATGAACTTGTGGATAGTACTGTGTCTTAATTCATTATAGTACTGTTAAAGAAACCGATGATTATTCTTTCAGAAATACTTTTATGCCTGTAAACACTTTGACTTCTATTCAAACAAAAGTTCTTATTGTTAAATTATCCATCTGAAGTGGAACCCATTTTTAAAGGGAGGTGTTTTAAAAATGGAATCCTTCTTTGTACTCTTTTTAGTTTTATAATGCATGGATTTCTATTGTTTAAAATTATGCTTGTGTGTCATTCAAGAAAATCAGGAGCCTCTTTAAGTATTTAGAACAGGAGGAATTTAATCCAATGAATTAGCTTCAGTGGTGATAGAAGATCAGAAAAACCAAACAGAGTAGGACAAAGCAACTCAGAGATTAGCACAAAAAAAAAAAAATAGGGAGCCAGGTCCATCCCAAACTGAACAGCAAAGGGACAAGGCTGTGCTTTCCAGGTCAAGGGGCAGGGGTTGGAAAGGCTGAAGGGAAGAGGGAAAAGGAAAACAACCCAGACTTTTTCTTTCTTGCCCTTTCCTAGCTCTCCTCCAAGACACTATGGCCAACTGAAGCCCAAAGCCAGCTGAGAGGGGAGTCTGGGAACTGCAGGGTGCATCATCAACCCAGTGAAATGCAGACCAGAGCAGAGGAAGGCCAGGATCTGCACAGCTCATTCGCTTTTTATGGACTTACTTTCCAAGGAAGAAGGTGTGAAACTGTATAACCCCATCTCTGATAAAGATTGATGAAGGGAGAGAGAGGAGGAGAGAGGCAAGTGTTCCAGGCAGAGAAATAGAGACACGACCCTGAACTGGAGCATTGACTTCCTTCTCTCCCTTTCTCCTTCCTTCCCTCCCTTCCCCTCTTCCCCACTCCAGTTCTTCCTCCCTTCTGTCCTACATTCCTCCCTTCCTGTCTTTTTCTCTACACCCTGGAGTCTGGAGTCTGTGTGATGTGTTTCTGTTGTTGTTATTTTCTTCTGACTCTTCCGGTTTTCCTCCATGCCTTCCTTAAATTACTCCCAGGCCCTGCCTCGTGTCTTATGGGTCCCTCCCTGAGAAGTATATTGGCTGGGGAAAAGCTCTGAGGGAGCAGAGCATGCATTAGACACAGAAGGGTTGGCTTCTCCCATCTTCTTGTCCTTTGACTTTTGCATATGTGGCCCTCCCCATCTCATCAGCTGCTAGCCTGGAGCTCCGGAGGGTGGAGTCTCCTCCATGCCTTGCAGGGTGCTGCGTGCAGCAGGTGCTCAAGGCTGCGGAGTCAGGATTTGAAGCTGAGCTCCAGTATGAGACACTGGGGAAGGTCTTAATTCCCAAATTCCATTTTCCCATCAGAATAATGGAATGGGGTTTTCAAATATCAACTCTGCACAGTTTTTATGGGAAGAACCCATTGTTATTGCAGTCCATGAGGCATGTGCCTGGAGCAATGTAAGTTTTGATTTTTCCTTTTTTTTAATACATGATTCCTGCCTGGATTACTGAAGCAGCCTCCTAAGGGCCTCCCTGCTTTGACTCTCAGCTCCCACTGTGTCTCTCAACATACCAGCCAGAGTGATCTTTTCACACCGCAAGTTGGGATCTCCATGCCGCATCTTGCTCCCAGCCTCACCATGGCACGCGTTCCACCTGGGATGAACACTAAACTCATTCCAGAAGCCTTCAAAGCTCTGTGTGGTCCAGTTTTTTCCATTTTGACTCTTCCCTTTGTGTCTTGTTTACTCTTCCCCAATGTGGCTCACCCCTGCCTTTGGGCCTTCCCATTTACTGTCTAGAGACTCTGCCCCACTGCCCATATGGTGAACCCCTCATGACCTGCAAGCCCTGAGGCCTCCTCTGACACCTCCATTAAAATTGCAGCTCTGCCAGGTGTGATGGCTCACACCTGTAATCCCAGCACTTTGGGAGGCCGAGGTGGGTGGATCACGAGGACAAGAGATTGAGACCATCCTGGCCAACATGGTGAAACCCCATCTCTACTAAAAATACAAAAATTAGCTGGGCGTGGTGGTGCATGCCTGTAGTCCCAGCTACTCGGGAGGCTGAGGCAGGAGAATAGCTTGAACTCGGGAGGCGGAGGTTGCAGTGAGCTGAGCTCTCGCCATTGCGGTCTAGCCTGGCGACAGAGCAAGACTCAAAAGAAAAAAAAAAAAAGAAAGAAAATTTCAGCAAACCCCCTACACCTTGCCCAATACCCTGGCATCTCTAATCCGGCTTCCTTCATTGGTGAAATGTAGCCTTCCTTATCTGCCCTAGCATGTGGCATCTTCTCACATCCTAGATCATTCTCACAGGGCTAGGTATGATTCCCTAGAATCCATTTCAGCTGGTGAGAGACCGAGTGGTGGTTCTACTCTTCCCAGCAGGTGGCAGGGCCCTCTTGGGGCTTCTGTGTCTTCATCACCCCTGTGAAAGGGCTGGTCTCTATGAGCTTCAACTTCCCTTTGGAGTTTAAATTCCATTGTGCTGCCCATACACACATTTTGAGAAGCCATTTGCTCTACAACTGGGGAGAACATGTATTTCTTTTCCCACATCTGTCCCTATTGTCAGGCTGGAAGGTGAGAGTCTAAATCCACAAGTGAAGGAATGCAACATGGGAAGTGTCTCAAAGAACATCTCCAGAGGGACAGGATGCTCAGTGGAGTGGGCTGACCTCTCCCCGCTGGTGCCCAGGGCTCTCTCTTCACTGCGGTTCCTAATGTGGCTGCTTCATTGACTGTGTGGAGGGAGAACAGGATGCTGAGATGACCAGAGGGCGAGTCAAACTTGCAAACCTCTAAAGGAACGTCCAAGCTCCCCAGCCATTCATCCATTCATCTGCCTATTCAATGATTTGTTCATTCTTTCCTCCAGATTATAGTCCCTTAGACACCAAACGTCTTTAAAGGTATCCCTGGTATTTCTTATGGCTCCTTGATATGGTTTTGCTGTGTCCCCACCCAAATCTCATCTTGAATTTCCACATGTTGTGAGAGGGACCCAGTGGGAGGTAACTGAATCATGGGTGCAAGTCTTTCTCATGCTGTTCTCATGATAGTGAATAAGTCTCATGAGATCTGATGGTAATATAAGGGGGAGTTTCCCTGCTCAAGCTCTCTCTTTGCCTGCTGCCATCCATGTAAGATGTGACTTGCTTCTCCTTGTGTTCTGCCATGATTGTGAGGCCTCCTCAGCCATATGGAGCTGTGAGTCCAATTAAACCTCTTTCTTTTGTAAATTTCCCAGTCTCAAATATGTCTTTATCAGCAGCATGAAAACGGACTAATACACTCCTCTTAAACCCTTAGCTATGTAATTTTTGTTGTCCCCTCTCTGAGCCACCATTTATGCCGTTTGCTTAACTTCTGTGCACACCTCCATGCTTTTATCTGTCACGGTCTTCACCACTCTTGTCAGTGCCTGTGGCAGAGCCCAGCCAGGCTCACTAATAACAAGGAGCTCCCTCCATTGACCAGCCGTCCTTGCCCTGGGCTAGTTGTGCGAATAACCTGGCCTAAGGACCCTGGATGAGAATGGCATGACATGCATCCCTTCCAGATGAGGTGACCTCCCAACACACTCTGCTCTCCATCTGCCAGCTGATGACAGTAGCTCAGCTCCTGCCAGAAAATGGTGGGAATGGTGCAGGCACATAATAGAAACAGCAGAGGTCCCTTGGCAACCACCTAGAGGACAGCTACTTTGTGGAGTGCTGCCCAAGGGAGTCATACACCTGTGTGGTGAGTGAGGAACAAGCTTTGGCCACAGAAGCCACTGTCAATTTTGTGGTTATTTGTAAACAGGTCATTCATCCTGCAAATACATTCATCTATAAGTACACGTGCTGGGTATCATGCTAAGCACAGGGTTTATAATGATGAATAAGACAAGCCTAGAACTTGCCCACTGGGAGCCCGTAGCTTAGCAGGACAGACAGATTTGACTCAGCTCTCGTGGGATGTCCGCAAGGTTCTGAAGAGGAATTATGCAGAGAGAGAATGGGAGCTCAGACTGTGGTGTCGAAGGTGAGGTACCAGTGCGACTGGAGCCAGCCTGAGGTTCCAGATGGATTCCCTGAGCAAGTAACATCTGAGCTAAGATCTGAAGGATGACGGCACTGGAGAGTGGAAGGGGGGAAGCTTTCAGGATCAGGGGCTGTGTGTACGGTGCCCAGGCTGAGTGGGGGAACTGGGGACACTGAAGGAAGGCCGATAGGGTCACCTGCGTGTGCAGGAAATTTAGTACAGTGCCTTGCTCATAATAGGGATTAATAAATGTTTGCCTAATATATCACTACATGAATGAACGTACCATTTAACTAAAAATTGAAAAAGATCAAAGGAAACAGAAGCAAGAAAATGAATAAAAATTTGGGGGTAAAGGGTGGCTTCTCAAATAAAAAAAATCACAAATCTATATCTATACAAAAAGAGGTATATGAGGAGTGTCTCTATTTAGTATCTCCCTCAATCCCAACCCCATTGCGGTTAGAGGGAGGCAATGCAAAAGGCTTTCCTAATCTATTTTTTATGACTTGAAGCTATCAGGGGCCTAGGCTGTATTTCCACTCCAGTTAGAGGGATCCTCTAGAGCCTGAGTCTCTCTCTCTGTAGGCACTGGGAAGCAAAATCTGATTCACAAGCAGAGGAGAGGAGAGTTTGCTTTTCACATATTCTACAGAATTGAAAAAAATTGATTGGTGGATCTTTATGAAAAATCTGGGCAGGTGTTTGAGAGAAGATACAGCAATCTATTTCTAGTCTCCCACACTGCCACAATGGAGTAACCCCCTGTGCTATTTGGTGATTAATGATCACATAGTTTATATTTTATAACATAAACCCTCAGAGTTTCCTTTATGTAATGACAATAGACTATCCACAGCTACCTTTGTGGAACCTAAAAATGTCATTGCTTGGGGCCAGATGTAATGTGCAATAAATAATTTAACAAGAAAGATATCTTCATTCTATTTACAGTAAGCTAGAATTCATCTCCGTGGTCAATGTGAAACACCACTTAGTGGATAGGCAAATTCCAACTATAACTCCAGTGTAACCCGATTCATACTGAAAGGCCTCCAACAATTCCAAAGATATTTTTATATACATCTTGGAAGTTCTTGGGCCCTCAACATTAGCATATGTCTTCTTTTTTCTCCTGGCTTTATTTTTTTTACTCCAAATTAATTCAGCCCTTGATATGCATGCCTATTTGTTTGTATCTTTGAATGCATGTCTCACCTTCTAAAATGCTTTGTATAGAAGCTGTGGCATCTTATTCCCTAGCTGTGATGTTAACGTTATATGACTAAAGAGCTTGCAGATTCCACGTGCTCACCATAATAATTCAAATAGGAAGTAAATATATGGAAACCAAGCTTCAGAGGGCTCTAGACATTCTCAAGGGGACCTAATTGGTGCTCTCTTACGGTCAAAATATTTAATAAGCACCTGTTACATTCAAGATGTTGTAGTTACAATGGGCACTGGGTTATGATGCTGGCAAAGTCAGAGGTTGCCCTTGACCTCATCAAATTTACATTGCACTGGGAAAGACAGCCATTGGCTGCAAGTGATTTTGTAACAGCTGTCGCTGGGATTGCAGAGGTGCACAAGGTAACTGCAAACATGGAGTCAAGTGGCCTGGTGAGTACTGGAGGCCAGGGAAAGCCTCTCTGGGGAAGTGGCATGCAAAGTTGGAGTTAATTTAGTCCATTTTGAGTAAAGGGACTAGCAAGTGCAAAGGCCCTGCAGCAGGACCCGCTTGAGCACTGAAAGAAGATCTGCATTAAGTGGCAGAGGTGTTCTACAAATCCATGCCTTTTGATGTCAACTGTCATACTCTTTCCCTGTTATAATGAAGGGATCTGGGAGCATTTGCCCTGGTTGTGGCCTGAGAAGATGACCTCTACCTTTCAGAAAAAAAGGTTTTTTCACTCTTGAGCCACAGACTACTTTGGAGCATGACAGACAACTCATAACAATTCTTGGAAAACACACCCAGGGCCTCCTTAATTAATGGCAAATGACAGTAGTGTCTATTTCTTGGAATGGAAGGGAAGCAATAATGAGAAAAATCCACTGAGTAATATTAACTCACATTTTGATAGCACTTTCCTATATAATTGTTCTTCAGTCTTTCAACAATCGTGGGAATGCATACAACCATCATCATTTTGTACTTGAGGTTACTGATCTTTGGAAGATAAAGTTGCTTGCCCAAGAGACTCAACTGTTAAGAAGCAAGACTTGAATCTAAGTTTTTTGTCTCAACTATTGTATTTTCTCGAATCTAGCTTGAATCATTGATTACACCCATTGCAACTCTGTGACATGCAGTGAATTACTTAACATCTCTGCACCTCAGTGTTTTTCTCTGTTAAATGGAGATAGTGATAATACTGATTCATAGGATTCGAGTGATGACTAAATCAGTTCACATAGGTTCATATAGACTTGGAACAGTGCCTAGGACAAGGTAAAAGCTATACAATATTTGGCCATGTTATTGATTCTTCTTGTTATTATTACCTGTCTCCGGAACAACTTGGTTTGATATTTTAATTTTATATGAATAGCATTTGACCCGTCTATCAGCTTATCCTGAAACTAATATAAGTAGATAATTTCACCAACAAAGGTGTTCTTTTTGATAAATATAAACAATTAAAATTGGATTAATGGACCTTGAACTTCAAAAGAGTCAGGAGCCTTTAGGTTAAAACAATTGCTCCCTTTTCTAACAAACCTGTCAGCCACAACACAAATAGTTCATTAGTGTCTTTCTTCCTTTCTTTCTCTTTCTCTCTTTTGCTTTCTTTCTCTCACTCTCTTTCTTTATCTTTCTATTTCTCTCTCTCTCTCTCTCTCTCTCTTTCTTTCTTTTTTTCCTTCATATAGCATTATTGAGCACCTACAGTGTGTCAGGTACCATTCTAGGTACAACAATGAACACAACAGGCAAAATTCCTGTCTTTATAAGGCTTACATTCTAGTTAGAGGGATAAAGAAAGAAATAAGAAAATAAGGAGTACAATGCACACTACATTACATGATGATAAGGGCTTTGGAAAGAAAGAAAACAGAAAGGGGGAATGAGGGGTGCAGGGGGAGGGCATGTTAAGTAAGATGATTAGCGAAAGCCTCACTTAGAAGGTGACTTAGAGAGTGGCCCACGTAGCTGCTGCGTTCATAGCATGCTAGGCAGACGATTTTACATGTTCTCTAATTGTTTCATATTGATTTCTTGGAGGAAAGAGCCATACCTGACACTTGATTAATTAGTGATTTTCATCCATTTATTAAGCCTTTTGTGATTACGTGCTTTGTTCCAAGCTCTGCCCTGGATACCATGGCTTTTGATAAACGAGAGATTATCCTGGCAATTACTATATGAGTCACAGTGCAGCTGGGGAGAGGAAAAGCGAGTCCACAATGACCATGCCGTGCAATAAGGTCTCTAGCTCAGAGCAGTATGAGAACGAAGAGTGATCATCCCAAATACCAGGGTGAGAAGGAGAGGGTCAGGACCTCAGGCCTGCAGAAGAGGCTCAGAGGAAGTGACAATCAAATGAGCCTAAGTAAAGGAGGGAAAGTTGATCAGGTATGGCGTTCCATGAAGGGGAGCCGGTATGCTTAGTGACAGGTACAGGGGTGTCCTCTGCTGGCAGAGCAGAGGGTGGGAGGGGTGTGGTGGGAAAGAGGCTGGAAGGCTAGCAGAGCAGGGCCAGAGCTCCTGGGACCCACACACAACAATGAGGGCTGTGCCCTTTATCCTGGACCAGGAAGGGCCACATGAGGACTTTGAGAAGAGTGGGCGGGGTCGTATCTGTTACTTAAGATGACTAATTCCATAGCTGTGAGCAGGAGGAAGGACTGACTTTCTAATAGCACCAGATTGTGAGACTAAAGATAAGGAGACCAGCTCACAGTGTGAGGGACGAGAAAGCCTGCTCAACAGAGGAACATAGGAGGAGGGGTTGGCTTCTAGGCTTCTCGATGTGGCAAGGAGATGGATTCAGGAGGTCTTGATGACCTCCTGGCTCGGAGCGAGAGGGAGGAGGCTAGAAAGGGGCTCATGCTTCCGACAGGGGTGAACAATAGGGATGATATCATTGCTGACCAAGATAGGAACTCTGACAGTACTTGGGTCAAACTTGGACATGCTAATTGAGAAGTTCTCCAGGGACATCTACAAGGGAGTTGAAGATGGCTTGGGGTAGATTTGGGTCAGGAGCCTATTTCCACCAGCAGCATCCACTGTGGGCCGTCCCTGTTCCCAACAGAAGCAGATTAGCCTGGCTTGGGATCTGTTCCTGGAGTTCCAAGACTTCCAAAGGCCCTGAAATGCAGTGTTCCCACAGCCTGGAGACAGAGGCAGCTTGTCTTAAAAGTCTAGACATTGCCCTCATGATAATAATTTGTAGATCCTTAGTCACATGCCAGACACTATTTAAAGAACTTGATATTAAGTTTCACATTTTGACCTTCAAATGTTCTCCAAATGGCAGGTACTCATATTATTTCTATTTTATAGATAAGGAAACTAAGTCTCAGGGAGGTGCATTAACTTGTCCAAGGTCATCCAACTGATAGCAGCTCCAGGACTTCAACCCTGGTCATGTGGCAGGGCCTTAGTCGGCATTTTTCACCACTCGGGGTTTTGTTGTTGCTGTGTTGTGTTTCAGTTTTTCCACAGCTCTAATTGAAAAGAGGGCAGGTGGAAACTTTATGTGAAAATAAGCTATTCTTGAGGAAATATTCATTATAGAAAGAGAGCCTAAATAGAGACTGGTCTTGTTTAAAGTGGATTCAATAATAAACTCATGGATACAGGAAGAGATGCCTTGAATTTCTTCCAGGCTCCCCAGTGCCCTACATTTATTCACCACCCGACGTTTCCTGAGCATCAGCAGGCAAATGGAGCCATGATCAAAACAGACGGCACCTCCACCCTCAAGGAGCTTCCCCAAATGAGAAACCAAAAACGAAGCTCCTGAATTGGCCCCAAACTGAGCACTTTTTGACCACATTTTCGAAGCTAAAATCTCAAAAACAACTTGCCTTCATTGTGCCTGGTAACAAAAGACCCAATGCCCTTCTCAACGGCTTCCTGTAGAAGATCACTCTCAGAATCCCAGGAGCCTCTGATAAGCAGGCAGATGCAGCAGGGAAAAGAATCCCTGAAATGAAAAGGAGATGACATTTAAACGAGTAGTGGTTGTTTCAGCATCATTAATAATAGCTAGCACTTTCATTAAACTTCAAAGGTGATAAAGATGAACAGCATCTCACAGCAATGCTGTAAGATTGTCATCCCATTTAATGGATGAGAGCAGTGAAGCTCACAGATGTAAAGTGATTTGCTGGTTAGTAGCAAAACCTGGACTCAGATGTCAGGATTGCACCTCCAGGCCCCTTCCCCTGTTGGGGTACCTGGCTGTTTTTCTGTTTCAAAAAAATCTTGTTGAAGTTGCTCTCTTTTGAGATGCTTTGAGAGAATACTGAAGCAGAAGGAAGCTTGTGAAAGGCTTTTGTAGGTTTAGTAGGGAATTATTATCTTTTACATTTCAGCTTCCATGGCAGCAGCTGCAGCATCAGACATGGAAAGCAAAGATGGTTGTAAACCAGTTGTCTTTTCTACCACTTCAGAGGGTAAAGAATGGGAAAATATCAACTCCCTGGGCTTTATTGTTTAAAATTTTTATTTTTTGGAGGAGACTGGTTGCCTTGCTTTTAGGTCGATATTCTCTTGATGAGGTATTTCCCATTCCAGGAAGCTTCATGGCTTAATTCAGAAGCAAAGGCTGTGATGATACCTCCTGGATTGGCAAAGTAGGAGCTTGGATTTTCCTGGAGTCCCCACCAGCAGAACTAAAACTGGCTGGAGTTTCTCCAGCCAAGATCTGCCACGTCACGTACCATCTGTGCCTGGATACATGCTCCCCTTGGACCTCAAGCATATTTTTCCTGTAACCCAGTGGCACCAGAAGGAAGGCTTTCCCCTCATAGCAGGGCAGAGGCCCACCCCTCAGTTACAGTCACATGAGCCAATGTCCAAGGCACTGATTATGCTGCTTCCATATTCACAGCAAATTTGCTTTACCCAGAATTGGGTTCCTGAGAACAAAGAAAAATAAGAGCTCTCATTTTTTCCTTTAAAAAGTGTGGAGTTTTTTTTTTTTTTGTCTTTTTCTTGCTAGTGTTCGTGAGTACATATACATGCTTGCTGAGATGGAAAATCTGGAAGGGCTCCCAAATTGTGTTATACTCCAACCCACACACCAGGAAAATCCTTAGGGAAACAGTGAGAGGGTGTCAGGGGGCGTTGTTTCATTCAGAGAGAACCTGGTTATAGCATATGAAATGTATCATTCCATATTATTTTGCTAAAGATTCTGCACCCAAATATACACTCAGCAAAGTCCTCCTGGTGGGTTATGTTCCAGAAAATAGGGTGATTCCCCTTCCCTTTTCCTGTTCCGTCACTGACGCAACCCCACAGCCGAGCGGTGTGCAGCCCTCCCCATTGGCAAGAATTCTCTGCACACCCTCTATGTGCCTGGCAAAGTGATAACTGCCACAAGCTAGTTAAGAAATGGAGCCCACAGACCCCATAAACAGGATTACCATTGGGACAGAACTGTGCCATGCATCTTCATAAAGTCATTAAACCAGCTGCGAGTCCCTTGAGGACACGACTCTCATTGTATTTGCATTTATACTCCTAACACCTGAGGTGGGAAGTGGTTTCTAAGACATTCAATGACTATTCCTTGAATAAAAATATAGTGAATGAGAACTTAGCATGATAATGTTATATTTCATATAATTTTCTAGTAGTACATTAAAATGTCAAAATAGGGGGTCTAATTAGAGTATAGGATGGTTTAACATAGGACACATCATAATTCACAAATACAGTAGGTCAGTTGATTTCTCTCTCTCTCTCTCTCTCGGTTTCATATATTTATTCACTAGACATTTGTTTTGTTAATTATGTACTGTATACTGTGCTTTGTACTGGGGACATAGTGATTAATTACCACCTCCTAACACACATCTTCCTCCTGTCTCCTTCCAAAAAATTCATGCTCAGTTGAGAAGACAGAAAAATAAGCAAGTAATTTCAACTTATAAAAGCAGGTAAGTGCTTTATATATATATATATATATATATATATATATATATATATATATATAAAATCCCTCTCACACACTTACATATTCACATACACACACACACACACACACACACACACACACACACACACACTCATGCTGTGGAAACTAGAGAGCAATACTTGTGACGGAAATATTTGTGGAATGATTCTTAGGCAATGGGATGTTTGAGCTGAATCCTGAAGGGTTATGCAGTATGTTTTCTGGGTACGTTGCTACTGTTCAGGATAGATTTATGTGCACTTGCTTCCCTGCTAGATTGTAATCTGTTGGGAGTGCAGGAACCAAAGGTTATTGAACTTTTTTGTTTCTAATAGAATCTTCCAGAGGCAGCTCTATGAGTCAGTGTGTTGCACTAGAATGAACTGGCATTTGATTCCCACTTTTACTAGTAGTTCTTTAAGCGATTTCTCAAAAACACTTTGAGCCTCAGTTTTCTCATTTAAAATAAGAGATAATTGACATCACCTGCTAGTGTTGATCTTTATGATAATCAAAGGTTATTATTTATGTAAAGCACCTAGAATGAAGACGTAAAGCTATTGGCATATGGTAAATGACAATACCTCCTTTTCTTCATCTTCCTTGGTATTTAGTACATATGGAAAGAGTTGAAATCAAGTAAAAGGGCACAGATTGTGCTGGTATTATTGAGTACTTCTGGTGGTAGTCCAAGTCCTCTTAGAAAGTCCACAGAATAGGAGAAGATATAAGGCCAAGTGTTGTTTCATGGCCAGGACAGGATGGGTAGAGGAACAGAATTATATCCCAATCTTGTAGAATTAGAGAACATGCGACCAGTGAGGATATGTAGTTTCTTTCTAGAGAAGTCCTTATTCCCAGAGCAGGTGGTGCTTTCATTCTATTCCCCATCTACAACACCCACCCTTAATTAGACTCAATTAAATCCTACTCCCCTGGCCTTGTTCAAATTTAATAACACCCTCCAAGATCAAACCCATCCCTAGATGACCTCTTACTCTTTTGGCCTCATCGATATATCTTTTTGTTTCACCCATTTCATACTGAGGGTTAGGGTCAGTCCCGGGCCCACCCCAGACCTACTGAATCAGGAGTGGGAGGATGGGGTCCAAGCAGGTTAAAAGGAAGATTTTACAATGGAGAGAGGCCCTATCCATCGCAATGATTTTCATGTTTTCATCTGAAATAAAAACAAAAACCAAAAACTCAGCTGCAAAATAAAAAGCAATTTCAACTAAATTGACTGTGTGAATGCTCTGTAAAAACTACCAAAAATCCAATTGTTTTTAGAAATATTCCCATTTGTGCTACTAGCTTCCTGGTGCGTGGCCTGCCTGTTGAGGCATTTAATACAGATGCAAAGCTAGGACTGGGGTGCCACTCCTGCTGAGCAAGGTTTGGCTATAAATGGGGCCTTTTCCAAAGCAACTGAGGTTAAGGCCAAAAGAGTAAAGCCATATATGCAAACATCAAATCCAAAAGAGAGAAAGTATGGGGGCCAGTATCAAAATAAACTAGAGGCTAACCTGGAGGAAAGCAAAGTGTAAACAAAGCCAGGGAGCCCAAACTTCCATAGGCCAGAGCCCCCAGAGAATGTGGTCACATCTTTCAGATGACAGGAGAGGTGGTTGAAGGTATAACTAGGGTGTCCAAATAATTTATCATCCAAGATACTTTTGAGAGGGTAAGAGGGTATGATTACTAAGTACACTGAGAAAACAGGAGAAATTGAAGATGTATGTATACCTGGAATGAACAGAGAACATCAAATTTGAAGGTCACCTTATTGGTTCATTGGAGTACGATAAGTAGAATAGAAACACCATTTTTTAACAAAATTTGAGTATACTCGTTTATTGGGTATATGGTTGTTGTAGATTTGTAGAAATTCCACAAATAAAATCTTAATTGATTGGCTTAACATTCAAAGTCTTTCACCCTCAGGCTGTAACTTATGCCTTCTTATACTCTCAGCACCAGCAACATTCAACATTTAGCACCTTTCCGCCAAATTCTTCCTCACTTTTCAATTTTGTCCATCCCTCAAGTTCTAGATCCAGGTCAGTGCTCTCCCCTTCTTCCCCCACATCATGCCTACAGCACTTAGACGTTACCATCTAATGCTCTGCAATCTAGGTTTGTATCTTATTTGCCCTCTGAAAATGTTGAGTAGACATCCACTTTTTCTAAAGTAGTTTGTAAATTAAAATTATGTACTAAGGCATGATTTGTGATCAACTTTGCAGCAACGTACCTTCATAATTCTTCTATGATGTTGTGTGGACACCTTCTACTCGGCCCTGATTCAATCCCTGAGATTCTTCCTATCTTCCTCCCCAGTTGTTCTGCCAGACCCTGCGAGCCTTATTCTGTCCTGTTTGCAGATCTCATACTTCCTTCACCTTCAATGGTGTTTAATGACCTGTCTTTCCTATTGCCTGGGGGCTCCTCAAAGGTGACAAGTCAGTCTGGTTAAAATTTGCAATATCTCCCTCACACTCCCAACCCCATGCCTAGAAAAGGGCCTGTCATACAGTAAATATTCTGATGAATTAAATTAATGATATAATTTACATTTCAATTTTACCTGTAGAAAATGGTGATGGGGAACCACATCATCAAATTTCTTTTCTTTTAGAAAACTAATTGTAAGTTTTATGTGTTGCAGGGGCTGCGGGAATTGGAATGATAATAGTTTGCTAAATTTGGAAATAAGTTCATTGATATGCTGTAGAATGAATAATTTAAAAAAATAATTAGAGTTCTTCACTTTTAAATTTAATAATATATAGTTGCTGACAAAGAGAGGTTAGAAATGTTAATTAAATCCAAGTCTAGATATACAATCAGATAGCTATTATATAAGCTTAATTATTTAACTTTTTTTAGTTATCTGATGCTGACTCACGTACAGCATTAGCTGTCTTTCAAATCACAAACTCTTCTGCCTGTCAAACTTTTCAGTGCCTGGAGACATTTCTATTTTATCTGCCTTCTCTTGTCAGACTCTGTGGTTTTCTCTGTCTTCCAATTAAGCACTAACACTGATTCTTGGATAATTCGTTCAAGTGCATATGAACTCAGTTGTCTAGGAAGGAATTTTAATGACCAGGGAATTCAATTCTCATTTTCTTCTTTTTATCTCAGAATATTAGGATAGACAAAGGTTTCTGTGAAACTATACGTGACTCAATGCCCAATGCCTGGCCACATTTGCTGGGAGGGAAGAGAAAAATGAAGCTCTCATGGTAGTTCGAAGTTCAGAGAAATGTAGATCTTCAAGCAATTTGAGAGATTCACTTGTGCAGCCTCCTCTTGCAGGGGGCTGTGACCCCTTGAAGGAAAGGTCGCTGCCCAGGCTCACACAGGGTTCCTAATTCACAGTCTGGTGATTATGTCCAATCATCTGTTACTTTGGGGTCCACAAATGTGGGTGAAGCCACTGCACATTCCAAACAGACAAATTCAGGCGGGAAAGAGCTGCAATATTGGGCATCTTACTTTGAGATCTTCTTGAATTTTCCCTTCTTCATCTTTCATTGTGTCTAGAATCCCCTCTGGAGTAGTGGTCGATGATTCAGACAGGGCACAGATTTTAAATCAAAGCTCAGAAGAAAACAAGTCAATTGAAACCCAAATGGACTGCAGCCGTGTTGAGAGCTTGCTTTATCTCTAGTCCTCCTGGAGCTGACAACTTACAATTTTCATAAAGGTATTTTAATCTCATGTAGCCAACTGACAAGACTTTTTGTTGAAAGAAGATGCTTTAATTTAAATATTTCAAACCAGATTTGGCCTGAAAGCAGTGAACAGCAAGGCTTATCCACGTATGCCTGATTAATGGCCGAGGTTCCTTGAGCAGGAATTACTTAGAGAAATGTAGGTAATACTAAACCTGACTCCCTGTGAATGGAAAACTCTACTGGGGACATTTCTGAATGAGACCAGAAACGGATGCTTAAATAAAACTAAACATACATCTTCTTAAAGCCACTCCTATTTTTTTTAATGAATCCTTCAGTTTTATAAAGACAGCTCCTGAGTCAACCTTTTTAGGTGTCTTTTTTTAAAAAAAACTGAGACAGGTTCTTACTGTATCATCCTGGCTGGAGTGCAGTAGTGTGATCATAGCTCACTGCAGCCTCAAACTCCAGGTCTCAAATGATTCTCCCACCAGAGCCTCCCAAGTAGCTGGGACCACGGGTACACACCACTATGTTGGCTAATTTATTTTATTGTATTTGTTGCAGAGAAGGGTCTTGCTATGTTGCCCAGGCTGGTCTTGAACTCCTGGGCTCAAGTGATCCACCTGCCTTGGGCTCCCAAAGTGCTGAGATTATAGGCATAAGCCACTGTGCCTGGCCAGAGATACCTTTTACTGAGCATCTATTACAAGCTAAGCTGTCTGTTACTTCTTTATATGAGCACAAATATTTTTAATAACCCTTGAGGTGAATATTTCTTTCCTATTGTATAAATTAAGAAGCTGAGGTTTAGTGAGATTAAGTAACTGTCCCACAGTGAAGAGATATAGACCTCGATAAACTGGGGCTCAAACTCAAATCTGACCTTTCTCCTATGTCAGCCTTCCTCTCACCAAATGATGCTCTCTTAGAGCTTCCTCTGAGATGCATCCTATCAGCTCTGAAATTTCAGTTCAATGCTTGTTCCTCCAGAGAGCCCCAGAATGCGTATTTGAGCCATTTATGTGTCACATAGCACACGCATTAGCAAATCATTGATTTATTCACTGTCTATGGAGTGCTTGTGTGTTCTAGACACTGTGCTAGGATCCAGAGATGGGTCAGAAATGTTTTCTGTCTTCAAGGAGTTCAGTGCCTTAAATTTCCATTTTCTTCCCCCTTAAGCTGGATATTCTCTTGTACTGTGTTTGGCACAAAGTATGCGCCCAGCCAAAGTTTGTAAATTGACAGGCCTGCATAGGAGCAGATATACTAAATCTATGTTAATTGTGTATATTTCTGGTCTCACGAGCATTGCGAAATGAAGAGCAATTTCTCTTTGTTTTCTGTGTGACCTTGAACAAATCACTTAATGTCTTTAAATTTAATTGCTTCCAGTGCACAATAATGCAGTACCACCCATCACACTTAAGATTATAGGTAAAATTAAATGAAAGAATGAAGCAAAAGTGCCTCATAGAGAGTATACAAACTGAAGCATCACCATGATGATCAAGGTTGCAAAGGGACCACAGAATCAGGGGACTTTAGAATCAGAAAAACCATGAAGTCTTCTCTTTTAGTAATATTGAAATATTTTTTTAAAGGGTAGCATTCCTTTTCATACTAAATGTTATCAAAATACCAATAGCATAAAACAGAAAAACATGGACCCAGGATTATCTCCTAGAGACTTTACTTTGTAACTCACTGATGGACCAAATCTAGTCTTTGTGGTTTGCTGATTAGAAAACTGAGTTCCAGACAGATTATATGGTGGTTCCAAGGAGGCAACACATTACATGAATGATGAAAGACTGAATGCTTTACCCCTAAGAGCAGGAACAAGGCAAGGATGTACATTTCCATCATTTGTATCCAAGTACTGGAATTTCCAGCCACTGCAATAAGGCAAGAAAAATAAATAAAAGCCTAACAAATTGGAAAAACAAAACAAAACAAAAAGCTATTTTATTTGCAGATGATATGATTTTCTCTGAAGAAAATCTCAAGGAATCTACAAAAATTGAAAAACAACAACAACAACCACCAAACAACCCCCTCTTCCAGTTTCCAGAACTAATACATGATTTCATCAAGTCACAGGACACAAGATCAACACATTAAAAAAAAATCACATTTACCTATACTAATAATAAAAATGTGGAAAACAAATTGAAAAAGCCAATCTCAAAAGATTATATACTGTATGATTCCATGTATAGAAGATTCCTGAAATGACAAAATTTTAGAAATGGAGAACATATTCATTGGCCGGGGTTGAGGAGGGGTGGGTTGGGTCGGATGCGAATGTAGCTATCCAGGGCAACAGGAGGGATCCTTGTGGTGATGGAAATGTTCTGTATCTTGCTTTCATCAGTGTCAGTGTTCTAGTTGGGTTATTGCACTATAGTTTTGTAACATGTTACCACTGGGAAAACTGGGTACAGGTTCATGAGAGCTCTCTGTATTACTTCTTATAATTGCATGTGAATCTAGAATTATCTCAAATAAAAAATTAATTTAAAAATATAATGTATAAATGTGATATAAAATTATACAATAGAAATATTAATTATAGTTTTGTTATCACTGTTACTAGTAAAATTAACATTCAAGAGAGTAATTGTAGACAGAGTAAACATTAAGTAAAAAATGAGAAAGAATTAAAAACACAGATACCATCAGCAAGCCTGGTATTTCTGATATGTAGGTTGGAGGTGGAGAGAGCCAGCCTGGAGAGGTTTGGTGCAGTCTTCTGTGCTCTCCTAAGGATGCCTGGGATATACGTGGTTCATGGAAAGACAGGCTGGTGACAGGTGGGCTAAGGGTACCTCTGCTTATATAAGCCACATTAAGAATGCTAATAAAGCTTGCCTAGGCATTTCCCCTCTGAAGTAGAGGAAGGAAGGTGGGAATTAACAGAGGCACACATGCAAATGCAATACAAGACTTGGCTAGACAGTGCCAGGTCATAGGACAGAAGCCAGGAAGTGTGGGCTTCTTGGAAACAATGAGGAAACACTGGGGCTGTTAAGCAGGGAGTGACCTAAGGAAATGACATTCCACTCTGGCTGTGGTATGGAGAAGAGGGCTGAGCTGGAGTAGGTCTGGAGGCTGGGTCATGGGCCAGGGGTAAGTGCAGAATCCAGGTAAAAAGTGAAAGGGGTCAGATTTGATGCAGGGCAGGAGGTCCCTGTTTCAGGAGAATAAGGCCAGGTTTTTACAGGTGTTTGTCAACAAGCAGAGGAGAAAGTTGGCTCATCTCCTGTGGAGGAGATCACTTGGAGTTTCTTGCAGTGTGGGAGGGAGGAATTTAAAAGGAATCCATTGAGAGGAAGATATTGGGAGAATTAGAAAGAAGCGTGGGTAGTTAATGACTGGGATGCAGAGTTAAGAGGCCAGGTTAATCTCAGACAACACAAACACTCTCTCCTCCTTTGAGATATAGAGAATGCACGAACAATGGAAGAAAATCCTGGGAAAATTTGAAAGTTGATAAAGGAGGCATCAAATGAGATTGAGAGCGTAGGACAAAATTCTACTTCAAACATTCTTGTGATTGCAGAATTCAGCTTTTTCAGAAGTTGCCCAAAATATTTTGATCTGAGATGCTCTGTTCAGATGAAGAAAATATATCACCAGAGAAAGGGCTCCCAGTGGGCTAAGAGAGTTCGTTTTTCTTTTTTTTATAAATTAGTTTACAGCTTGTGACATTAAGAAAATCAATGCCATTTCTTATGGTTACATAGCATTTGCTTAGCTGAATAATTCTCTAGGGAATGAATTTCTTTGTGATGGATTTGATGGAAGACATCATTAATTCAGAAAAGCCTCTTTCTTTACCTGCATAATCTCTTCCAATTCATAAGCTTATATAACACTGATGCCAGAACTTAAGTTTCACTGTTTCCTCTAAGAGATGAAAAAAAATTAGACCAAGGTAAGAGAAAGACGAACTTCGAGGTTACCAATTAAGTCAATAAGGCTAGAATTTGAATTTCCTGGCCACTACAGTATCGAATTTTATTTTATGATTCTTTGAATCAGAAAAATCGTTTGTAAATGACTCCAATTTAATACAGCCACACCCAGATGATGGTTGCTGACTCTCCTCAGTGGGTAAATCTAGGATGAACACCCTCCAGGGTTTCCTGGGGGCTAGACAACAAAGAAATTAGAGCTAATGAGGTCGGAGTTGTTAGGGGCCAAAGTGTAGTTTTGAGAAATGTGGCAGCGTTGTGACACGAGAAAAGCACATGAGGAATGTGTCTTGGGAAGATGAGATGAGGTCAGAAGCGAGGAGAAAGGATGGATGGGATAGGAAGACAGGTGCATAAAAGGCATAAACAGACTCTGAATAGCTTGTGTGTATCAGGCTCCTCTTCTCAATTTTTGAAAAATAACACTTGGTAGACTGTGCAGAAATGGGTGTATGTATTATGTGCCTGAGATTTGCCAAGTTCAGTGATGTAGAAGGGAACAGACAACCTAATTCTAACAGGTGTTAACAGGTGATTCTTTACTCCTGAGGCCCTTTTACTTGCTACATTTGGTGCTGATTTGAGTGAGCCTTGAACACTCTGGGCAAATGGGACTTGACGGAACTCTGCCAGAAATTCACCGAGTGACCTTGGGTATTTCCTTTCCTCTCTCTCTGCGGAGGAAATGAAGGTATAAAACTGGTCCCTTAGGACCTATTAATCTTTGGCATGCTTTGATTGTATCTGGACAAGATGATAAGGCTAAGCACAGGCAGTGAATTCCATGAATCCCACATCCCCTCTCACCCCAGCCCCAAATACTGCAGCCGCCCTTGGGATAAGCTCCAAGTACCGCAAAAGGGCTCCCTATTCTTCCCCTTTGATATTCCCCTGGGGGACAGAGAAGGCCAGCAGCTCCTTCCGTAGCTGCCACAAGGACACATTTTATTTTCTCCTGCTCTTAAAATCCTCAATGCCAGCCCCCTGAGCTGCAGAGAGAAGCCTGCGTGGCTGGCATCACGCAGAAGGGGCCAATGCCTGCCGTCTGCCACTGTCTAATTAGCACGGGATGCCCTCATCTTGATATCAGGCTGTAGTGAGTGACCTCTGAGGTCTCCTGGTGAAGGGAACAATTACATAACCAGAACAGTTAGGCTGAAGGGAACAAAAAATAAGGAGTTGGGCCTGCAGCCCGGAACAGAGAGGAAGTAGTGAGCACAAGAGACAGATGAACACATTAAACTGTGGACCCAGCATCCACACCATAGCACAAATATATTCTTAGGAGACTTTCCAGTGAATCCTGACATGTTCTTCTGCAGTATCCCATAGCCTTATTTCAAGAAGACAGTGATTTTGAGCGTATGCCACACATCTTTATATTATGAAATTTTATAATTTTAAATTGTCCAGGATCTTATGTAAGATATATTTCTCATCATTAAACATAACTGAAGTAAGGCTTTAAAAAAAGAGATGTGGTTATATATGGCACTCACAATGAGGCATCTAGAAATGAATTCTGTTCTGGCACTCTTTGTTGGGTGATTCTGGGCAAGTTGCTTTTCCTCTTTCGACTTCAACTCCCACATCAATGAATTAATTTTGTCTTTCATTTGTTCATTTAGTCATTAAATCTCCATACAGTGTCTCCCATGTTCCAGGAAAAATGAAATAAAACTACTGGCTTCAAGGACAAATAGGGATCTTTACTTATTAAATGAGAGCCATTTCTCTAATTCATAGAATCGAAAAACAGGTCTTATTATAATGCTTTTTCAGGCCCACCTGTCAGCAGCAGGCACTAAACTACAGTGGAAAGAACAGAGGTTTTGTCTGTAGAAGGGCCTGAGTTTAGTCCTGGTTCTTCCTTCTGCTTCCACAAGGTACACGGGCTCTGACCAGCTTCTTCCTCTGTGAATGGGAGATGATGCCTGCCTACCTCACAGGGTGGAAATCGATGACTATGTGTGGATGAAAGCATTTTGCAAGCTGCAAAGTGATGTCAAATGTTCGGGGTTATTTATGTAGGAAAAACCTGCTTAGACTAGATGACAAATTGATGCCTAGAAAATGAAGCCCTCCTTGACAGCTAAGATTCAAAATGGCCCTGGATTTTGTATTCAGTTTAATGTTTGGTTGAGTGGGATGTTTGAAGTTTCTGTTGGACTTTATATAATAAACCAATGACTGTTGGCAAGGTAGCCACAGAAACAAGCCCCAACTAGATGTATATTTCAGGATCTAGATATATCTGACAAATGTTTCTAAAGGTGGTCCTTGGGAATCTTGCTGGAAGAGCCATTCAAAAAAACACGTTACAGCTCCTACGTCTTCTGCTGAAGGCAATGAAGTCCAGAAAAATTTAATGATTTTTTAGGGATAAAATAGGAAGTTGGTGGTAAGGCCAAGACTTGACCCATATCTGTTACAGGCAGCTGGCAACTCCTGGATCTTCTTGCTCTCAATTCAGTTGTTTGTTTGATTCTTCCACTTTCCCTTATGGCATAGCTTTTTAAAAAGGTTTTTTACCCTGGACTGGCACTGGGAATGAGCTATCCAAATACTTTGCTCTCTCAAATAAATATCTGTCTATGTTTATATCTATTAGTGCTAACAATATGGAATACCCCATGAGAAACTGGGATTACTGGATTTATTCAAAATCATCTTTTGTTGGATGGGAGTGACTGAGATGTTCCCAGTGACCTCTTCCATTTCTGAGTAAGAATAATTCATTCTGGATCCAAGAGACTTTGTGGATCATTTAAGCATAACCATTCAATAGGAGAAACAAACAAATTCATGCGTTTTCATGTGAAGGAGGCTTGGATTTGCATCTTGGCTCCATTGTGTACTAACTGTCTGAATTTAGGCTGATTACTTAACCTCTCTGAAGTTTCTTGCTCAATAATGCCCACAGGGCAAGGACAAGATGATAGCTTCCTGGGCTTGCTGTAACAAATTTGGTGGCTTAAAACAATAGAAATCTACTCTCTTACAATTCTGGATGCTAGAAGTCTGAAATCTGTTAGGGATATTCTCCCTCTGGGGGCTCCAGGGAGATACCATTCCTTCACCTTCCAGCTTCTAGTGGTTGCCCCAGCATTCCTGGGTTTGTGGCCACATCACTCCCATCTCTGCCTCCATCTTTACCTTGCATTGTCCTCTGGGAGTCTATTATAAGGACATTTTCACTGAATTTGTGCCCCCACCCCGTCCCCCACAAGATAATCTAGGATGGTCTCCTCATCTCAAGATCCTTAATTGAATTACATTTGCAAAAACAATTTTTCCAAATAAGGTCACGCTCTCAGATTCCAGGGATTAGGATGTGAGCATATGTTTTTAGGGGCAACAATGCAACCCACTACAGATAGTGTGAGTATTAAGTGTGTGAACCTAGCTGATCTCTGCTACACAGACACAGGGCTCAGCAAATGTTGGCATTCTACCCAGGCATTTAGGGAAAAATGTAATTGTCTACTTTTCTTTAAGAGTGGAAAGTGACTTTCTACCTAGGTAACTTGGTTAATGTTGAACCCAAAGCAGCTGCCATTTATTGAGCCTCTGCTGTGAAGCTGGAATTTTGTGTACTTTGTGTGACTTAATTCTCACAACCAGAAAATTGAAAACTGATGCTCAGATATGCTAACTCCCTTGCAGGGCACACAGCCTGCGAGTGACAGAGCCTGGAGTCAATACCAGGCCAGCCTGACTGCTCTCTGGGCTGATCACCAGGCTGTCTCTCCCATCTAAGGATGTAACCAGTTGAACAGACCTAATGCTTGGCTAATTCAGGCTCTTACAGAAGCATTTCTGCTGAAAGCAGCAAAGGAGAGTGCATTGCCTGCCTTCTCATTCTGATTTCCGGACCACCCCATCCTAGATGAGGAAAGGCCGCTGAAAGGATCCTCAGCATTTTTCTGAAACATATATGCATTTTCTAGCTTCTAGGAAAGCAATCTCTGTGCGCAATGATTAGACTATTAATCAAATTCTTAAAAAAAAAAGTTTTCTGAAAGAGTGTACTTCATGAATTATGGAATACGTGCCTTTACTTGTCTCATCTTATTTAAAAACATGGAGCACCGTGATTACACATCTCTTTCATGAACATTTGGGCTGAACATTCAGAAGAGCACTCCACTGAGATTTATTGGAGTGTTTGGAGGTAGTTCTAATAAAACAGTAGACTGTGGAATATGCAGCTCAGTGAATTGAGCTGGTAAAAAAAAAAAAATTAATTCCAGCACTTTGAGAGGCTGAGGTGGGTGGATTACTTGAGGTCAGGAGTTGAGACCAGCCTGGCCAACAACGTGAAACCCCATCTCTACAAAAATACAAAAAAGTATCTGGGCATGGTGGTGTGCACCTGTAGTCCCAGCTGCTTGGGAAACTGAGGCAGCGGAATCGCTTGGACTTGGGAGGCAGAGGTTGCTGTGAGATGAGATCACACCACTGCACTCTAGCCTGGGCAACAGAGTGAGACTCTGTCTAAAAAACAAACAAACAAACAAACAAATTCAGATGTATGTGGGTTCCAAGGCTTGGAATGATTTTCACATTTGGTGATGCTTTTCTGTTTTGGTATACCTCATTCTAATTTTCTCTGTGTAAAGGGGATCACTGTGAAGATGGGAAGCGAACACTGCTTCAGACTAGAAGTCCATCTTCCTGCAGTCTTCTTGGCTTCGTTAGTGGCAGCTGCTCCAGAATGAGCAGAAACAGGTTGGCTTGGCTCTGCATGGGTCAAGGCAATTTTTGATGATTCCACATGAATCTGAACACCATACTTCTGTAAGGGCATTGATAGATGAAGCATATTCAGAGAAAAGAGACCAGGATTGAGTGGTAGCTGGAAACCAGGTCATAAGAGATACTATTGTAGGGCATGAGAGTGATCCTCCAATAGCCAAGTTCAGGCATTTGAAGGAGTAGACAATCTGCTGTATCTCACGGGATAAAATGAGGACCAAAATAGGTGAAAGAGGCACCAACGCCATATGTGGTGAGCTCAGCATCTAGCATGGAGACCACGCAGTGGACCCAACTAATATCTGTTTAGTGGATAAATAAGTGAATTAATGGAAATAGAAAAGGCTTTGGTGTGCAAATGAGATTAGACTTTGAGTCAAATAAACCCAGCTTGAATCTGCCATTTCTTGGTTGCACGTTCTTAGGTGAGTTGCTCACTGTATTTGAAGCCTTCTTTACAATGAGGATAATGATATTTGCTTTCCAGGACTATTGTGAGGATTAAAATGAGACAAAATCCTATGTACAAATGCACTTTTTGAGCCACGGTTCAGCTTGACAAGAACACACCACACACAGCTAAAGAAGAGACTCATGATCAAGACAAGGGCAGACGTGACCCCTGTGAGCTATGTAGCTGGGGGCACTTTGCCATTGGTAAATGGCTGGAACTGGGTCCATCAATGGTGACATTGAATAACTGATGTATAAAAATGGCCTCATACCAATCAGAAAATGTGATAATATGGTATTTTTAAAGCAAAAGAATGATAAATGTTAAATGTATAAAGTTTTTTTTTTCATTTCTGTCTTAGACCTAAGCAGGATAAAAATCAGTGTTTTAGAAAATCTTTGTAGTTGAATGCACCTTCCCCAACTGAAGGGTAGGTAAGACTTAATTCTTTAATTGATTGGCTTGTGTGCCCTATGATTCTATAAGGCGAAACACTGCACTATTTGAATAAATAGTTTCTATTTCCTAAGTATAAAATTACAGGACACAGTGTTATTTCTCAATCAGCATTAATTAGAAAACCAGGTAGGTTTTTCTCCACAACCTACACAGTAGAGGTTGACATGGAAACCAGGTCAAGCTTAACACGGAAGCCAGGACTCTTGATGACCCTTTCTCCCAGATGCAACTCTAACTTTCTTCTTAAACCCTATCACTAGCCATTTTGGCAGCCTCCTGATTCTTTGTGACATCCCTGAAAAGATTCTCCTGAGTCCACCAGGCTACCTTAGTTCCTTCTTTTCTGTTGTGTTTACTGGATCTTTCGCCTACTTCTACTGTAACACATGTAAAATACCAGTGACTCCCTTTTACTGAGAACTAGTTTGTAACAGGAACTACATCAAAGGCTCTGCACATATTGACTCATGAAATTCTTTCAACAACCTTGAGAGTAGATAGTATTATTTTCATTTACAGATAAAGAATTAAAAGTGTTTAAGAGCTTAGGAAACTTGTTAATAATCACTCAGCTGATGAAGGACAGCACCTGAATTTGAATTGAGATTTGTCTGAGCCCAAAGTCATTTTCCTCCACTTTTACATTACACTGTGGGTCTTTCCACTGGTCTGAGAATGGTTTCCAGGGCAGCTACTGCATCTCTCATTTCCTTCTGTGTCCTCTTGGTTTTCAATAGGGCCTGAGGTACATTAGATGCTCAGGAAGTTTCTTTACTATCATGAAAATTATTTCCTAAATAAATGTCGCCTGGGGAGGAGCTGAACACAGACACACACAGACATACACAGGCTTATATATGCCCAGACACAAGGACACCCAAACATACACACGAATGCACATATACATACTCCCTCTTTCTCTCTTTCCCTCTCTCTCTCTACCCATTAAGGAAACTCTCTTCTTACAACCTGACACAATGAATACAGAAACTCCTTGGTGTCCGGTCAGCAGGACTCAGATGCCTCAATGAAGTGGTTTCTGGCCTGCACCACCCCTATACCAGGATCAAGAGTGAAATACTAGGGAAACTGCCTCCTCGAAGCCCTGCATCCTCAGAGGCCTGACTTTTCAAGGCAACCAGTGACTGGCAGTTTTCCCATGAGAGCTGGTGACTGAGGCTTCCGGTGAGACACAAATAGGTTTGTTTGTTTTTAAGGTTGCCCACATGGCCACTTTCCCCAGGAGTGAGAAAAACATGGCGCCTTGAAATCAAATGAAAGGAGAAGGGAAGGGGAAACGAAGGCAGTGCTCAAAGCTCAGCCTAGGACGAGGATGGAACTATGGCTCAGGTTTAAATTATTTTTTTCAGTATACTATTTGCTGTTTTCTTAACAAACTCCATCTAACAATGTATTCTGTTTTGCTTCAGTTTTGTGACCATTTGTCCTGCCATCATGGAGCCTAGTAAATGAAAAGCTAAGTTATCATCGGTTGGTGTGTTAGCTTCCCAGGGCTGCCGTAACAAATTATTACAAACTGGGAAGTTCAAAACAACAGAAAGTTATCCTCTCAGAATTCTGGAGTCCAGAAGTCTGAAATCCAGAAATGGGTACGGCTGAACTTGCTCTGGAGGCTCTAGGTATTTTGTTCCTTTCCTCTGCCAGTTCCTGTTGGGCCTTCTGGCTGTATCTCTGCCTTTTCCTCTTGTCTTGTGTTTTCTTGTCTTCCGCCTGTCTTCTAAGGGTGCAAGTCAGCAGACTTAGGGCTTACCTGGAAAACCCAGGAGAAGCTGCTTCTCTCACGATCTCTAAATACATCAGCCAAACCTTTTTTCAAACCAGGTAAACATTCATAGGTTAGGGGGCTAAGGACTCTGGCATCTCTTTTTGGGAGGCTTCATAAATCCCACTACAGTTGCCATGGCTTCATGAGAATCACCTGGAGAGCGTGTTCAAAAGCCACATCCCTGGACTCAGCTCAGAGTAGGAGGGGTCTAGGAATCTGAATTGAGTACAAGTTCCCTGAATAATTCTGATGGTTCAGCCAGGTTTGGGAAACCCTGCCTCTCACTGATTCCAGTACATAACTAATTGAAGACATCTCCAGAGTAATCTTTCTAAAACAGAAATCAGAGCATGCCCCTTCTCAACTTAAAGCCTCCACTGCTCTGTGTCCCACTTAAACTCTTTCTGACACTTACACGCCAGATCCTCTAGCCATGCAGGGCTCTTTATAACGCTCTGAAAGTACAAAGCCTTTTTTCATCTCAAATTCTTTACAAATCCCCTCCCTCTACTTGGTATCCCCTCTTTTTTTTTTTTTTTTTTGAGGCGGAGTCTCACTCTGTCACCCTGGCTGGAGGGCAGTGTTGTGATCTCCACTCACTGCAACCTCCAACCCCTGGGTTCAAGTGATTCTCCTGCCTCAGCTTCCTGAGTACCTGGGATTACAGGCACCTGCCACCGTGCCTGGCTAATTTTTGTATTTTTAGTAGAGACAGTTTTCACCATCCTGGCCAGGCTGGTCTTGAACTCCTGACCTCATGATCCATCTGCCTCGGCCTCCCAACACGCTGGGATTACAGGCCTGAGCCACCGTGCCCGGCCTCCCCTACCTCTTTAGCTTTATTAACTCCTATGTGTATTTCAGTGACTTCGGCTCCCTGAACCTGGGCTAGGTTTGGCAGCTCTCCTGATCACTCCCGCAGGCACCGTGTTCACATTCCCTTCACAGGACTCAGTGCACTGGACTGTGATTGTAGGGTTACTTCTCTGTCTCCCTCTCATCTGATTGTGAGCTCACTCAGAAGCAGAACTGTGTCTTATTCATCTTTCTCCAGTACTCAGCAGAATACGTTTGACATATAATAGGGCTTCAGTACATGGTTAGCATGAAGTGACGAATGAAAGGTTACAACTTACATAAAATTTCCCATTTTCAAGATCTTTACCAAGTTTTCTAAGTATGCTAATTCCAATGATAATTTTATTTAAAGAGAAGAAAACCCACTGAATTTCAAATTGCACTGCATTAAAAACAAAACAAAAGTAAGTAAAAAGCAAACAAAAATATATATTCTTTCATTGATGGTTGATGGTTCTGCCTCTCTTTCATTTGGATGAGATTATTTTAGCTTACAAAACACATTTTCAAATTTCATCTTACATAGCAGTCAAATGAGTTAGGCAAGGCAGATAAGTATCTTCATTTTATAGATAAGAACATAGACCCAGTTAGATCAATTGACTTGTCCAAGGTCACTGAAGCATTCAGTGATATTACCAATAATATCTGACTCAAAGCCAGCAGAATTTGCACTGCTTAAGTTTGGAACTTAAGTTGACTGTTAGAAAGTTTATTGAAAAATGTTGCTGGAATCCAGCTGGCCTGGGGTGAGTACAGAATATACCGTAGCAGAGACCCGTCTAAATGATGCAAAGAGGAAACAGGATGGGACTGTGGGGCTCACATCGGCCTGGCCTGCCACCCCACCTTTCTGTGAGGACACAAGAGACAACAGCAAAACAAAGCACCACTGCAAAAGAGCAGTGTCCCCTGGGCTGGGTACCAATTCTAGTAGCACTTGGGTAAGCATGTGGCCAAATACGTATATCTTTATTTTTTTATTTTTATTTTTTTGGAGACGAAGTCTCCCTCTGTTGCCCAGGCTGGAGTGCAATGGTGTCATCTCAGCTCAATGCAACCTCCACCTCCTGGGTTCAAGCGATTCTCCTGCCTCAACCTCCCAAGCAACTGGGACTACAGGCGTGTGCCACCACACCTGGCTAATTTTTGTATTTTTAGTAGAGATGGGGTTTCCCATGTTGGCCAAGCTGGTCTCAAATTCTTGACCTCAAGTGATCTGCCTGCCTCAGCCTCCCAAAATGCTGGGATTACAGGCATGAGCCACCACACCAGGCCCAAAGACGCATATCTTTAAATTCCTAAAACCCAGAAATGAATTTCTGGAGTTAAAGAAGACAGGGAGAAAGGTAGCAGAGCTGATATGGCTTTCTCTGAGGTCAGGTCATCCCTCCTGCCAGATGTGGACAGAGTAGAAAGAACCACACTTCCAAGGATAACTTTTAATGCACTGTGGGCCGTCCACTAATGACATGACTCACTGCATGTCCAATTATATTAGCACCTATACTACTTGGGGCAAGGACAAGAAGTGGAGATATTAGATAAAGTATAGGGAGTTAGCCTGACACAGATTGGATCTCAAGGACAAGTTCAGCAGTTCCTGCTGTCTCAGGGAAGGCAGTACCATCAGGGGTCATACACCAGCTTCTCCTTCAAAACTTTGCACTTCTGAATGACAGAAGAGGGCAGGAGACTGGGCAGCAGCAGTTTGGTGGCATGCCCCTTGATGCCTTCAAACAATACGTTCATCTCTAGAGCTGTGGTCTCCAGGGTTGGGGGTGGTTCTCTAGGCAATGCTGAGGATGACCTGTTGTGATGGGAAGACAGTGTTGGAACTTCTATTTCTATTTATTTTCCATTTATATTCTATTACAAATAGAATTTATATAATAAAATATATTTCTTTTCCAAAATTTCTATATTTTGCATGTCACTTCAATAATAAACATAATATTTTGAGTGAAGTACTTTGATCACATACTTTATAAATCAATATACAGGCATACAAAAGAAGTGAAATAAAGATCATTTGTAGATTACTGGCCTAGAGTTACCAATGTAATCAACCAAAACGTTTATGTAAGCCAGGCTGGAATGCTATAATACAGTGATTCTGAATTAGAAACATCAGTCCACAAGTCTGTTTTAAGCTGGCTTCATGAGAGTAACTGTTAAAAATAAAAAAATTTCAGGTGCTTCTTCCAGAGATGTCAATTCTGTAGGTTCAGAGTTGGGTCCAGTAATCTTTATTTCTCATCATCTTCCCAGGCAGGTCCAGTACACAGCTGGTATTTCTCCTTTTTGCACCTTGGTTTTCATGCTGCACAACAGAGAAACTGGGCAAGAGTCTAAAGCCCTTTCTGTCATTGACATTTTTTTTCTTTCTTCCTTTCTTTTTCTTTTTTTCTTTCTTTTTTTTTTTTTTTTTTTTTTGAGACAGGATCTTGCTTTGTCACCCAGGCTGGAGGCCAGTGCCATGATCAGGGCTCACTGCAGCCTCAACCTCCTGGACTCAAGCAATCCTCCTGCCTCAGCCTCCCTTGTAGCTGGGATTACAGGTGTGAGCCACCATAACTGGCTAATTTTTTTTTTTTGGTAGAGATAGGGTCTCACTATGTTGCCCAGGCTGGTCTAGAACTTCTGGGCTCAAATGATTCCCCCATCATGGCCTCCCAAAGTGCTAGGATTGCATGTGAGAGCCACTGTGCCTGGGTTTATCATTAACATTTTGTGATCCTATTAATTTAATTGCTGTGAAGGAAAGAGCATTCCACAGGGAGTCAGGAAAGCTTGGTGTTAATTTCTACTTTTTCATTAATTCACTCTCTGATACTGCATCTGGGCATCTCAGTTTTCTTACCTATCAAAGAGGAATGGTGAAATAATAGCTTTCACTCAGTGCTTACTAAATGCCAGGCATTCTAAGCAGTGAATATCTAGTCACCTATTTAATATTCACATTGGCATTATGAGGCCTCTGAAGTTTACTCTCACTGTTTTATAGATGGGGACATAGAGACAGAGAAAATGGGATGGTTTGCCTGAGTTCACACAGCTAGTGTGTGGCCTGGGTTCTAGCTCTGCTCTGCCATAAAATCAACGGGCAAGACACTCCCCTCTTGGGCTCTTCAGCTTCTGCATCTATAAGACAAACTAAGATGCCTTCCGGCACTAAGGATTTATTCCTTGCCTGATGACTGTAGGTAAAATTTTGAAAATAAGTGTTAATTTGAAGTGGAAACAGTGACAATATCGGTCACAGCTGTGTTTGCTTGGCTGCGAGGGATCTGATGTGACTGCATCTACCCACAACGGGAGCCAAGACAGCCCACGTCTGCAGCCTTGGCCGCCTCTGAGTCTTTGCATTGTCAGCTCCCACACTGCTAGGCTCCGTGGAAGGATGGGAATGGCATGACTTGAAGCGAGTTCAGTTGAATGAGATGTGGGGCTGTTGGGAGATGTAATGAGCCTCACATTTGTCAGCCAGGTAGCCGTGAGGCCTCAAGTCTCCTCCTGGGAGCATATCAGGTGCCTTAAAAATGATTTGGTTCAAAAGCCCTCTCTCTATATAGCGAACGCTTTTCCCTTATGGATTTGAGATCAGAGGGAGCTTCAAACTTGCATGAGAGATGAGGGGAAAATTACAAAGGTAATTCTGTAACTGTGATGAAAGAGATGTTGTGACCGCTGCCCTAAATTTGTTCAGTGAGCTTGGACTGGTCATTTTTTCTTTTCTGGACTCATAAACCCTTATAAATTAGCTGCACCTTTTATTTTATTTTTAATGTTTTTTAGAAATAGGGTCTCACTTGTTGCTCAGGTTGGAGTGCAGTGGCAAGATCATAGCTCATTGCAGCCTCAAACTCCTGGGCTCAAGCAATCCTCCCACCTCAGCTGCCCTTGTAGCTGGGACTACAGGCATGTACTACCATATCTGGCTATTGTTGTTTGTTTGTTTGTTTGTTCGTTTGTTTGTTTGAGATAGGTCTTGCTACGTTGCTCAGGCTGGTTTCAATCTCCTGGCCTCAAATGATCCTCCAGATTCAACCTCCCAAAACTCCGGGATTACAGACGTGAAGCCACCCAGGTTTGCAACTTTTAAATAAATGAAGAAGAAGAGAAACAAGCAACAGCTTACAACCATCATGTCCCTTATGAACAGTCCTGTGAGACAGGTATTGTGCACACTATTGATGAACAAATAAACTCTGGAGGTTAAATCACTCAGCCTGGGTCACCCAGCAGGCAGATGAGGAGCTAGAATTTGCATCCAGATCTTCCAGGCTTCTCTGGGGCGTCATCTGCACTCGCGCTGCCTCCCTGGAGCCTGCGAAATCACTCGGGCTGTAACCCTGTGGGAAGTCCACTGTTCTCTCTCATGGAGAGGTCTGGGTGGGGTGTCATCATTTGACACAAAGAGCTCTTTCACCGGCTGCCATGACTGAGGACCACCCAGGACAGAGTCGGTTTCAGCCACAGCTGGACAAATTTCAGTCAGATCCGTAGAAGAATTTCCTGGCAGGGTGGTTAGACAATGGGATGAGTTCCTGAGCAAAGTTGTAATTTTCATCTTCAGAGGATGTGAAAGTTAGAACAATTTTCCTCTGTCTCTAAGTTGCAGAAATATGAATTATGTTTCCTCTTCAGGTCCCTTTACACCAGACAGGTCTTATGGGGCTCAGGAGATACAAAGCATCCCCTGAGAGAAGAATTTGCTCATCGTGGTAGAAAGAGGCAAGTCAAGCTGCACTCAGTGGCTCATGCCTGTAATCCCAGCACTTTGGGAGGCTGAGGTCGGCAGATCATGGGGTCAGGAGTTCAAGACACCAGCCTGGCCAACATGGTGAAACCTGTCTCTACTAAAATAGAAAAATTAGCCAGGCATGGTGGCATGCGCCTGTAATCCCAGCTACTCGGGAGGCTGAGGCAGGAGAATCACTTAAACCTGAGAGGCAGAGGTTGCAATGAGCCGAGATTGCACCACTGCACTCCAGCCTGGGCGACAGAGCAAGACTTCATCTCAAAAAAAAAAAAAAACCAAAAAAAAAAAAAAAAGGAAAAAGGAAAAGGAAAAAGAAAAAAGAAAGGAAGAGGCAGTCAGTCTGCATACACTCATCACACTCCTCCAGTGTGCCCAGCACCGTCCAGACACCAGGGATGGGGAAGAGCACATGTCTGCAAAGATCCTTGGTACTAGTGATGGGAGACAAACTCCAAAATGAATGAGGTGGTATCACATTCTGATGAGAATGGGAAGATAACTTGATAGGGAGAAACTTGGGGCTGTGTTTGAAGGGTGGTCCAGGAAGGCCTCTCTGATGAGATGTCTTTTGAGTTGTCACCTGGAGGAAGGCAGCACCCAGGTGGACACAGAGGGATAGAGTGTCTGCAGCAGAGGGACAACAAGAGAATGAAACCAAACACCCCAGCTCTGTGTGCCTCCTACCAGCCGACAGCACTGTTCTGAGCTCGAGGTTCTTCATCCCTGCAATGGGGACAGTATCAGTAACTAGTTTATTGGCTTGTTGTGACAACTAAATGAGAAAAACAGATGTATGTCTACCACCTCACTGACACCCCAATTTCTCCTTATTATATAGTAGTTGGACATGCAGGTGTTTGAGAGAATGAATTGGGTAGAACTCCTGTACAATCTGTGGTCAGGAGCAGAATTAATATGGAAGGCTCAGCCAGTCAGACCTTGAGTTTGGAGCAGCCGTGACTACCAGGGTGATTTTTGCCAAGTCAGTTCACCTCCTCCAGCCTCAGTTTCCCCATATTTAAAATGTAGGCAATATTATGCTTCCCTGTGAGAGTTGCTGACAGGACCACATTTATTTATTCAACAAATACTTGCTTAACACTTAGTATCTGCCTGGCCCCTGTTTTATGAACTGAGGGATCCACAGGAAGCACAGCAGAAAAACTAAGACAGAAATTCTCACAGAGCTTCCAGTCTACTGGGGAGTAAAAGACAAAAAAAAGAAAACCACACACAAATAATGAGGAAAGGTATGTGCACATCACTCACAGTGTTCACAGCCGCAGTTGGAATTTGACCCGCACTGGTTGCTCAGCAGCGGTGGTGAATCTGAAGACTGACTGAGTAGGGAGCAGCAGTGGCTCCTCATCTCTAGATATCATCCTCTGGATAAGGAGGTTCACTCACAGCTGCTGCCACATTTAATCCTGAACCCTGTGAGGGAGGCATGACCACCCTCAATTTATGAATGTAAAGAAGACAACCAGCTGGCCGTTCCATCCTGAGAAAATGAAGGAGAAAAGCCCATATCTGAAGCTCATGGTCAGTCTCCTGGCATGGGGGATAGAGGCAGCAGGATAGAATCTCTTCCTAAGGAACTGGGGCAATGCGGTAGCTTGAGCCCTAGAGCAAGTGTGATGTCCGTTTGCTAGAACAGAAGTGTGTGAATAGAGTGGGCAGGCTGCCAGGCAGAACTGGCACCGAGAGATCCAGCTATGGACTGATGGACACAGAGTAACCGCCCCGAGCTAGGGCTGAGGATTAGGTAACTCCAGGTGTGTAGAAGCTGCACAGAGGTGGGGATGGTGCCGAGGAGTGTGGTGGCCATTGAGCTGCACCCCCAGGGTCAACCTTCAATAAAGAACTGGTGGTTGTGCTGCAAAGCATTTCCAGGATCTACCCCACCTTTCAGGGCAAGGCTGTGCTCTTCCTGAGAAGCCTTCAAACAATGTCTGAGCAGGGCAAGGGGACTAGAATCTGGACATTTCTTCCCAGCACAGGACTCCTCTGATAGATGATCCTTCTCGGACACTCATTGTTGGGTTGGCTGAAAAGATCAGATCTGCGTTGCTCTCTGAGTCTCTCCCTGCCCAGGCCTGGTCACTGCCTTCCTCCCTTCTTTTCACAGGTGCTGGATCCACCTCATGCTCTGAAAGCTTGATGTCCCTCATCTTGATGTCCTTCCTTTCATATCTTTCACATGCTTGCCCGCATAATGTCCTTGCACTCTCCTTATTCTCTCTCAGTGTCATCTTCCTGGAGCACCCAGCTGACACAGGTCAGGACTGTGTAGGTTATATCCGAACACCTGCTCCTGCAGCTGGGCGTGTGCTGCCAGGTCCTCTGGATGAGTTGGTGGGATTGATCTTATCACGTGTCCATCACAATTAATCTCTGGTATGGTTCTTCGGGCCATCTGTGCCTCATTAATATTCTGAGCCAAATTATTATTTTTTCTTTTTAGAATCAGAATGATTTCTAATCCCACTGCATCCTGGTAAGTGGGAAACTCCCATATTGTAATAGTTCAGTTTCACAGACTTGTGGAGTCAGAAAGGCCATCTATAGAATTGCTCATTTATTCATTTATTTTCCATTATTTGCCTAGGTGGCAAATTCGAAGGCATTATTCAATGACTACGTAAAGCTTTACCTCTTTAGGAAGACATCTCCATCCGTTTGGAAGTCTTAGGTTCTTTTTTCTCTCTTCAGTGCATACACGCATATACTGTGGCATTTTTGTTTTACCTTCTTAACCATGCCTTCTTGGAGTACAGGAAAACTAGCAATACCTTGCAGAGTGTCTGACACATAGCGTGGCTTTAGTGCATATTTGGCTTTTTAACATAAAGAAATCCAACATTTACTGAGGGTCATTATGTGTTAAGCCTATGTTAGATGCTGAGAAACAAAAGAAAAGTAAGTCACAGTGTCTGACCTTGGGAAGCTCATAACATAGATGAGGAGGTAGAGGCACAAACAACTAAATTTAGAGAAAAAAGCAACAGGCATATGAAATGTCTGCTCAGTAGTCTGAGCAAAGTCCAAAGTACTGGTTTCTTCTACTCTGCAGACCCTCTATTGCCATAGTCTAATGTCTGTTTATCTGAGTCATGAACCCACTAGGAGAATGAACCAAACCCTGCTGGAAATGGCTTCTCCTCTCCAGGACACTTCTCATGCTCTATGGTTCCCAGTCTTCCCTACAGTCAGTCAAGACTATGATGATTTAAAAAATATTGATCAACAAGAGAAACTGAAGAAAAAATCAAAAGAAATATTAACCATAAGCACTGGTGTTTCCCAGTCATAAATAATAAGCATGCACTTCTTTGGGTTTTTGTGTGTGAGGCTATGCTGGTGGGAATGACCAGTATTGACCAGTGTTTCATTTTAAAGACTTCTCATCTTCCCAGGCAATTAAAGGCTACTGTTCATGCAGATTATAGCTTTATTCTTGGGGGCTCCATGTTTTTATAACCTTCAAAAACTGAGCATCTCTCAACTTTGGATACAAATGATACAGTTTCATTTGATCTCAGTATTGAATGTCTTTATAAAAGTCTGCATGCTGTGACAGCCAAGGGGATTATATAACAGGGGACAACGGTGAAATCAATCGAGGAGTAATCTCCTTGGAAAAATAGTGCTTCTTTAGGAGGCAGTGTAATTGCCTGTTCTATAATAAGGATCAGAACTGAGGCAGCATTTGGACAGAGGACTTTCAACCATAACTTGATACATCTCTGAAATTGGGGTTGGTACATTGTCCTGTCATACCGCATGACTGCATACCGCACATCAAGTGAGAGAGCTGCCTCCCCCATGTACCATGTACTGTAGTTTAACTATACCATCACCTGTGACATTGACAATAGCCTGCAAGATAGACCTTAATATTGGCTCTACCTAGTTGATAAATAAATGGCATCAAAGAGGTAAATAACTGGATCGCAATCACATGGATGGCAAGTAGTGGAGCTGACATTACTATGTGGCATGTTCATTCCTAGCCCATGTTTGTTTTTTGTTTTTTTTTCCATGCTTCATCATTACAGTTTGTATCCTAGAATATTTTCGATAAAGCATAAGATTCTATTCAAATATATACAATGATGCTAATAATTTGATAGGTACTCTGATTTCACAGATATTTGGCCATTACAAAGAGAACTTGGTCTTTTTCTGAGAACAGAAATCCTTTCCAATATGCCTAACCATAATTGCCTCTTTACAGGAACATTTTCTATGCATTTGTACAGATCATATGCTCTGCCTGACATGACCTTCTCCCTCCACTCCTTGCCTTCTGGTAAATTCTTCTTTATTCTTTCTAAAAACTTCCAGGTACAGGTAATCAGCTTAACCTCTGTGCTCTCAGAGAACCTGCATGTAAATGCATTATGTCCCTTCTCACCTTCTCTTGAATAAGCCTCCATCATGGTGTACTGCCTTGTACTGTGAGAAAAACTGTGAGTCTGCTTTGAGGGCCAGGACTGAGGCCAATTCATCTGTTTTCACATTGCCTACCACAGGGCCTGCATACAGCAAGTGCTTGAAAAAGAAAGAGAGGGCAGGAGGGAGAAAGAGAATGCAATGTGTATGCCAACTTCACCCGTATCTATGTCAGACAGAAAGAAATACCACAGGGTTTCTGAAGCAAAAAGGGTGACCATGGCAGGAGGTGGGACCAGAGGCTGCAGCAAGGCTGGGGACTCACAGACGAGTCCATCACAGGGCTTTAAAATCGATGCTTAGTTTGCAGCTGTGGTTCAACTTCCATGAGCTGTAGGAAGATGCCTGCATATGGACAGGAATAGGCTCCTGTCTTCATTTTCTCCACAGTCACAAGACATTTGGCTTTGTGATTTACTTTTGTTTTCCTTTAACACATTTCTATTTTAACAAAGAAATACAATCTAAACCTAGGAGTGTGATATGGTTTGGCTGTGTCCCCACCCAAATCTCATCTTGAATTCCCACACGTTGCGGGAGGGACCCGGTGGGAGGTAATTGAATCATGGAGGCAGGTCTTTCCCAAGCCGTTCTCATGATAGTGAATAAGTCTCACAAGATCTGATGGTTTTAAAAAGGGGAGTTTCCCTGCACAAGCTCTCTTCTCTTGTCTGCCACCATGTGAGATGTGCCTTTCACCCTCTGCCATAATTGTGAAGCCTTCCCAGCCATGTGGAACCATAAGTCTATTAAAATTCTTTCTTTTGTAAATTGCCCAGTCTTGGGTATGTCTTTATAAGCAGCATGAGAATGGACTGATGCAGAGTGGTATTAGAACTTAAAAAAAAAAAAAAGCTATTTGAAATTACCTTGAGTTTCCTCTGGGTGGTCCTTCAATATACCATGACTTGTGTGAGTTTCTGTGAGCTTGGATTTAGCAAACTCAGTGGCTCTTTGTCTCTACTCTCAGCTCCCACCACCACAGTAACAGTTGGTCTCCTGAGGGTCGCAGTTCAGTTTCAAATATAATCCCATCCATGTCACTGTTGAAAGGTCCCTTTACAGATTACTTCTTCCTTTCACAGGTGAAGAAATAACTCCCTAGAAATAATTAGCCTAAGGTTCCTCCATCATCTTTGGCTCCAATCTCAACATTTCACATCAAGGAATCTGAGGCTCAGAGGGAGAAGGACTGCACCTTCTAGCTCTTGGTCAACATGATGTGATTTTCTTGGTCATCTAATTTGTTATAAGTCATTGGTATTTAGAATGCTGGGATAAGAATTCCCTGTGTCAATTTATTTACTGGCATGATTAGCATGAGCTATCAAGTGCAGACAAATATAATACATTTTTATAAAATTTTATTCTAAAATTATTTACATATTCAGCATTAACTCATTACAAATATAAAATATTGATCCTTGGTGAAAGGTTTTATGGATACAAAGTGCTGTGTTCCTTTATACAGTTATTCCGGGGGAAAAAGGTGTTTTTCAAAAATGGTAATCTTCTCAGAAGCTTGTTCTGCTTGTGTTTTTTTCCTCTGACAAAATACAATTCAATCAACTTACATGTAAAACAAAAAAGACCACATGCTTTAGGAATTGTCATGGATTCTGAGTTTAAAAGATTCTAGGATGTATGGATTCTAGCAGAACAGCTACCCCCAAAAAAGTATTTTCCTAGAGCTCTATGTTTTCACATATGTAATGAGTACTCACTACATATAAGGCTCTGAGTTAGGCAATGAGCACCGATTTGGGGGAAAATATCAGGAAATGATGCTGTTTGTAGTATCAGAAGAGATGATTATGTGATTGAGACCTACATAACAATAATGTGGTTAGTGCTGCAAAAACATCAGTCTTTTGCAGATTGATTTATGGGCTTAACACATTTATGTCAAAATTCTAGAGTTGTTAAAAGACAAAATGTTTTTAAATTTAATCGTGAGTAGTAAACAAATAGGAGTAGAGGAGCAAAAGCAAGATATTTAAATTGATTTATCTTATGCAATAATGTACTATATAGCTAAGAAATTAAGAGTATGGAATCTACACCAAACTGGCAAAAAATGAAAGAAAAAAAGCAAACCACTCTTCCTTCTTACGTCATGCTTTGGTGTTAAGAAGGTTGAGTGTTGACAAGGGGACCAAATCTTACCTCCATGGTGCCAGGCAGTGAGCATGACTTACAGTGCCTCCAGTCCTCAGGAGACTCTAGTCTGCAGGGATGGGCTTCAGTGGCTCCATTTTTAAAACCAGGGAAAGGTGTCTCGGGAGTCAAAAGGACTCAACCATATCCTTGTGGAGCCAGGGAGGGCAAAGTCCAGAAAGAACTAGTGGGTACAACAAGCACATAAGGCAGGCAAAAAAAGTGGGCAGGAAATTTTCTCTGACCCTTGGCTCATTCTCATTGCTTTGTCACAGTGTATCCCCTTACAGGGACAAAATTTGCAATTGTTGAGTCCTACACGGTGCCAGGCATTAGATTAGGAACTTTCTACATTGCAGTGCATTCTTCAGCAACCCAAAGAAGGACAGAAATTTTTCCCATTGATGGATCACAGTACTGACACCTCAGATGCTGAGAGGCTGGTGACCTGCCTGAGGTTGTGCCACTTGGAGAAGTTCCTGAGAAGCCCCCCAGGTTTTGAGGAATGATGTTCTGATGAAGCATAGCCCCTCATTGTGAGCTTACTTTACTCAGAGATGGTGAACCATGGACCTTCCCTGCTCCCATTCTGAGCACACTCAGATCTGCTTCATTATCATTATTCTTGTCTTTCCATGGTGGAAGTTCCCCTGGCACTCCACAGCCTCTTCTTCTGCCTTACTTCCCGATATGGATTGGCTGTGTCCCCACCCAAATCTCACCTTGAATTGTAATAATCCCCACAAGTCAAGAGCAGGTCTATGTGAGATAATTGGATGATGGGGGCTGTTTCCCACACACTGTTCTCATGGTAGTGAATAAGTCTCATGAGATCTGATGGTTTTATAAAGGGGAGTTCCCCTGCACAAGCTCTCTTGCCTGCCGCCACGGAAGATGTGACTTTGCTCCTCATTCACCTTCCACTATGATTGCGAGGCCTCCCTGGCCATGTGGAACTTTGAGTCAATTAAACATCTTTCTTTTTTAAATTACCCAGTCTCTGGTATGTCTTTATTAGCAGCATGAGAACAGACTAATATACTTCCTTTCTTCAGCTTTACTTCATCCAAAATCCCTATCCTAAAGCCCCAGAGAAGCCTAGAACCATTTCCCAGAAAGGGGTTAATGTGACTTGGAGTGAGATGAGGCAGGGGTCTCCAGTTGTTGAGTGGGGCTCTAGAGCTTCCATCTCTACGTAAGAGGAGCTAAGAGTGTCAACAGGTTTTGTTTCTGTGGACATCATGGGCTCATTTGCTGATTTAACAGGACATTATAAACATACACTAGATATTCTATATGCCTAGCATAGCACTAGGTCTTGGAGGAACCCATAGAAGTAGTAAATAAATAGGATAAGTTGTTTTCTCAACTGAACATTTATTTTTTTTAAGAAGTTACACATTAATTAATTAATGCAGACAGCCAGGCAGTGAGCATGGCCTGTAGTGCCTCCAGTCCTCAGGAGACTCTAGTCTGCAGGGATGGGCTTCAGTAGCTCCATTTTTAAAACCAGGGAAAGGTGTCTCGGAGTCAAAAGGACTCAACCACGTCCTTGTGGAGCCACGGAAGGCAAAGTCTGGAAAGAACTAGTGGGTACAGCAAGCACTTCTTCTCTCCAACTACCACCCCAGCTTCCCCCACCTCTAACTGCCTGCGCCCTCATACATGCACACACATAAAAAAAAAACAAGAACTAATGAACAAAAACCAAGCACAAGCTCTGTAAGTGACTTCCATCCTCAAGGCTCTCTTCCCCTACTGTTGCTATGGGCAACCACTGCTAACAGGTACCACAGATTTGGGGCTGCATGGCCAGGCTGGCTGCATGTCACACTGCAGTGCTGATATCTGTGTGTGGGCGAGAGAGGGGCACTCACCGGATGTGTACTGTAATTAGTCCTTCTCAGAATAGCCTCGTTTGTCCATCTCAGATCAAAAGCAGACGGCTTTCTCCAGAGAGAAGATAATAGCTGAATTCCTGCTAAAGCAGAAACTTCTTTTCCACAGCTCCCTAGGAGTGCTGTCCATAACTGGGGCGAGAAAGTAAAAAGCATAAGCACCCCATCTGGAGAGGCGAGGGTGAGCTGGGCACCAGGTTGAGCACCTTACATGCAGCCATGCCAGCCATCGTTCCTCAGGGCAAGCCCAGCAAAGTGGGCATTCTCACCCTCATTTTAGTGGACGGGCAAGTCGCTTACAAAAGGCACACAGCAAGTGTGAGGCACAGCTAAACCTCATTTTTTTTTTTTTTTTCTGATTCCGAGACTATTCTTCTGCCACAGCACAGTACTCGTTTTCAGAGTGCAGCTCCAGGGCGGGACTGCAACTGATGAGGAGGGCTGCTAGATGTGAGCCAGGGAAAGTCACCATACTGGTCTCTCCAGATGCTCAGATCTGGCTGTGCTGCTCATGACTTGTGTGAGTTGGACTCATCTTTCTTTCATTTTCCCCCCTGTCACACAGGCTGGAGTGCTGTGGCACGAACTCAGCTCACTGCAACCTCTACCTCCTAGGTTCAAGCAATGCTTGTGACTCAGCCTCCCGAGTAGCTGGGATTACAGGCAAATGCCACCAAGCCCCTCTAATTTTTGTATTTTTTGTAGAGACAGGGTTTTGCCATGTTGGCCAGGCTGGTCTCGAACTCCTGACCACAAATGATCCGCCTGCCTCAGCCTCCCAAAGTGCTGGGATTACAGGCGCAAGCTGCCATGCCTGGCCAAGTTGGACTCATCTTTGAGCTACCTCCCAGGCCCTCCAGAGGGGCTCGTGGGCTCGTGGTCTCACTGGTCTGTCTTCATGACTCTATAATGCTGGACCTTTCCCTTCATACAGTGTCGGCCCTGGGTGCTTGGTCCATCTAATGTTCCTGCACCTCCACAATCTGCATTGCCTGTCCAGGAAGGCAACTGACCTATTACGTTGAGGTTTTGGCTACTTACCTATGTAATCCTGAGGCAGGATGCAGCGTCCCCTCCTCTTACAACATACTCATCAATTCAAACAAAGAAACAAAACCAGGGAGATTAGTATCTCCCAGAGCTAAATTCAGCTTAAAATAAAATGAGGTCATACATGTGAATAAAGTTCCAGGAACATAAGCACTCAACGTATGTTGTGTTTTCTACCTCTCTGGGTTCCTCCAAAGCCTAGTGCTATGCTAGGCATATACAATATGTAGTGTATGTTTATAATGTCCTGTTAAATCAGCAAATGAGTTGATGATGTCCACAGAAACAAAGCCTGTTGACACTCTTAGCTCCTCTCATGCAGAGATGGAAGCTCTGGAGCCCCACTCAACAACTTAAACTAGGTCAGGTTTTGTTTCTGTTATTTACAAATGAATTCTATTATACTCTTAAGTGATCATTCTGATTGGTCTTGCCAAACAGGGAACTAAGTCTGTTACATACAAAACCTGAATATTTTGTCCATCTCAGAATTAACCAAAGACTGATAAATGACCAAGCTTATCCAGTGATTGACGGAATGACCTCAGTAGGACAGACAGGAAAGAGAGAGGCTGTATGTCTTTGATCAGGGGATTTATCTCCAAATCTCAAATTGTCATTTGTAAAATAGAGATGGATAAACAGATAAAAAGAATATCATGACAACAAGATTAATAAAATAAACTACAGTTTGGTGAGTCACTACTAGGTCCTATTATTTTTACATAGATGATCACAGTTTTTCTTAATTTTTTCCTTTCCTTCTCTTTCTTTCTTCTTTCCCTTCTGTGATAGTTAATGTTATATATCACTTGGCTGGGCCACCGTGCCCAGCTATTTGTTCACACATTATTCTACATGTTTCTGTGAGGTGTTTTTTGGAGGAGATTAACATTTATTATAAAAAGTTTAAAGTGTAGACTTTGAGAAAAAGAAATTGCACTCCATAATATGGGTGAACTTCTTCCAATCAGTTGAAGGTCTGCATAGAACAAAAGTTTGACCTCCCTTGAGCAGAAGGAATTCTGCCAGCAGACTGCCTTCGAACTAGAACTGTAACTCTTCTGTGAGTCTCCAGCCTGCCAGCCTATCCCATTAGGTTTTGAACACACAAAACCTCCACAATTGTGTAAGCCAGTTCGTTGAAATAAATTTCTCTCTCTCTTTCTCTCTTTCTGTACGGACATGTATGCACACACACACACACGCACATATACCTACATATATGCACACACATGCTGCTAGTTCTGTTTCTCTCAAGAACCCTAATATACCATCCTTTCTTCTTTATTTCCCTTATTTCTCCTTTTCTCCCTACCACCTTCCTTATAGATTAGGAAATTGGCTCAAGGAGATATAGTAATTGCCCAAGGTCAACAAGCTTGTAGGTAGCCAAATCTGCATTTCAGGTGGGTCTTACACCAAAGCCTCCAAAGCTTCAACATTTCCATGTAGTGAATTGTGAAGTATTCTGCAAACCATAAGATAGCTCTGTGAGTGACACTTAGGTCACCCAGTAAATCTGGCTTTGGCTTCTCATCCCTCATTGTCTGTACTGCACTTTTGAGAGCTACAACAGAGAGTCCAAGACTCTGTCAGATCTTCTGGAGCCTCATAGAGTCTAACACTAGCCATCTATTGTCTTTCCTCCATTGTATTTTGCAAGCAAAGTAGACATTTTTTTAGCATTAATATTTCATGGAATAAAGAATAATTGCATTCTATCCATGTGTCTAATCTACATAAAGTGTAGTTAAGCTGCCCCTGCAAGCTCCTGAGTCTCTCTTTCCTCTCCAACTCCACCTCCACCACCTGAGCTTATTCCTCCATTAATTCCTCAGCAGCCTCCCAGCCTCAGCTTGTCAACTGTCCCTTGCATACAAACCATTCTCCACAACACATATGGGTAATGTGTTTAAACTGGACCTTTGTCTATACCATCTCTTTCCTTCATCTCAAGCAAAAACCCACCAATTTTACTATTGTTCATAGAATCAAACCCAAGCTCTTTAGGGCTATAAAGTTTCCAATTATCTATTTTCTGCCTTAATATCAAGTCTCAGCTCTCACAGACACTCCCTGTTACCTTATGCACTAGCCATAATCAATGGCATTTTCCCCTGAGGTGGGCTATATTATTGTTCAAAATGGTTGACACTGCTCCTTATTGGGCCCCTCCCTGTGGAACATTAAATAAATTCAGCCCTTGCTGTCAGTCTTGTCCATGTGACTTGTTTTGGCCAATGAGGTACAATGAAGTACAACAGGAAGTGGCAGTGCCCCTGCTGACCCATCACGCCATCTGCCATTTTGTCTCTGGCAGGAGACCCACATGTTCCAGAGGCTCTTCCTTTAGCTTGGATTGCAGAATAAAGATGGCATCAAGCCAATCCTAAATTAGCCTGTGATCATTATGTGAAATGAGCAACCAATCAGGGCTTATAGTAAACTGCTAAGATTTTAAGGTTATTTGTTATCATCACATAACTGAGTTTATGCAAACCAAACCCTCTTTCATTCTGAATCAGGTGGCCCTTCCTGTAAAGCTCACTATGCCATACACTTTATTTTTATTAGAGCCGTTTTACATCTTTGTCTTCCCTATTAGCAAGAGAAGCCATCCAGGGCAAGAGTTTGTGTGTGTTTGTCACTGTATCTTCAGTGCCCAGAACCTGACATTTGGAATGTGTTGCCTGAATGCATTGAGTTGTGCTCTTAACCCACAGATTTTGTTTAAATACCGATTGAGTTAATAGGAGTCAAGAGGTTGCTATCAATACCTCGGATCAGAGAGAGGTGTTGAGTGTATAACTAAGATCAGAATGGTATGCATTACAGAAATGAACAGAGCTTGGTGTTTTCCAATAGATAGAAACTATGGATATATAGTATTGAAAAAAGAATTCTGGACATGACACCAAGGCTTATATAAGGGCGTTCTAAAGACTTTTTACAAGCTGTGGACCATGTGGATTTCCTTCTTCTTTACAGTTGTTAAGAAGAAAAGTTACATTCACGACATTTTTGTGTTCTCACTGCTTAAAGTAAGAAAATATTTGAAGAAGAAAAGATCTGTTTGTACAAAAGGATCGAATAAACAATATCAACATTTTCTGGGCACGGTGGCTCACGCCTGTAATCCCAGCACTTTGGGAGGTGGAAGGCAGGTGGATCACTTGAGGTCAGGAATTCGAGACCAGCCTGGCCAACATTGCAAAACCTTGTCTCTACTAAAAATACAAAAATTAGCCAGGTGTCATGGTGCATGCCTGTACTCCCAGCTGCTCGGGAGGCTGAGGCAGGAGAATCACTCAAACCCAGGAGGCTGAGGTTGCAGTGGGCCGAGATCACGCCAATGCACACCAGCACACCAGCATGGGCAACAGAGCGAGACTCCACCTCAAATTAAAAAAAAAAAAAATCAACACTTTACGAAGTCAGTGATTCACAAAAGCCTTCCTGACAATTGCCCTTCTGCCTTGGCTGAGCTGAGATGTCACTATTATGTGCTGTTAATTCCGTTCCCCTCTGTACATCTTTCTTGCTTTGTTCTAATGCTATCCTGATTTACATTGTCCACGTTGGTCGACACCAGGACATAGACAAGATGTAAAAAACATGCACAGGAATATAAATTTCTTAAAAATTGAACCCAAGTAAAATTATAAGAAGGGATAACTGATTCATTCATTAATTCATTTATTTAAAAGTGAATGTTGGTGGATGATGGGTGCTGATCAGCCACTGTCAACCCTGCTGAGGATTCTTTCCAGTTTAAGAATTGGTCATTGCAAGGATATCCAGAATATTTTATTCTTTAGTCTTGCCTTCTTTCCCATAGCATAAGATAGCCAGAGATAGATGCACTTTTGAAATTACAAAGCCCAAACATCTTATTTGACTTAGGTCAAGCCTGAAAAAATGACTCACTCAAGGGCAAACTGTGAATTTGTCATCAAAGCCAGGACTAGAGCCAGAGTTGCTTGTGTCCCAAGCTTTATTTTCCTCCTTTTTTTTTTCATTTAAAATTCATTTTTCAAGGGTTATTCAAGAGAGTTTCAAAGATACTCAAGGACAGAGGCGGGTGGATCACTTGAGGTCAGGAGTTTGAGACAAGCTTGACCAACATGGTGAAACCCTATCTCTACTAAAAATACAAAAATTAGCCAGGAGTGGTGGTGGGTGCCTGTAATTCCAGCTACTTGGGAGGCTGAGGCAGAAGAATTGCTTGAACCCAGGAGGCAGAGGTTGCAATCAATGATCTGAAATCACACCACTCCCCTCCAGCCTGAGTGACAGAGCAAGACTCCATCTCAAAAAAAAAACAAAGATACTCAATAAGCTTCTACCATGTATTTTAGTAATCATATAAACAATTTCATACTAATCTCTAGGTTAATTTATTTGAGTTACAATATGTGGTCTGCACACTGTCATAGGAGTACAGCTCTGGAGCTGTGACAAGCAGGCAGACATGGCTCATGTCTTGGCTCTGGTCTGACCACTGCATGTTTTCAGACAAGCTGCTTTAAAAATCACAGCCTCAATTCCCATTTCTGTTAAACATGTGAAAGCCACCTACCCATTGTGAGGATTCCATGACGGCATGCCTGGGAAAGTGCCCCTGAAACTGATAACAGACACAGTGCTGCAAGCCATGACCATGTCAGATGTCTTTTTATACACTGGGGCTTCAGATAAATTAATATCTCTCTGTTCAACTGGGCCAAGTGTAAGCTTAGAATTTCCTGAATACATAATTTCATTGTTAGACATAGTGTTAGTATGTGGGATTTAAAAATACATACTTTTTTCCTTTCCTCATTAGTTACAGCATGCTATTTCTCAGTAAAAACATTTCCTTTGTGACTTTCATGAAATCACTGTGATTTCCTAATAAGGAAATACACTCAAGTCTACCCAAGGCCTCTATTTTCTACCACTTAAGGACTGTAGCTTATGGGAGTAATCACTGGGGCTGTCATGCTAATTGCCTATTCAAGTTTCCATCCTAAATTCTGATGGGCAGAAGAAAGCATCCAAGAAAAGAACAAAACCAAAAGGAGTTTCTTTTAAAATGTGATTTGTTTAGGTTTGTATTTACAAAGGTTCTAATTCCAATTGCCAGCATGACCAAGTTTAATGTAGACCAGAAAAAAATATGAGGTTATTCAGTTAAGGTTACTTTTGATCAACCTTGAATGATTGACTGATTCATTCTTTCAACAAACATGTGCCCAGCTCTGGGATGCAAAGATGAATTGGGTGCTTCTGTTCCCAGTGTGCTCACAGGTTAGTAAGGGTAGAAGATAAGCAAATAAGTATAACGATATGTTACAGCTTCTCTGATGGAATTCCGTGGAGAATAGAATGCAATTCTACTGGGGGGAGAACAGAAGAGAATTGCTCAGGAAAGCCTCCTCAGCAGGAATTGAAGGCTGAGTAGGTGTTTGCCAGCGAGGTGTGCCAGGGTGGAGGAGGGAGATAGATGGTCATTCAGAAAGTGGGGCAAGGCTGAACATGAATGTGAGAATACAGTCAAATTCTTTGTATAAGAAATAAATCCACATGTCTAAGGTGATGTAGGATAATAGGGTGACAGTAAGGGAGATGAAGATTGGTAAGAGAAAAAGCTGGAGGAATATGTAAAGGTCTTCCAGGCGAGTGAAGATAAGGCTTTGAACCACAAGAAGAAGAGGAAGAGAGACAGCAAGACTGGATTTAAGGAGAATGCTGAGGAGGTAGCATCATTGGCCATAGAACACGGTGGCTTTACTGAGAAAGGAAACCTATGAGAAAAAAAGTATTTGATTTATATATAGGTAATTTTTTGATTCCAGGAAATAAAATCGTGTTCTTATTTATTTGTAGATGTAAGCAAATGTGAAAAATTTTCTTGGCGGTAGCTCATGAGATCATAGAAGAATATTTGCCCTTATATAAATTCACTGAAAAAAAAATTGTTGATGGCAGGAGAAACAAGAGTGGAAGATGTAGAGAAAAAGAGAGAAAAAAACTAAATGGAGAAATGTAACCTATGGACTTGGACAGATCCACATCCAAGTCCTAATTGAACCGCAAACTAACATTTGACTTCAAGGACAATTATTTACCTTCTCCCGGTCATGCAAACCTACCTGGTTTAGTAGGATGATAGTTAAATATGCAAATGCATATAAATCCTGAGTGTTCAACAAACTTTCTACCTTATTCCCTCCCTTCTCTCTTTCTTGTTTCTGCTTTATTTGATATAAAGATTCTCAGGCTATTTTTGAGGCTGAGATTGAAGGAATCTAATGCCCTCCCACATCCAAACAATTTTCTCTCCATTCTCATTCTCCTCTTCTCCTTTTAGCAATCTCTAAATGATAAATTAGCATCTGTTACTTTCTGCAAGGTGAAGTTTCTTCTTTTTTGTTGTTGTTGTTGTTTTGGTTTTTGTTTTTTTGTTTTGACGGAGTCTCACTCTGTCGCCAGGCTGGAGTGCAGTGGCATGATCTCGGCTCACTGCAACCTCTGCCTCCCAGGTTCAAGCGATTCTCCTGCCTCAGCCTCCCGAGTAGCTAGGACTACAGGCATGTGCCACCATGCCCAGTGAATTTTTGTATTTTTAGTAGAGATGAGGTTTCACCATGTTGCCAGGATGGTCTCAATCTCCTGACCTCGTGATCCAACTGCCTCAGCCTCCCAAAGTGCTGGGATTACAGGCATGAGACACTACACCCGGCCAAAGTTTCTTCTTTAAGACCTCCCTCTTGCTGATGGTCTCATGCATTCTGTTTGCTCACTGTGTTCCAGGATCTCTCTCTAACTCATTTCACCTCTTTATTTTCTCTGACAGCTTTATTTTGACCTTGTAACATGTGCTTGTTTCCTCCAATCTGGAAATGACAAGTCAAAATAAATCAGCATTTCTCTTAATTTTGCCATTCCTGCCTGCCCCACATACTGTCTCCTTGCCATTTTGTCCCAAGCAAAGCAATGAAGACGTACTCCGAACATCATTTCACACTCATTCCTAAACTTCCTGTTCTGAGATTCTTCATTAAATTGAAACAATACTGATGTAGATCTTTCCTCTTCCATGATCAGACCTAGAGGTGGGGCCCAGGAGCTGGAGCACTGTGTTGGGAGCCATGAAGGAGAACCATGCCACCAAATGCCAGGAGGCAAATCACTGGAGGAAGCTGGAGGCACCACCTACACTGGAGTTTAGAAACCAGGACAGAATGAGTGTGGGAGGAGAAAATAGTGAGTTATCCATACGTTTATATGGGAATTTGATCAGGGTAGTATAATAGATACTGAGTAGTTGCCTCAGTAAATGCCTACTCATTTCTACTTAAATGTTCTACTTTTTATCATCAGGTAAAGGCATCCTTTAAAAGCAGGGGTCCCCAACTCCTAGGACAGAGACCGGTACCTTTAAAATTTAAAGGATAAAGTCTTACCAAAAAACCTTGTACACAGAGCCTATGGGAGCTGTCCTTACTGATGCGGGAGTGGAGAGCTTACCTGACAGCCCTGCTGTGAAGGACTAGGGCAGAAGAGAGAGCCCTTTAGAGATGATCAGGACTGATCAGGTGCCTTTCCTTCATCTCTATTTCTTCAAATTTCTGTTTCTTTGAACACTGTTTCTCTCTACTAACTTTTCCCTCCTATGTCCCCTCCTTTGTTTTTCTACTTTGGCCCTGAGGCTTTGGGGAAATACAGAACTCTGGTTACTTTCTATTTCTCTAGTCCTGCTTCTGTGAATATATCACTGGCTCTATCTCCCGCATCTCATTGCAATGGATTCTAGAACTCTGGGCTCCCTTTTTTTTAACCCTATCTGTTCTGTGGAGAACTCAACCAAACCACTGCCTCTCCTGGAAAATGATCAGCATTTATATCCCTAATGCTGAGCCAGCCTGAAGGGCTAATTGCACTGAACACCCCCACTGCATTGAGACTCAGGATGTCTAATGCAAAACTCAATCTGTCTCCCCAGACGTTTTCCTCATCCTATTGTCTGTCTTTCTCTCCTTGCTATCTTTGTTCATGCAGGCCTGCCAGACAAATATGACTTCTCCCACTGTCCCAGGTCCAGGCCCCATAATTGGTCAGGTGACTAGCCTTGTCTGCTTTTTTTTTAGATTTCTTTTTTTTCTTTTTTTGCATCTGTCATTTTTTTCTCCATTTCCTGGCTTCGCTTTAGTTCTCAGCTACACTCATGTGGTGGTCTCCTGTCTGTGATTTTCATGCCCTGATGTCCTTGCAAAGTTTAGTGACATTTCTGTCAGAGGTATTTGAACCAGAGCAACTCCAGCTTCAGTAGTGTCTGGGTAAAATGAGGCTAAGATCTACCAGGCTGCATTCCCAGGTGGTTAAGATATTCTAAGTCACAGGATGAGATAGGAGGTCAGCACAAGATACAGGTCATAAAGACCTTGCTGATAAAACAGGTTGCAGTAAAGAAGCCAGCCAAAACCCATCAAAACCAAGATGGCGATGAGAGTGACTTTTGGTCGTCCTGACTGCTACACTCCCACCAGCGCCATGACAGTTTACCAATTCCATGGCAACGTTAGGAAGTTACCCTATATGGTCAAAAAAGGGGAGGCATGAATAATCTGCCTGTTGTTTAGCATATCACCAAGAAATAGCCATAAAAATGGGCAACCATCAATCCTTGGGGCTGCTCTGTCTATGGAGTAGCCATTCTCTTATTCTTTTACTTTCTTCATAAACTTGCTTTCACTTTACTCTATGGACTCGCCCTGAATTTTTTCTTGTGCGAGATCCAAGAACCCTCTCTTGGGATCTGGATTGGAACCCCTTTCCTGTAACATCTTCACAGTTATCCTCCATGCAACTGGCCAAGCCAGACTCAAACCTAGGTTTCATGGCTCCAAGTTCTACATTCCATTTTGAATATTTCTGTAACTGGGATATTTTATGTAGTGTGTATATAAGCCCAAAAAGGTGAAAACTTTATACATTTGAAATGGATGAAAAATAAATACCAAGTGCACTCCCTGGATGGTTGAAGAGACGATGGAGCCTAAGAAGAAGCATGGAGCCAAAATGAGGCTGCAGAAAGGCATTGCAGTGAGAACACGTCAAGGACATCTGAGGAGCAGGGACAGAACCCCTTCCCGCCTGATTCTCACAACTCTGTGCTATAGGCACCATTCCCCATAGGAAACTGCCCAAGGGGTTCACCTTGCCCACTGCCTAGACAGAGCCGATTTATCAAGACAGGGGAACTGCAATAGACAGAGAGTAATCACCCAGAGCCAGCTGTGTGGGAGACTGGAGTTTTACTATTACTTAAATCAGTCTCTCTGAAAACCTGGGAATCAGAGCTTTTTAGGATAATTTGGTGAGTAGGGGGCTGGTGAATTAGGAGTGGTGATTGGTTAGCTCAGGGATGAACTCATAGGGAATAGAAGTGGTTCTCTTCTGCTGAGTTAGTTCCTGGGTGGTGGCCACAGAACTGGTTGGCAAGTCCAGATGGGGCCATCCGGTTGTTAGAAATGCAAAAACCTGAAAAGACATCTCAAAAGGCCGATCTTAGGTTCCCAATAGTGATGTTATCTTCAAGAGTAATTGAGGAAGTTGCAAATCTTATGACCTCTGGAATAAAGGCTGGTAATATTTAGAATTCCAGTCCCTCTCATCTTGACTTGGTGGCTGGTAGCTTTCATGCGCGTCTGTGTGAAGAGACCACCAAACAGGCTTTGTGTGAGTAACATGGCTGTTTATTTCACCTGGGTGCAGGCGGGCTGAGTCCGAAAAGAGAGTCAGGGAAGGGAAATAGGGGTGGGGCCGTTTTATAGGATTTGGGGAGGTAAAGGAAAATTACAGTCAAAGGGGGTTTGTTCTCTGGCGGGCAGGAGTGGGTGTGGCAAGGTGCTCAGTGGGGGTGCTTTTTGAGCCAGGATGAGCTAGGAAAAGGACTTTCACAAGGTAATACCAAGTGTCATCACTTAAGGCAAGGACTGGCCATTTACCCTTCTTTTGTGGTGGAATGTCATCAGTTAAGGTGGGGCAGGGCATATTCACTTCTTTTGTGATTCTTCAGTTACTTCAGGCCATCTGGGCATATATGTGAAAGTCACAGGGGATGCGATGGCTTGGCTTGGGCTCAGAGGCCTGACATTCCTGCCTTCTTATATTAATAAGAAAAATAAAACAAAATAGTGTTGAAGTGTTGGGGCGGTGAAAATTTTTGGGGGGTGGTATGGAGAGAGAATGGGCGATGTTTCTCAGGGCTGCTTCAAGCGGGATTAGGGGTGGCGTGGGAACCTAGAGTGGGAGAGATTAAGCTGAAGGGAGGTCTTGTGGTAAGGGGTGATATTGTGGGGATGTTAGAAGAAACATTTGTCGTATAGAATGATTGGTGATGGCCTGGATACGGTTTTGGATGAATTGAGAAACTAAATGGAATAACAGAAGGAGAAAAACAGGTATAAAAGGTCTAAGAATTGGGATGACTCAGGATATCTGATTAGAGAGTGCCCAAGGAGATTCAGCGTAGTCCTGCCAGCAAAGATCATTTATTTACTTCAAGAGTTAAGAGTGGCAGTTTGGGGATAGCACCAGGAGATATCAGCTGTGATGGCTTAGAAAAACAGTGTAAACCAGCACTGTAAACAAGAGCAGGGCCTGTATGAGTAGTTGAGAATGGTGAATAGGAGTATGACTACACAGAAGATAGGAGGGATGACAAGTTTTTTTGGGGCACAGTCTAAGTTGGTCTGGTGTCTGGAATGAGACTGGGACCTAATAAAAAGGAGCGTCTGTACAGGAGCTCAGATGGGCTGTACCCTGTAGCATTCTGAGGACAGGCCTGCATTCTGAGAAGGGAAAGTGGTAAAAGTATTGTCCAGTCCCTTTTAAGTTGGTGGCTGAGCTTGGTGAGGTATGTTTTTAAAAGACCTTTAGTCCATTCTACTTTTCTTGAAGATGGAGGACCATAAGGGATGTAAAGGTTTCACTGAATACTAAGAGCCTGAAAAACTGCTTGGCTGATTTGACTAATAAAGGCTCATCTGTTATCAGACTGTATTGAGGTGGGAAGCCTAAACTGAGGAATTATGTCTAACAGAATGGAAGAAATGACTGCGGTGGCCTTCTCAGACCCTGTAGGAAAGGCCTGTACCTATCCAGTGAAAGTGTCTACCTAGATAAGAGGTATTTTAGTTATCTGACTCAGGACATGTTGAGTAAAGCTAATTTGCCAGGCTTGGGTGGGGCAAATCCTCGAGCTTGATGTGTATGGAAGGGAGGGGGCCTGAATAATCCCTGAGGAGTAGTAGAATAGAAGATGGAACACTGAGAAGTTATTTTCTTGAGGATAGATTTCCACGATGGAAAGGAAATGAGAGGTTCTAAGAGGTGGGCTAGTGGCTTGTACTATAGCATAACCTGCCTTTGCTGGTGTATGGCGATTAGGCCTGGTGGAACCGCCATCAATAAATCAAGCGTGATCAGGGTGAGGAACAGGAAAAAAGGAAATTTGGGGAAATGTGAATGTCAGGTGGATCAGAGAGATACAGTCATGGGGGTCAGGTGTGGTATCAGGAATAATGTGGGAGGCCAGATTGAAGTCTGGGCCAGGAACAATGGTAATTGTGGGAGACTCAACAAAGAGTGAGTACAGCTGAAGGAGCCGGGAAGCAGAAAGTATATGCGTCAGGTATGAGGAAGAAAATAGACTTTGGAAGTTATGAGAACTGTAGAGAGTGAGTAGAGCACAGTTTGTGATTTTGAGGGCCTCTAAAATATTAAAGCAGCGGCAGCTGCTGCACACAGACATGAGGGCTAGGCTAAAATAGTAAGGTCAAGTTGTTTGGACAGAAAGGCTACAGGGTGTGGTCCTGGCTCTTGTGTAAGAATTCTGACCGTGCTAACCTTGCCTAGGAAGGAAAGGAGTTGTTGTTTTGTAGAAGGTGCTTGGGTTTGAGAGATCAGTTGGACACGATTGGCAGGGAGAGCACGTGTGTTTTTATGATAATTATGCCGAGATAGGTAACAGATGAGGAAGAAATTTGGGCTTGATTGAAGTAATGGGGGCTGTCTGTGAAGCTTTGCGGCAGTACAGCCTAGGTAATTTGCTCAGCTTGATGGGTGTCAGGGTCAGTCCAAGTGAAAGCGAAGAGAGGCTGGGATGAAGGGTGCAAAGGAATAGTAAAGAAAGCATGTTTGAGATCTAGAACAGAATAATGGGTTGTGGAGGGAGGTATTGAGGATAGGAGAGTATATGGGTTTGGCACTACGGGGTGGATAGGCAAAACAATTTGGTTGATAAGGCGCAGATCCTGAACTAACTTGTAAGGCTTGTCTGGTTTTAGGACAGGTAAAATGGGGGAATTGTAAGGAGAGTTTATAGGCTTTAAAAGGCCATGCTGTAGCAGGCGAGTGGTAACAGGCTTTAATCTTTTTAAAGCGTGCTTTGGGATGGGATATTGGCATTGAGTGGGGTAAGGGTGATTAGGTTTTAATGAGATGGTAAGGGGTACATGATCGGTTGCCAAGGAGGGAGTAGAGGTATCTTATACTTGTGGGTTAAGGTGGAGAGATACAAGAGGAGGACGCAAAGGAGGCTTTGGATTGGGAAGAAGGGAGGCAATGAGATATAGCTGTAGTCCAGGAATAGTCCGGGAAGCAGATAATTTAGTTAAAGTGTCTCAGCCTAATAAGGGAACTGGGCAGGTGGGGATAACTAAAAAGGAGTGCTTAAAAGAGTATTGTCTAAGTTGGCACCAGAGTTGGGGAGTTTTAAGAGGTTTAGAAGCCTGGCCGTCAATACCCACAACAGTTATGGAGGCAAGGGAAACAGGCCCTTGAAAAGAAGGTAATGTGGAGTGGGTAGCCTCCGTATTGATTAAGAAGGGGATGGGCTTACCTTCCACTGTGAGAGTTACCCAAAGCTCGGTGTCCATGATGGTCTAGGGGGCTTCCAAGGCAATCGGGCAGTGTCAGTCTTCAGCCGCTAAGCTGAGAAGATCTGGGAAGGAGTCAGACAGCCTTGGGCCAGAGTTCCAGGGGCTCTGGGAGTGGCTGCCAGGTGAGTTGAACAGTCCAATTTTCAGTGGGGTCCCACACAGATGGGACGCAGCTTAGGAGGAATCCCGGGCTGCGGGCATTCCTTGGCCCAGTGGCCAGATTTCTGGCATGTGTAGCAAGCTCCTGTGGGAGGAGGTTCTGGAGGAATGCCTGGCCGCTGCGGTTCAGGCATTTGGAAGTTCTTGTGTGCTGGAAATGTGGCTGGGGTTTGTCTCACAGTGAAGGCAAGGAGTTGCAACTTTTTTCTATTATTGTACACCTTGAAGGCGAGGTTAATTAAATCCTGTTGTTGGGTTTGGGGGCCAGAATTTAATTTTTGGAGTTTTATTTAATGTCGGGAGCAGATCGGGTAATAAAATGTATTTTGAGAATAAGACGGCCTTTTCACCTTTTAGGGTCTAGGGCTGTAAAGTGTCTCAGGGTTGCTGCCAAACAAGTCATGAACTGGGCTGGATTTTTATATTTGATGAAAAAGAGCCTAAACGCTTCTGATTTGGGATAAAGAAAAAGGAGCATTAACCTTGACTATGCCTTTAGCTCCAGCCACCTTTTTAAGAGTAAATTGCTGGGCAGGTGGGGGAGGGCTAGTCACAGAACGAAACTGTAAGTTGGACCAGGTGTGAGGAGGAGAGGTGATAAAAAGATTATAGGGTGGAGGAGCAGAGGCTGAGGAAGAATTGGGACCTAGCTTGGCCTGGCAAGGAGGGTAGAAGTCAGATGGGTCTGTAGAAAAGGAAGATTAGAAAGACTCAGCGATGCTTGGGGTTGTGACTGAGGGGACAGGAAGGAGGGAAAGAAGGAAGATTTGGGACGGGTTGCACTGGGCACAGAGACTAGGAAGGGACTGATGTGTAAAAGAATGCCTGGACGTCAGGCATCTCAGACCGTTTGCCTATTTTACAACAAGAATTATTTAGATCTTGCAGGATGGAAAAATTCAAAGTGCCATTTTCTGGCTATTTGGAACTACTGTTGAGTTTGTATTGGGGTCAAGCGGCATTGCAGAAGAAAATAAGGCATTTAGGTTTTAGGTCAGGTGTGAGTTGAAGAGGTTTTAAGTTTTTGAGAACACAGGCCAAGGGAGTAGAAGGAGGAATGGAGGGTGGAAGGTTCCCATAGTGAAGAAAGCAAGCCTAGAGAAAAGAGAGAGTAGAGAAATGGAGGGAAGGGGTTCAGGGGTTCTTACCTTCCAGAAAAGTTGGAAAAGGGGTTGGGGTGCAGAGATAAGAGGTTGGGGCATGGAAATAAGGGATGGGGCACAGAAATAAGGGATTGGGGTGCAGAGATACGAGGTTGGGGCACGGAAATAAGGGATTGAGGTGCAGAGATATAAGAGGTTGGGGCGTGGAAATAAGGGATTGGGGCACAGAGATATGAGGTTGGGGTACTTGCGCCTCTAGAAAAGTGGAACTTGCCACTAAGAGTGAAGGAGAAGGGGTTGAGGGGTACTTGCCCCCTCTCCCAAAAAAGCGGGACTTGCCGCTAAGGGTGAAGGAGAAGGGGTTGAGGGGTACTTGCCCCTCCCCCAGAAAAGCAGAGAAGGGGTAGAGACAAGGAGAGAAGGGCTTGGGGTACTTGCCCTGTCCCCGGAAAAGCAGAGAAGGGGTAGAGACAAGGAGAGAAGGCATTGGGGTACTTGCCCCTTCCCCAGAAAAGCAGGACTTGCCGCTAAGGGTGAAGGACCAAGGCAGGTGTCCCTGCATGGTCTGACACCCTTGAAATGTGGGTGTATAATCAGAAAGGCATCCCTGCAATGATTAAACACCAAGGGAAGGCTGCCTTCCCAGTCTGTGACCGGCGCCGGAGTTTTGGGTCCACGGATAAAATGTGTCTCCTTTCTCTCTACCAGAAAATGAAAGGAATTGAAATTAAGAGAAGGGAGAGATTGAAGTGTGGCGCCAAGATTGAAAGGAGAAAGAGGTTGAGGGATAGTGAGGGAGGTTGGAGAAGAGAGTAAAAAGAGGCCGCTTACTGGATTTGAAATTGGTGAGATGTTTCTTGGGCTGGTCGGTTTGAGGACCTGAGGTCATAGGTGGATCTTTCTCACGGAGCAAAGAGTAGGAGTACGGGGGAGGTCCCCCGATCTGAGTCACAGCACCAAATTTCATGAGCATCCGTGTGAAGAGACCACCAAACAGGCTTTGTGTGAGCAACATGGCTGTTTATTTCACCTGAGTGCAGGTGGGCTGAGTCCGAAAAGAGAGTCAGTGAAGGGAGATAAGGGTGGGGCCGTTTTATAGGATTTGGGGAGGTAAAGGAAAATTACAGTCAAAGGAGGTTTGTTCTCTGGCGGGCAGGAGTGGGGGTGGCAAGGTGCTCAGTGGGGGTGCTTTTTGAGCCAGGATGAGCTAGGAAAAGGACTTTCACAAGGTAATGTCATCACTTAAGGCAAGGACTGGCCATTTACCCTTCTTTTGTGGTGGAATGTCATCAGTTAAGGTGGGGCAGGGCATATTCACTTCTTTTGTGATTCTTCAGTTACTTCAGGCCATCTGGGCGTATAGGTGCAAGTCACAGGGGATGTGATGGCTTGGCTTGGGCTCAGAGGCCTGACAGTAGCCTTTCTTTTGTTTTACAAGAGCAGTTTAGGCTTTTGCAAAGGGCTGTTATATAACTATACACTAAATTCCTTCCAAAAGCTAGTTCAGCCTATGCCCAGGAAGGAACAAGGACAGTTTAGAGGTTAGAAGTAAGCTGGGGTCAGTTAGGTCTGTTATCTTCCACTTTCATAATTTTCTCAGTTATGATTTTTGCAAAGGTGGTTTCACATACTCCCATCCATTTTATATTTGAGTAATTCCAGACTCAGAGAAGTTAAGAAATCTTCCCAAGGTCACTCAGCTAGTTGGGGCAGAGGCAGGTGTCTCTAAAATTGGTTTCTCCCTAGTCCATCATGTTCCTTAAAACCTGGGACAGTAACCACATTCTCATATGCAGGTGTACACACACACACACACACACACACACACACACACACACACTTGCGTCTCTGTCAGTGGAGAGTAAAAGACACATGGTAGATTCATGTAATCAAGGATGGGTGAAATCACCATCTATTTTCTTTAACTTCTATGTCATTTCTTCTTTTTCTTATTCTATACCATGTTCCACATGTCCATGTCCTCAGGATAAACCTGTAAGGAAATGTGCTTTTTCAACAGTATATACCTTACTTCCTCCCTGTCCCAGACATTATGTTTAGCAAAGTTACTTGCAAGTCAGTTATAGGTCTAAAAATATGCACTCATGTTGGTTCGCTCTTCTCTTACCCTGGCTGCAGAAACTCACTGGTGCCTGAGTTCAAGGTAGGCTGAATGGTCCCGTCCATAATCTCATTGGTGCCTGAACTCAGGTAGGCTGAGTGGTTCAGCCCATAATCACTAGGTTGACTGATCTCCTGAGAGCAGATCTAAGACCCAATCCTGCTGCCTAGACCTGGAAACTGTGTAGTCAAGCCCTTCCCCAGACTCCCTGGGGAAGGAGTTCCTGCCAGTCAGCTCATTTACATCATAATAACATTCTGTCTTCTGTGTCTTTTTACCTTAAAAAAGAAATGAGTGCTTTTGACAGTCATCCTTCCCTGATGAGATGTCTGTTAAGCTGTCTCTTGTAGACAAAAAGGTACTTTATCACAGTGTTTTACAAACAGGGAAAGAGTTGTCAAGATCCCAATGAAAGTGGTGTCTACTTCTCCAGCTCTGACATTTCATGGGAGAGAAAGGATGTCTGCACCTCTGAAATGCAGCAGCAGCAGCAGTAGCAACAGTGAGCTGAACCAAAGACCTAGGCGGGCGGACACGCCCACAGCAGCACAGGGAAGAAGAGCTTGACTGAAGGCAGTGGGGCTGCCTACCACCCTCTTCAAAACAGGACAGGATGATACAAAGGAAGAGCTCCCCATTGGTCTCAGACTTGGGTTCAAGCTCTGCTTCGACTTACTTAGGAACCTGGGACAAGTCACTAAATCTCTCAGCCTCAGTTTAAATATCTATTCTCATAGAAGGCGAGGACTAAGCCCTCATTTTTTTTATCTTGCCCAAATTCCTATCTACGGGGTCTGGGAATCATGCCCTACAAATCATAAATTCTCATCAAATGGGTTTTATTTAACCCATATATCGTGATTTACTTTCCAGTCCGACTCTGGTATAACATTACGTGACAAAGAAGAAAATCAAAATATTTTACCCCGAAACATGTTTCTTTGCTATATTTTGAAATGGCCTTGCAAAGCTGTCCTCTGTGGGGGAAAATTTGCATGTGTAAATAATCTCTATTACCATAGCTAGGTTTTTTTTTCTTCTGGACACTCCCTAAAATGTATAAAATCAAGCTACACCCTACCCACTCTGGGCACATGTCCTCAGGATCTCCTGAGGGCTGTGTCACAGGCCATGGTCGCTCATATTTGGCTCAGAATAAATCTCTTCAAATGTTTTCTAGAGTTTGAGTTTGACTTTTTCATCGACAAAGGGAAGAGAAACAATCATTTTATCATTTATGAAGAGTCAATGACACGCCAGGCACTCTAGCGGTTATATGTTTATAGATATTACCTCACCATATCTTCACAAACCTAAAAATTGAAGATCATTTCCCTTCCTTTTCAGATATTGTTGATTTTTTTCTTTATAACACCCTATTTGAAAAGCTCCTCTTTGGAACTTTTTCCTCCAACTAGCTTAGAACTCCACATCCAACATGTTCTTATCTTTAATGAGTAAGAGTACAAGAAGCTTAAATTTATTGAGCCTTTCGAGGGTGTCACACACTGTTTGGCACTTTATGTCATCAGTTCATTCTTACAACGGGCCTAGAGGCAAACATTCTTATCCCATTCGTAGAGGAAAAAGGCTCAGAAAGGTGCCATCTCTAAGCTTAGACCAACCCAGTTGGTAATGGCTAGGGTGGGATTCATACTCAAATCTGGTTAACTCTAAAGACTTTGCCCTTTATGCTTGAAGCTCTTTCCACTCTTTTATTTCAGGACTTATAAAACCATTGATAATGTTTCATCATTCTTAATTAACAAAATGATTTTCTAAGTCACGTCACCCAATAATTATTAAAATCTTCTGGAAAATTCTAACTTGTGATAGTGAATTGGTATTGAAATTGACTGTAGTTTGGTTTTTTCACCTAATTATGCTAATTGCTATTTCTAAGCATACTTAGCATTTTGAATTATTTAGGGCAATTACGTCAAACAACATGTTTAATTTGTCATGTCAAGTATAATAATTAGTAATAATTCTTGAAAGGATGTCATTACAAATTTGAGGTATTTACAAGGTATAATTATGTCAAATGTGATAAAACCAAAGAATAATACCAATGCTTATAGAAAAATGTTGCTGCAAATATTTTGAACATTGAATGTTGGGACCATTTTAGACATCCTTGTTGCTCAACCAAAGTCAAATCTGGCGTGGTTTAGTGGCTTGCTTACTAATTAAGATAAGAAAATTGGGTCTTGGATAACAGTTGAACTACTATTTAATCCATCCAAAGTTCCTTCCTTTTTTTCTTAACTGGAGAGTGAATATTAATGGTTTTCCATATTAAATAGTTACACTTTAAAAATGAGTCTGGGGAAACAAGAACAATCCAGAAACAAATGGATTCCTTCCAAATATGGAGATTTCAAGCTAAAGTAAGAGAGTAAGAGGTGAGTTAAGTTAAATGGGCCAACTCTTTCACAGCTGTGTGGTTTGCCAAATCACTGGCGTATTTCATTTTCAATAACCTTTGGTGTAAGTTGGGGATAGCTCATGTTGTTTGCAGAGGGAAATGAGACAGTGCTAAATTGCTTTGTAGTGATAGATGGTTTACCATTGTAAATATTTTCATTATTATTTGAATACCCCAGTCTCAATCAAGAGCACTGGCAGGAAAATAAAAGAATTACATATAGTGCAAGTCCCATCACAGGTGGTAGTAAGCTGTTTATTAGCTGGGTGGTCCTGGACAAGCCATTTTGCCTCTCTAAGCTTCGGTTTCCTCAGCTATAAAATAAAATAATTTCAAAAATGAATTGAGGACAAAATGACCTTCACTTGTTAAGCATTTGGGTTTGCATTAAAGCAGAGTCCTAGAACCACATATTGGAAAGTTGCACCAAGAATCTTGTTCCTCCTCCAACCCTTGCTTCCCAGTTCCTTGGAAAACTAAGTGACTGTGTTTTTTAAGAGCCCTGTCTTTGAGCCTAGATGCCCCTTAGAAACTGAACTTAAATCACTTGCTTGTTAAAGGTTGAAAGTAGACAAAGGACACACATTCTTTCTCCTTTAAGTGTATATTTATATTTAAAAAATATAATTTTAAAAAATATTTTTATAAATTTTTTATATATTATATATATTTATAAATATATATATTTATATTATATATAATATAAATATATATAAATTTTATATATTTTATAAATTTTTCATCAGAAAGAAGAAAGATGATAGTTTATAACAGAGCAATTCTTCTCCTTCCCACCCAAAACTGGTGACGTGGGAGTCCTTTTCTTATTTGTACTATGTGGAGAGTTTTATTTTAGAGTCGTATATTTCCATATGTAAGATTCACACCTGGAGCCAGCATCCTGCTAGTACAATTTCACCTCCAAGAGCCTGTTAAACTCTACTTTTATGTGGCAAGGCTGCCCCCACCCATCTGCCCCTCAGGTGACTGACAAATACCTGTCTGTCTTCCAAGATATATCTCAGGCATTAGCTCTTCTGCAGAATCCTTGTCTAATTTCCTCCTTCAGGGTAAAATTTGTTGTTCTCTTCTTTGTAACTCTAATTTACCTGAATTGTAATCTGTAATAATAACTCTTTCATACTTTTATTATAGATCTCCATTGTCCTTACTTGCTTGGTTTCTTTTGTATTACAATAATTAGAACTCTTTGAAGGATGGAGGCTGTGTCTTGAATATTAGATGAATATCTGGATATTTCCCAGTATCTAGCACTGACCAGGCATATGGTAAAAGTTAAGCGAATGTTTGTTAAATGAGTTAATGAATAAGCTTTGGCACAATGTTTAAAATAAGAGCTAGAAATAGAAATGTTCAGGATTTGAATTCAAACAGAAATGTCATTCACTCATTCATTTATTAATTTTACAATTATTTATTGATCATTGGCTAAGTACCAGGGACTTAGCTAGGATCTGGGGATGTATCATTGAACTAATTTGACACAGATACATTTTCCTTAAATTCTAATGCAGTATTTCTCAAAGTGTAAGTGAGGAATCAGTTGCATCAGAATCAAGGCAGATGGGGTGAGTGGAGTGTAATATATAAATGTTTATATCATGAATATTATAAATGAAGCAAACCATCTGACCTGCTAAATTAGACTCTCTGGATACAAGCCCTGGACTTCTCTTTTTTTTTTTTTTTTTTTTTTTGAGACAGAGTCTCACTTTGTCACCCAGGCTGGAGTGCAGTGGTGCAATCTCGGCTCACTGCAGCCTCCGCCTCCCGGGTTCAAGCGATTCTCCTGCCTCAGCCCCAAATAGCTGGGACTACATGTGCGCACCACCATGCCTGGCTAATTTATTTTTATTTTTATTTTTATTTTTAGTAGAGATGGGGTTTCACCATGTTGACAAGGCTGGTCTCTAACTCTTGACCTCAGGTGATCCACCCTCCTCGGCCTCCCAGTGTTGGAATTACAGGCGTGGGTCACCGCACCCGGCCAGATTTCCCATTTTTAATGAAGAGTTAATTCTTATTTTTCTTAAAGTTTTTGAATTATTGAATTTCATATTGACTTAGTTACATGCTAAGAGTGTGAATTTGGAGTAGTTACTGAATGTCTCAGAACCCCAATTTCCCCATCTGTGTAATGGAACCAGCGCTACCCAACCACAGAATTTAGTGGTGAGGACTACAAGTCCTCTCTCTAAGGTGATTCCTAGGTGTCTAGTTAAAGTTCAGTTATCATTTCAAAGGAAATGATGCCGCAGTTTCCTGTGCTCCTGGAAATGCCCTGAATATGTGATTTTTAAAAAATCAAATCTTAGTTTAACTACAACCACAAAGATCTCTGTTTAAAATGAACAACCACTACATAGATTGTCAGCTTTGTCAGTTTAGATCTCACATAATGTATTTTCAACTCAGTCTGACGATTATCCAAGTACCCCCTCTAATGCATGTGAACAAAGACGCTAAGGTGAAGTCCTTGACTTCCAGCCCCTCAGGATCACATGGGGATATAGGCCTGTATACAGCAGTCACAGTCCACCTAGAGTAACAAATCCTTTGGAGTCTTATAGGAAGTTGACTATTTAGGGATAGAAGGTGGAGAGGCTGACCAGAGGCACAGAGAGGCAATATAGAAATTGGGAAGCTCAAGGAACTGCTTCCATGCCTTGGCGGGGAGAATGAAGAGGAGGGTGGTGTAACCAGATCCCATGAGCTGAGGGTCACCTGGCACCAACTGCCATCAGCTTGAGCTTCCCAGGCCAGGCAATGTGAGGGTGAAGCTGGAGAGTGAGCTGCTTCCTGACACCTTTTGAGGCAGAGAGAGTAGGAGACAAATGTTCCAGCATATCCTACTACTCATCCTTCTGTGTCTCTTGCCATTGCCTCATGTTGACCCAACCCACACTGAGTCAGCTGAATGAGAACCTGGGAAGTGAAGTCCTGGTGGGGTCAGACCTCCTGGGGAAGCCCAGGATTGACAGGTGTGGGAGATTCACTGAGCGGCACTGAGCACTCAGACAGTGGTGTAAAGGCCACAAGAGAGAAAGAACAGCCATGCCCCATGGGAACCAGGCTGGCTGCCAGACAGAGCCTTACAAATGGACAGAAATGCGATGAGATCACCGTGGTTTGGCATCTTCTCCACAAAGTCTCAAGTTGAGAGATTGTATTTTGCCAAAGTGCCCTTTAGTGATCAGACTCAGCTTCTCAACCCTGCTGATCAATCAAACCTGTAGGCAATGGAAGCAGAAACCCAGATTCCATATCGTTGGTTTACCATGAGAAATACCCATATGAGGACACTCATGACTAATGTTTTCTAGTCTCTCTTTAGTGACAGGTATTTGGGAAGCTAAATGACAATTAGAATATGTTTCATGAATCTGGAAAGAGGTTGAGGAAGGGGTGAAAGTCTTAAAACTTAGAGTAATTCAGTTACATTTCCTCGGTAGGTCTACTGCATTTCATCTTACCTAGGGTACCACAAAGTGCAAAAAACACCATCATTTTATGCACCATGGAGAAGCAGGAGGAAGAAGAGGAAGAAGAGAGGGAGGAGGGAGAAAATACTCTCTTTACACGATCAAACAATGCTTCCTTATCACTTCACATTTTTGTATTAAACTTATTGAAAGAGCTCCTTTATAGTGTTTTAGACAGCAGTGAAAACAACGTGAACAGCTATGGCCAAGCTCATGAGTGCACAGTGACCATGACCATGACAACATGATTACCATCTTGCTGACAGTAATGTTAGAACTCCCTCGCTTCGGATGCATCTAAATTTAGGAGATGTTAAATGTTAAAACAAAAATGTGCATAATAGACCTGATAGAGTATGGTAACTTCAAGAGGTAGGAATGGTCTTGTCAGTTCCTTAAGTTTCTCTTGAACTGAAGATATTTCATGTTATGCTTTCTTGATTTTGCTCGTAGATTCTTTTTGAGTCCAGCCTCCAGAGAGAGAACTCCTTGTTCTGACCATACAGAAGGAGTCAATGCGAATAGTTAGATTTCACTTTCCTTAGGTGAAATCACACTTGATTATCTGTGATTCGATTGGGTATCATCAAATCCCCTTGGCTGTGTATTTATAGAACCACACTTAAGCTGCCACTAGAGATGATTTATATTACCCATAATATTTTAAAATCATAATTGCACTAAGAAATGTTTGTGATGTTTTACTATCAGCAGTATAAAGGAAGATCTGTTGAGTATTTTTCATTTATAAGCATCTTACAGCTTAAAATGTTTTATTTCTTACATTTTCTTATTTGACCCTCATGATAAAGTTGTAAGGAGACCAGGACATCTAATATTACATTGTTCTTATTATGTTCTTTTAACAAATGAGGAAGCAAAGAATCTGCAAGATTAAGTAATTTTCCAAAGTTTACACTAACAGTAAAAAATGCAGCTGGGACTCATAACTCCAAGTCCTATTTAATTTCCACCACAGTCTCATACCATAATGTGTTTTGGAAACAAAAAATGGGTAATATATTAATTTTAGTTTGGGTATCTGGAGGTTTGGTTGGCAGTTCTCTCAGGAAAATGTATGACTTGAACTAGGTTATCTTCAAACAAATTGTATCAGTATTCAAATTTAAGAAGAAAAGATGGGTTTTCATTTCACATGAATATGCATTTTAAATAAGAAAGGGTTTCAGTGTCTCTGGTCACATTTGAGGAGCAGTTAATGGCTGAGAGCTATGCTATCATTTCATAATATGTACCAGTGAATTTTGTTTTACTGTTCTGAGATATTGAACAAAATATACTGATTTAGATGCTTATAATTTGGTAATAAACTACCCCAACATTTAGTGTCTTAAGATAACACCCATGATTTATTCTGTCTCATTTTTTATTTTCTCTTTGCAATGGTTAATTTAGCTCTGTATAGTGTCAGCTGGGTCACTCATGGGTTTATGTTCAGCTGGTGTTGGGCTTGCCAGGAATGTAAAGATGGTTTCACACACCTGGGGGCTTGAAACTGGCTCTCAGGTGAGGGCTTCTTTCTGCTGCAGGTAGCTTGCCCTCCCCATGTGGTTTCTCCTGCAGTATGGTGAATCCACTTTACATGACGTCATAGAGTTCCAAGAGAGTGGAAACCACCAGCCCTCTGTAGGGTTAGGCCCCAAATTGGCATCGTGTCCCCTCTGCTGCATTCTATTAGTCAAAGCAGGTCAGGCTGGGTCAGATTCAATGGAAAGGAAAATACATTCCACTTCTGAAGGGAGGAATGGCAGGCAAGTATAGGGAAGGGAAGAGTTGTTGGCAACTCTCTTTGGAAACCACCTGTATCAATATTCTAAGTGAATTGCTCAGGAATTATGTCAAACAGAATAATCACTTCTCAGAGATGCCAAAGGTTCTTGCCAAAGAACAAGATCCATGAGATTTTGGTGAAGTACAGATGGTTAAGAAGACCAGTAACTGGCTGTGATGTCTGCTATCTTCCAGCCATATTCTCACTAGGTGCTAGGCTGGCAAGGCAGAGTGGTTAAGGCCAAGAGTTCTGGAAGTGGCAGAGCAGGGGAATTTGTTTAATATCAACAATACTCTGTCCCTGAAAATTCTCCCAGGCCTCAGAGGGAACACATGCCTACCCTTTTGCACTTCTGCTTTTTTTTTTTTTTTAATTAACTTCTTCCGGTTTCACCTTGAACTTGGCTGTGATCAAAAATTGTTGCCTGTGACGAGTCTTCATGAAACCTGCAATTAGAATCCTGGCCCTGCAATTTAGTAGCTGTCTGATGTTGGGTAAACCCGTGGACTCTTCTGAACATCATGTTCCTGGGTTTTAACTTGATAGCAATCATGTTTTCCATGGGGATAAATCAATAGTACTTTTCTTTCTTATTTCTTCCACTTTTCCTTCCTTCTTTTCTTCATCAATAACTCTGCATAGTTTTATGTGATGTTTTTAAAGCCCTTGCATTTGACTTTGATAGGTTTCAAATATAAGCAAGGTTTCCAGTACACATAGAGAATATAATATATATGTTTTATGAATAGATAAATGACCAAATGAATGAACTTAAAAAGGCATTTTAGCTTCTATTCAAAGAGGTGTGTTTTTTGAGTAATGTGGGAACATATACCCAAATCTGTTATAAATGATGACACAATGAGGCAAGGATATTCTGAGGTCTTTACTCAGTCCTGAGACATTGTATCATTGTCAAAAGAGGACCTTGGTTATTCATCTGGTCCTTCAGCCTGAAAAGAGGAAGGGATTGCTCACACAGAAATTAAAGATCCCTAGAAAAGGGAACCCATGATATAAAGTCAATCATACTGAGTAATATGGTTTGACTGTGTCCCCAACCAAAGCTCATCTTGAATTGTAACTCCCATAATTCCCATGTGTTGTGGGAAGGACCGGGTGGGAGATAATTAAATCACAGGGGCAGTTTTCCCCATACTGTTTTTGTGGTAGTGAATAAGTCTCATGAGATCTGATGGTTTTATAAGGGGAAACCCCTTTCTCTTGGTTCCCTCATTCTCTCTGTGCCTGACCCATGTAAGACGTGCCTTTCACCTTCTGCCATGATTGTGAGGCCTCCCCAGCCATGTGGAACTGTGAGTCCTGTAAACCTCTTTTCCTTTAAAAATTACCCAGCCTCAGGTATGTCTTTATCAGCAGCATGAAAACAAATGAATACACTGAGGAAAGCAGTGTTAGGGTGGGTAAAAAAGTGCACCCCAAAATCCACCCACCTAGGATCATACCTCTGCTTTGCTTCTTCCTACTTGATTTCCAGCATTGGGGTGAGGAGTGGCAGCAGGGGTACAGAGAAGGTAGAACTTTCTATGTGTGTGTGCGCAGCATGAATAAGCGTCAGGCACCTGATTCTACTCTTCCTTCCTCCAGCTGCCAAAATTGAATGCCTCCTTAAAAATGGAAGTGTTAAAATTATATATATTGGGTAAAATAATTGTCTTGACACACAAACCAATTACTCTATCTGGTATTTATTTTATTTTATTTATTTTCCAAATAAAATAGTGATCTGTGTTATTGCTGAATTGGAAAAGTAAAAAGGCAGCTATGCTGGAGTTACTAAGGGACATGCCAGTGTCTGCCATGGCACCTTCGTAAGTGATTTTCAAGGGTATTTGACTGTATTTAATTTGCCACCTATATTAACTTTATAACCCTATTCCCACATGAAATGTGTCCTTATTATATGCCCCAAGAGGGACACAGAGTAAGCCTCTTGCAGTGGATATGTTGTATTGGACTTCACTTAGTGAGTGCTTAATACCTACTTGGCACCCCACCAAGCCCTTTGCAACCATTCCTTGCAATCCTTGTGACATCCTTGGCAGTAGATATTATTACTCCCATTAAATAAAGAAATGCAGAGAAGACAGCCATCCTGCCAGGTATGGCTTAGCCAGTAAAGGGCAGAACCAGATTCTAGCCTCGCTCTTTCATGACCCATGTTTATTTTCTCTTTCTCACTGATTCCTAGAAGCTCAGAGTTATACTAAGAGACTACCATCTGCCTTATGACTCAGTCTGGGCTTCCTTTATTAGGTCTCCTAAGAAGTTTTCTCTTCTGTGAAATGGGAGTTTGGAACTCCTAATTTTAACATGTGCAACTCTGGTATACACAAAGCAGGCTGGGTGCTTGGGACCACAGGATGGGTCACCGCAGGTAGGTACAACCGCAGGCAATGCTCTTGACCAGTGTACAGGCCTTTGCAGGTCTTCTGATGAATCTTCTGTTGTCCTGCTTATCTTCCCCAAGAACAAGAGTAGTGGAAAACACGGTAGAGGTAGCAGCTGTGTGTACTGTATGCCCGATGCATTTTGAATATCATGTAACAGAGCTGGTAAGAGCATGTAGACATCAAATCCATTATTTCCTTTCACTGCACTGCTTGTTGAAAATATTAAATTTAATATCATTCCACTTTATCCTTGACTACATCCAAAGACCAGGCTTTGGGCCGAAGCCTGCCCTGGCTTCAGAGGAGGGATTTGTTTGTGCATCCTGTTTATGCCAGAGATGGTTTGCTATTTACACTTAAAAGATACAATGTGTTTGTCAGGCTGGTGGGCGCACACACATGGCTGAGAGAAACCAGAGACTCTGTTGCTGATAAATGCAAGTGTCATGGTGAGGCAGGAGGCAGGACTTGACTCTGGAGTCAGGGCTTGGACACCAGACCCAATTGAGGACTAGCTGAAACAGGGACAGCATGGAAGCAGCTTTGCATAAGACATGACCACCTGTGTGCCATGTCAGTTTATCATTGCTGTGGACATACCTGTAAGCTACTGCCTCCTTCTATGGCAATGACCCACCAACATGGAATTTACCATCCTTTTTCTAGAAATGTCTGCATAATTGACCCCTTAATTCACATATAATTAAAAGTGAGTATAAATATGAGGGCAGATCTTCCTCTGAGCTGCTGCTCCAGACACACTGCCTATAGGGTAGCCCCACTCCATAGGAGCAGTCCCTCTGCTGTTGTGCATGGTGCATGGCCACTTTAATAGAAATTGCTGTCTAACACCACTGGCTCACCCATGAATTTTTCCTGGGCACAGCAAAGAACCCTCCTGGGCTAAGTCCCAGTTTTGGGGTTCACCTGCCCTGTATCAATGGGATCACAAGGTTAGCGTCAAGATTAGTGACAATTCAGTCAAACTCCCCTTCCTGCAGAAAACATTAGTGACCCTGAGCTAGTGGTCTGAGTCTGAACTCTTTAAGGAATTTAATCGGTATCTTCAGGGGTGCTCCAGCTACAATTCCATCCTCAGGTCCATTTCTAGCCATTCTAGATTTCTTATTTCCGAGCAGAGAAACTTTCATTTGCCATTATTGCTTTTGCACTTGCCTTGTTGTATAAAATACTCCTTTCTTTTTTTTTCTTTTTCTTTTTTTTTTTGGCCATCCCATTCTTTTTAGACTGATACACTCCTGTTCTTTCTCAAAGTCCAGCTCAAATGCCATCTTCCTGCCCGTCTACTGAAGGGTCAGAGCTAACTGTTCTTTCCCTGGGCTGCCACCATCATTGACTTATATGTGCTTTAGTGCATATGAATTATTTTGTAAGGCATCAATTTCTATTTATCCCTTCACTTTCACAGTGAGTTTTTCAAGGTCAGGGTTAATGCCTTATTCACATTTTCACTTGCTCACACAGTGCCCATCACGGTTTGTAGAACATAGAGGCTACTTAGAAAATATTTGCTGAAGATACATACATCAAATATGTAAAAATGTTCACATATTTAATGTGTGTATTTCCTGCTTTGTTCAGATACCACTTAAAGTATATTTAAAGATGGGTAAAACGCAAAATGAGAAAGAGAGAAGAGAGAGAAGAGAAAAATAGGACAGACAGAAAGGGGAAGTTTGGAAATAATGAATGACAGAGCTGTAAGGTCCAGGTGTCTGGCTCTAGCCTTGGGTGACTGCTCCACAAGGCTTTGTGCTGTCTCTTATCCTTAGGGTGAATGTGCAGAGGCATGAGGAAAGAAGCAAGTACCAGGATTTGCTTTTATTTTGCCATAAGCGTGGGAAGGGCAGGGTGAGGCTTCCAGGCCTGCCAGCATTTCAGGGTAAAGGTCCCTGGTCTACCCCATTAGCAAACCTCACAGCTTCGGCACATTCCATAGCGACCACTGGTCTCTGGCTGAGGTGGAGGAAGCCTAACACCCCCTTTCCCCTGTTCTTACTTTATAGTTGAATGTACGACGCTTTTGTTTTGTTTCTACAGCTTCCTGCTCTGTCCATCTGTCCTTAGGCCAGCTCCACCTGTGTGTTTCTGGTAGCCAGCTGTGCCTTCCAAGTGCTGAAAAACATACACCAAGACGCCAGAAAGAGCTGCCTTTCCTCCCACTGTAACACAGTTATGAGGGACACTGTTAGGTAGGGAGGGACTTTTCGGTCCACTGAGTTCTCTTCAGCTAAGCTGTCATTGTTTTTCCTTCAGGCTGTCTAGCTGTTATGCCAACCAGAACAACAAGCATAGCTGTTTAACATGCATATCCTGTGTCTTATTTTGGACAATTTAATCAATATTTCATCAGAAAATTGTTTTATAGCCCTTTGGAAATGTGATGTTTAAAAGGCTGATTGCATTTTTAAGTAGATTGGTTCTTCAAGCCCATACTACTTATTTTTATTTACAGTAAGCTAAACATATTTACAACAGAATTTGATAAGTTCTGACATATGCATATATCCATAAAACCATCAACACAATCAAGATAATGAATACATCCATCACCCTTCAAAAGTTTCCTAGTGTCCCCCTGTAATCCTTCCTTCCTGATTCTCTTTGTATTCCAGACAATGATGATGTGTGTTCTCTCCCTACACGAGTTCACATTTCCTGGAGTGTTATCTAAATGAAATCATACAGTATGAGCTCTTCTTTCATCTGCCTTCTTTAACTTAGCATAATTATTTTTAACAATATTAGTTACATTTAGCAAATGTAGCAATATTTGGTTCTTTATATTCCGTTTTATAAATCTACCACAATTTGTTTATCTATTCATCTATTGTCTATTGACATTTGGGTTATTTCCAGATTTGGTCTATTACAAACGATGCAGCTATGAAAATTTTGAACATGGCTTTGTATGAATATATACCTCTTTTTCTTTTGGGTGAATTATTAAGAGCAGAATGTGTTTAATGTACATGTATATTTAGCTTTTTAAGAACTTATCAAACCGTTTTTTAAAGTGGCTTTAACATTTACATTACACCAGCAGTATATGAGAGTGCTATATCTTCTCCAACTCTCGATATGGTCATACTTTTTAATTTAGCACTTCCCACAGTCATGTAGTGGTATCTCAATGTGGTTTTAATATTCATTTCCTTAATGATTAATAAGACAGAGCTTATTTTCATGTGGTTATTTTTTGTGTGCTTATATCTTCTTTATTGAAGTGTCTATTCAAATATTTGGCCTTTTTTTAAGTTTTCTTATTGTATTTTAAAAGTTATGTATTCTGATACAAGCCCTTTGTCAGATATATGCTTTGTAAATATTTTTTCTCATCTTTGTGTTTCTTTTTTAATTTTCTTAACGTCTTTCAAAGAGCAGCAATTTTTAACTTTGGTGAAGTTCAAGTAATCAATTTATTCTTTTATAGATCCTAGTTTTAGTATCATGTATTTTCCTGACCTGACCTGACAGAGAATTTCTTCTAGAATTTTGATAGTTTTCACTTTTATAATACATCAAGGTCTATACTTTATCTTGAGTTATTTCTACATATGGTGAAATATGTAGATCTAAGTTTATTTTATTTTATTTTTGCATATGGATATCAAATCATTACAGTGTCATTTCTTAAAAAGACTATTCTTTCTCTACTGAACTGCTCTTGCATGCTGAAAATCCATTATCCAAATATATAGGGGTCAATTTCTGAAGTCCCTATTCTGTTCTATTGATCTGTCTTTCTGTATATTTGCACTAATACCACACTGTCTGGATAACTGCATTTTTATAATAAGTATTAAATTCAGGGAGTGGTAGTCTTTCAAATTTATTCTGCTTTTAAAATTTGTTTTGGCAATTATTGGTCCTTTGCAGTTTTATATGAATTTTGAAATCAATATGTTGATTACTACTAAAATATTTTTGGGGGTTTTGATTGGATTGCTTTGAATCTACAGGGTAATTTGGGAACAAATTTATGTTTTAATAATATTGAGTCTTCTGACCTATGAACAAGGTGTATCTCTCTACTTATTTAGATCCTCTTTATCTGTGCAATGTTTTAATTTTCAGTATAGAGGACTTTCATATATTTTATAATTATCATTATGAAACTATTTTTGTCATTTCTAGCAATATCATTTTCTCTAAAATCTACTTTGGTATTAACATAGCCAAAACAGCTTTATTTTGAGGAGTGTTAACATGATATATCTTCTTCTATCCTTTCACATTTAACTTATTTATGTTTTTACATTTAAACTGTATTTTCTTAAAGGCAGCATATATCTTACTATGTTTTTTTCATAAAATATGACAATTTCTGTCTTTCAGTGCAGTTTTCTAAACTATTTAAATTTAAGGCACTTATTTCTATAGTTAGGTTCAAGTCTAGCATCTTGCTATTTAAAAAAAATTCTGTTTTTTTGTTCCCATTTTCTTCTTTCTCTGCTTTTAGTTTGGATTAATTGTGCATTTTTGGGGATTCAATTTTATCTCTTCTGCCTGCTTAGCTATAACTCATTGTTTTGTTATTTTAGTGGCTGCTTTAAGATTTAACTTATCACATTTGACCTAAAGATAATATTTACTACTTCACATGTGGTATAAGAACCTTAACAAAATGTTTTCATTTCTCCTGTCTGAGACTTTATATATTTTACTTACGCATGTTATTATGTATACTATTATTTTTATTAACAATCAATTATCTTGTAAAGAGATTTAAATGCTAAAAAGTTTATACTTCCCCATGTAGTAGTCATTTTTAGGCCACTGATTCCTCTGTCTAGACTTATATTTGCATGTGACATTATTTTCCTTCTGTCCAAAAGACTCCTTTTAACATTTTTAGTGTATGTGTCTGCTGGTGATGAGGCTTTCTACTCATTTATTTCTGAAAGCATTTTGTTTCCTTTTTGTCTTTTGAAAGATATTTTTGCTGAGTATAGAATTTATGGTGGAAAATATTTTTCCTATCAGTAATTTAAAGATGTTGTTGGCTCCATTGTCTTCTTGCTTGTATTATTTCTGATAAGAAATATGCTTTCATTTTTTTCTTTGTTCCTGTGTATAAAATGCAACTTATTTTTTTCTGGCTGTTTTAAGGTTTTTCTCTTAATGGATGGTTTTGCACAATTTGGTGACAATATGCATCAGTGTAGTTTTCTTCACATTTCCTAGATTTATAGGTTTGTAATTTCATCAATTTTGAAAATGTTTTGGCAAATTTGTCTTTGTATATCTTTTCTGTTCCCTCTGCTTTTTTTTCCCCCTTCTACTCAAGGGACTTCAAACTATATATTGAGCTGCTTAAAGTAGTCCTATACGTCACTAACATTCTTTTTTTATTTTAATTTTTTAAATTAGACTTCTTTCAGTGGTTCATTTTATTTTTTATATTGCTATTTCTTTAAATTTACTAATCCTTTCTTCCAAATTTTTTAGTCTGACATTAATCTTATCCAAAGTACTTTCATATCACACATTATCATGTTCCTTCTACAAGTTCGATTTGCTTTTTTTTTTTTTTTTTGAGACGGAGATCTTGCTCTGTCCTCAGGCTGGAGTGCAGTGGTGCGATCTGGGCTCACTGCAACCTCCGCCCCCCTTGTTGAAGTTTCTGTCTCGTAATAACTGTGTTCTTTTTTGGGGGGGTGGGGGGCGGGGGACGGAGTCTCGCTCTGTTGCCCAGGCTGGAGTGCAGTGGCGCGATCTCGGCTCGCCGCAAGCTCCGCCTCCCGGGTTCATGCCATTCTCCTGCCTCAGCCTCTCGAGTAGCTGGGACTACAGGTGCGCGCCACCAGGCCCGGCTAACTTTTTTGTATTTTAGTAGAGACGGGGTTTCACGATGTTGGCCAGGATGGTCTCGATCTCCTGACCTTGTGATCCACCCACCTCGGCCGACCAAAGTGCTGGGATTACAGGCGTGAGCCACTGCGCCTGGCCAACTTGCCTTTTTTTAAAAATAATCTTCTATGTCTTTACTTAAGCCTATGAATATATGGACTGCATGTATAATGACTGCTTGAATGTCATTGTTTGCTAATTCTAACATATGTGTCAGTTCTGGATCAGAATCTTTGATTTGATACCCAATATTATAAATTTTACCTTGTTGAATGCTGGGTTTTTTAAAAAATCATAATATTCTTGAGATTTATGCTAGGATGCCATTTTTACTTGGGAAAAGTTTGCCCCTTTAGAGTCTTGCTTTTATCATTTGTTAGGAAGACCCAGAGCATTTTAGAGCTAATTACTTTCCATTATTGAAGCAAGATTTTCCTGAGTATTCTACGCAATGTCCAGGGAATAATGAGATTCTTCAATCTGGTTGGTGGAAACAGGCAGTATTTCCAGACCTGTATGAGTGCTGAGTACTCTTTCTTTTCATCTTTTGGATGGTTCTTGCTCCAGCCTTGGTGCATGGCTTGGTCAGTATTCTGCTGAAAATGTAAGAGGGTCCCAGCCTTGGTGCATGGCTTGGTCAGTATTCTGCTGAAAATGTAAGAGGGTCCCTTGCATTTCTCCAGGATTCTTTCTATATATGATTTTCTTCTCTTCAGTACTTTGTTCCACAAACTCTAGGTTCCTTGGTATCCCTGAAATCTCAGCTTTGTTTCTTCATCCATGGAGTCCACCCGGTTCTTCCTTGGTGTTCTCCCTCTGCATCATGGTCTGCAGACTCTCTCAAGGTAGTAAGAGAATCGCAGGATTTATTTCATTTGTTTTCTGTTTTGCATTGATCACTGTCTTTCATTGCCCAATGTTTAGGGTCTTGAAAATCCTTTCTTTCACATTTTCTTTCACATTTTTTGTTCATTTAATTTTTTATTTTCAGGTAGCATTGTAAACCCAGTATTGTTTTTCCATCTTGTCAACATGTGAAAGATAAATTGTATTACTTTTGATCCACACAATTATATCTCCAATATTATAATAAAAGCCAAAAATCAAATATAATTCAATATATATTTGTTTTTCATGCAACTCTTCAGAATTACATACATATGGGTGCATTTGGGATGATAATTACCAGGGAGGTCTAGTTCGGTTTTCCTTTTTGATTTTATCTGGGTCCAGCTAAAATTCCATTACGATTGTTCTGAGGACAAAGCATTATTGATCTGTGGCATGTAAGAATTAATTTTGTATTAAATTAAGTTCTAACAATCATTAAATAGGTGACACTTTTGTGGTACCCTGAGTCACTGGGGAAATGCAGCACTTTGGAGATACGCAACCTGGGAAGTCACTATGACTCAGAGACCTCAGTCTCTCACAGGCCTGCTGAAGAGCCACATTCAAAGAAGGTGCTCAACAAATATTGAGTGAACTAATCAGTGAAGATCATATGACCGTAAAGTGATGAGACTGGTTATTTGGTATGCATATGCAAATGGTGAAGGAGAAGCCTCCTGTGGAGGAAAAAAACAGATCTTGGGCTCAGAGAGAATTAGGATCTAATTGTAGTTCCTTATTTAACAGGTAAGTGAAAAACAAGTTTAAAAAATCCAAGCTTTATTGTTGTCATCTTTAAAATGAGATAACATTGTCTATCTCACAATATTATTAAAAAGATAATATCGGATGTGTATAAGATACACCCAACATAGAGTATGGTAAACATTAGGCATCCAATTAATGCAAGTTGTCGCTTCTATAGACCACCCCCCTGTGGAAGGTAAAACCTTTGCACTGTCATTGCTCACAAATGTGTAAGAGACTGATCAAAAGTAGGGAGGAAAAGAGTTGCAATTTCTTCACTGATGTTAAATCTTTGAGAATGAATTTGATTTTATAAAGAGCCAAACATCATTCAAAACAAAAGCAAGTAAATAAGTGAAGTGACTTATCAATGGGGATAAAAATGAATAAACACAAAAGGATGTGACGATAAAATCATGTCACACAAATTCAAGTGATTCATAAGCAAGCCTTATATCATTTCCCGATTTGGAAACTATAAGTGTTCCTAGGATTACTACACCATAGGAATAAGTTTTCCTCCCTCTTGAAGGAAGATCCTGGAAATAAACACACTCATGTGGATATATACCTCCTGCTCTGTTTTTTAGAAAGGAAAAAAGACATGAAACTATCTCATTTTGTTACTATCTGATGACCCCTTTTACAACCTTGTTTCAGTCTATGATGCCTTTTTATATATGTTGGTTTGTAATCAGACGAAACAGAAATTCAGATAAGCTTTAAGTGACTTGCCTATGATCATACATGGGTAACTCTCAGCAGTGGATTTTGAACCTAAATTGCGCTTTTCCCACCATGCTACCTATCCTTTTTTTGTACCCTACTCTAAAAATGTTTTATTTTCAGAACAAATTAATGCTAGTCAATCAACTGATAAGTGAAAATATTTAGGGAAGCAAGTAATACTATAAATTATTACTATTATCATTATTAATTTTTATTCCCAATGTTTCAAGATGGAGATAAACTTAATCTGCATGCATTCTTAAAGAGTGACTTCAGTTCTGTGTAGCTGGGTCTTGGCAGTTGGGAAAACACCCACAGTGACTTTAGTGAGATTTTGAATCATTTTATCTCTGGAGTCTCCCGTGGCTTTGTAGGTTCAGACAGAATGCAGTGAGAACTGCCTTTCCCACCCTCTTTCTTTAGCAAATTCAGACTCAGAGTGCGGGGATGCTCCAGCTGCATCCAATTAAACTCCCCCAAACAGGAAGGAAAAGGAGCTGACTACAGTTGCTGCAGAAACATTGAACAGTCTCATTTCCACAGACGGTTCAGCCTCCTCACCAGGACACACTCAGACCATGTCGTGTAGAAAGTCCATGCTCCAGAATAAAGCACTTTTAACAACTGGAGCATTGTCCTCTGGCATGGACAGTTTATTGCACTTTAAGAGCGTACACTATGGACTGTGCCCACACTGTGAGTCAGCAGGGGGAGCAGACCTCAGCTCCAAATTAGCTTCACACTGCCTTTCCTGACCCAGATTCAGAAAAGCCTGACTTTAAAAACCATGCACCTTTAAGATCAAGTCAAGGGCTGTCCCCATCTCTAACCATACTTGTTATTGCAATATGTCTAGGACCACATTTAGATGAAATATAGAGGTCTGAGATAAATAATACTATAAATTAAGCAGCCAGGCCACATAAGGAGACTTGCCTTAGGTTGTGGTGAAAGAATATTGAATCATTGAGCTTTCACAGTTTTTGTTTGACCTGATCAGAAGAAACAAATCTTAGTCTAAATTGAATTACTAGTGCTTTTTTTTTTTTTCTGCCTTGCCAAAGCCAGTATGTCTCACCAATACTCCCTATTGTTTGGCATTTTTTGCTTATCTCAGCTCAGGGAGAAGGCATGCATGGAAAGGCATGCCAAGTGGTCATCAAGACTAAATTTTAAAAGAATAATCTTACTTTTCCATTGTACTAATCGATGATGCTGTTACATTGCCACAGTAGAGTCAGTTACCATTGAATTGCATTGTTAATTCTTAAGGCTATGCAAATAGAATGATTACGAGAGCATCTCATTAAAACCAAGATAAAGATAGTGTGTATTTCTTGGCTAGAGTCCAGTATTTGGGTAGTTTCTTCCTTACCTAGTTAACGTTAAAGTCAGTGATACTAAGCTAGCAAATTTAACATATTATGAACAATTTTGACATTTAATCTAAAAAAAATGAGGTAGGTATTATTATCCCTACTACATTGAAGAGAAAACTGCAATTCAAAAGGGCCAAGTGCACACATTATAGTCATAAGGCTAGTGAACAGCAAACTTAAACTTGGGGTCCCAGCCACCTGACATATTATTTTTATCCCCCTCAACAATCCACCAAATACCCCTTAGTAAATTCAAGTAACTCTTGCAGAGCAGAGTGCCCTGCCAGTCCTGGGAAAACCTCCAGCTGCAGATGTGTTTATGTATTGGTAGAAGAAGGAAGAAATGAACGAGAGTTGGGTGAACAAAAATGCAAGTGCCAGGCCTTCTTCCTTAAGAATTGGTTATGTCACCTTAGGGTAGATCACAAAGCCCCAGCAAAGTTTTTGTGGGAATTAAATAGAAAAATGCATGTCAGATGACTAGTCTGGTGCCTGCATGTTGTAAGATCTGAACTTTAGATCCGGCATGGCTTTCAGAGGGAACTCCAAGCTTGAAGTCCTCATTTTTTGGGAGCTTTTTAATGAGCTTTAAGTTGGGATGTGTGAAGCTCAGACTCAATCGGTGACATTTGTCTCTTGCAGCCATGTGCAGGGAAATTGAATTGGAAATACTTGTGCCTTTTTGACTAGTGTCCACTCTCCTACCTGAAGGATAGGTGGGGAAGCATTTCTTGGCCAGTGACTCAGAAGATGTTGCTCAAGCTGGCTTCTCTGTTCCTGTCCAGAGCCATATATTTGGAGTTAAGTGGGACAGCTTTTCCAACAAAGCATGAGAGAATGACTTAGAGCCTTGGGGAGCCCCCTCATTGGTGGTCTAGCCTCATCTGTGTTTGGCTATATCTAGGGCATGATGTAAGACTATTTTGATTTTTGATGAGACCCATATCTGAGGTTCTGCTTGCATTTTTCCCCGTCCCTGATGTTGCTGTTACTGACATCTATTTCTTCCTCTTTCAGAGCCACCTACACACAATGGAAGGCTTTCACAGCAATTCCCTGCACCCCCTCTTCCCACACTTCCATCTGCCCCCTCCTCTCTGCCCAGGTCTCCAGGATTAGGATAGATCCTAGCTGATTAAAAGAAGCATGTTTCCAGTAACTGCCTTGTCCCACATCACAGCAAACTCTGAGAATGAGCCTGGGGCAGCAGGACACCTGAGGTGGGGTGGGGTGTGTCCTGCAGTCGTTATCTGTCAGAGGGTGAATTAGGAGTGGTGGTGGGTGTGCTCATGTTTCCAGTGCTTGCAATGACCTGTTGGCTGTCCTTACCCTGGCTAGAGGATTTATATCTCACTTCAACTACAGATCAGAGTTCATAAATATTAACATATGTCAATCTCCAACACAGGACTATGTACTGAGCCCCTTCATACAATGGGCTGCTGTAAACTCCACCTGGCTGTTTCACAGGCAATTTCAACTCAACAGCTCCAAAGATGAAGACGTCATCACCCCCATCCCAGCAGCCTCAAATCCTATGTTCTCTCCAGCCCTATGAATATATGTATCACCTGCCAAGACACTGAAGCCAGAACCTTCCTTTTCTCTCCCCCCTTACCCAATTCATCACTAAGTTCCCTTGAATCACTCTTGGATGTTTCTCCCACAGAGCCTTCTCTGCAGCACATTCTATCATTACATCAGTTCTTTCCCTCCTTTCCTCATTTCTTCCCTGGACCGTTACAATATGGTCCACTCATCAGGGAAGTTTATATGTCATAACAATGTCTGGGACCCATTTCAGACAAATTAGAATTACTGGGGGAGGGCAGGAAGGGTGGAGTCTGGGCACCACTATTGTTTTAAAAATCTTATGTCATTCTGATGCATAGCCAGGCTTGAAAACCACTGTCCAGCAATGCCAGTCTGACCCTCCCTCTCTCTCCCTTGCTTGAACAGCATCTTCCATTGTTGTCTGATCTTGAAACAGGCTCTTAGCTGGGGCCCCTTGTCCTAGTCTCTATTACCATTTTCTTTGCCATATTTAACTCATCATGCTTAATGACTGTCCTTCTTGCCTTTGAATGGGCTCTGCCCTGTACCTTCTTATAGCTTAGCAAAACTACCGTTCTTGATATCAAATGCTAGGGGTGTTGCAGGCCAACTGTACTGCAGCAAAATAAAACAATATATGCTTATATGTTGCTTTATATATTGCAATCATGCTTATATTTCAATTTCATTTTTATGTGGGCATCTCCCAGCAGGATAACATTTTGAAAAAACTTTGTCTGAGAGGTAAGAAATCTTGTCTCTGCCCTGACATAAAAATAGCTTTTTGTGTGATCTTAAGTAAGTCACCATCTCTCTTACTCTTGGCTTCAATCTCTCCATCTATAAAATGAAACAACTGGATTAGATGTTCTCTTACATACTAGGTACAAAATTTCATGAAAATCTCTATTAATAGTACATATTTTGCTCAGAGTTATTTGTGTTCCTGAAAGTTATTTCTCACCTTGAAGCATTTGTTGTGCTCTGTAACTGAGCTTCTTTTAGCTCAGATTTTATGAAAACTGGACATTTTTGTCTATGTTTTCTATAACATTGAGCCTAGCACAAAACAGTATAAGTTTAATGAGTGAATGAATTAAAGACTTCACGCTAAGTTTGAGAAAGACAAAGAGACAGAGAGGAGAGAAAAAGGGAGAGAGAGGACATGGTTCTTGAACTTCCAGGAGATACCAGTGTGATGGGGAAAAAGGAATATAGGAGATTCATAGTTCCCCTTCAGCCACAGCTCCCCACCTCTTCCCCAAATGCAGCCATCAGCATTATCCCCAGACCTAAAAATAAATAAATCAGTTACTTTTGGGTTTCTTAATAATTGAATACATGTTTGGAAATAGGCTAGAGCCTTTGAGGTTTCAACTTTGCCTCCCCACCCACCCCACAACTCCACATTGAACAACCAGGTCTTTTCAAATGGAGTCCTGGAGTATCAACAAGCTTTTAACAAAATCGCATTCCAATGATGACTTCAGTGTCACTAAATCAAAAACACATGGTTCACATTGCCTTTTAAATATATGTGTTTGAAAAATAAAGGAAGGAATATTGGACACAAGCTCATGTCAAATTGTTTTCCCAATCTTTTGGTGGTTAGAAAGCCAATGTGAAATATTTGATTGAATCCAAAGGTCTCGTAATATGCTCTTCATCAGTCAGTTTTCTCACCTGTAGAGCTGGGACAAACTCCCATTATCTAATAGACCAGTGTTCTCAACTTTGGATAGACACAGGAATCACCTGGAGAGTTTTGACAAGAAAAGTAAGGCTTTGTTCCTTCCCCCAGAAATTCAGATAATTGGTCTGCAATTGGATCTGGGCATCAGGATTTGTCTAAAGCTTCCCAGATGACTCTGAAACAAAGAGAAGTTTTCTTCAAATTATTAAGATGAATCAGAAGGAAAACAAAATAAATATGTTCTATGTCTATGATGCTAGAATTATATAGAAAGAAACAATAAAGTTTTAAGATGTCTGTAAATTTAAAGGGTTGCCTGGGATGGTAGTCGATTTGTATCACTTGCTCCCCAGTGTTATGGGTTAAATTATATCTCCCTCTTCTCCCAATTCATATGTTGAAGGACTAGCCCTCAGTGCTTGAGAATGTAACTGTATTTCACGATCATTTCCTTACAGATGTAATAAGATAAGGTCATTAGGCTGGGCTTAATGTCTTTATGAAAAGGAAAATTTGGACACAGAAACATGCACACAGAGAGAACGCCATGTGAAGATGAAAGCAGAGATTGGGGTGGTGCTTCTAGAAGCCTAAATGAAGCGGCCTTGTTGTCTGGAGTAAATACCTGAGATTTGTTGTCTCACAGTCATGGAACACTAGGACACAGAAACAGAAAGAGTGAGGTTTGGAGTGGAAGTTTCATAGGTGAAAGAAAGAGAAGAGCTCTCTGTGGCAGAGAGGGGCCCCAAAGAAGCGGGTTGCCACTTCTGGGGTGAAATGCAGTGGGTTTTATAGATGAGCTTGAGGGGGCAGTGTCTGATTTACATAGGGTACAAAAGATTGTTTGGACCAGGTGTGCCATTTGCATAGGGTGCAAAAAGCTGGCCTAATCTTTAATTATGCAGATGGGTTCTCTACCTGGCCAGTACCATGTTGCCTGTTTCTTTACTGTACACATGGTGACAAGGAAAAGGGAAGATGGAGCCTCCATGTTGAACATACCTGGTCCCCAAGTAGCCCTTTTCTGTTGGCACAGCTGCTGGCATTCACCCATGCAAGCTTCCAACTTGCTTATCTATGTCTGCAGCTCGATTTTTCAGTCTGCTCTTTGTTAGAAAAGAAATGATTTGGGAGATGCTTTTTTATTAAAAGGGGAATTCCACTGAGGACTCTGTTGCCCTTATTGTCTGCCTAAATAATTTCTTTCTAGCTTCTGTATCATAAGAATGTCAAAGATTCCCTGGACACTAGGAGAAATGTATCAAACAGATTCTTCCTCACAACTATCCAAATCAGCCCACCCTTCCAACACCTTGATCTTGTTCTTATGGCTTCCAGAATTGTGAGACAATAAATATCTGTTGTTACCAGTGTGTAGTACTTTGCTATTGGCAGCCCTAGCAAACTAATACAATGAGCTTGATGGTAATTCAGGTTTCTTTCATTCAGTGACTCTCAAAAGAGGCAAGATAAAAAATGGGAAATAAATCAGCATCAACTGAGCACCTACTGTGAGAGGACTTAAACAAAGTTAGTGGAAAGTGGAATTGAATGATAAAAATATAAAACATAAGCTTTATTTCTCCACATAAGCTCCATTAAGTTCAAAGCACCTTTGTAAGTGATGATTCCAGCCATTTAGTCCATCCCTACAGAACTGAGAGTCACAGGAATTTAAAGATGTCACTGTGGTCTTTATCACATTATTAACTAAAGAAAAATGAATGCCCTTTAAAGATTTTCTTAAGATTGGGGGACAAAAAAGAAGTCTGATAAAGCCAAATTAAAACTGTAAGGTAGATGTCTAATAATTTCCCATTAAACTCCTGCAAAATTGTCATTGTTTGATGCGAGGAATGAGTAGGATCATTGTTGTGGTGGAGAAGGACTTTCTAGTGAAGTTTACCCAAAAGTTCCTTTGGCTGAGGCTTTGGCTAACTTTCTCAAAACATCCTTATAATAAGCAGATGTTATTGTTCTTTGGACCTCCAAAAATTCAACAAACAAAATTCCTTGAGCATCTCAAAAAACTGTTGCCATGACCTCTGCTCTTGGCTGTTCCTCTTTTGCTTTGACTGGATGGACCACTTCTGCCTCGCGGTAGCCATTGCTTTGATTGCGCTTTGTCTTCAGGATCATATTGGTAAAGCCATGTTTCATCTCCTGTTACAGTTCTTTAAAGAAGTACTTCAGATTCTTGATCCCTGTTGTTTGAAATTTCCATCAAAAACTCCGCTTTTGTCTGCAGCTCGTCTGGGCACAATCGTTTTGGCATCCATTGAGTGCAAAGTTTGCTCAACTTTAATTTCTGAGTTGGAGTAGTGTAAGTGGAAGCATTGAGATATCTATGGTGTTGAATGTTGTTTCTGCTGTTGTCAGTCCTCTTCAGTTAAGGAACAAATAAGATGTATTCTTTTTTTCTCGAAAGTTGATGTGTATGGTCTGCTGCTGTGGGCTTCATCTTCAACATTATTTCATTCCTTCTTAAAATGAATTATCCATCTGTAAACTACTGATTTCTTTGGGGCATTGTCTTCATTAGCTTTTCATAAAGCATCAGTGATTTCATCCTTCTTCTACCCAAGCTTCACCATAAACTCAATGTTTGTTCTTGCTTCAATTTTAGCAGAATTTATGTTACTCTTTTCAAACTGATGTCCTATCCTTCTTAGTTCCTCAAACTAGTTCTTGTTAGGGCACGTTATAATGAGTTACTATGTATTTATTTTGGTGCAAAATAATTTTGAAATCTATTCATAGTTTTTTTTCATAATACACATTTTTCATGAACTGTTTAAAGACCCCTTATATATGCCAAGCATTCTGTTAAGTGCTTTGTAAACTCCATTACAACTTAATGACTGGTATGATTATCTCTAATTACAGATGAAAAAAGCTAAATGAAGGTCATTTAGATAGAGAAACCATTACAAATAAGGGGATAAAATACAAAAGAAGGAAAAGGAAATCTCTGGTTGGAGGGATACTTCTGGAAATTGCATGTATTTGAAAGCAAGTTATTATTTTAAAAAGTATTCCTGACCTTCCAAAGATAATGTCTCTACCTCCCTTAGGTCCATACTATAAACAGCTATTAAATTCCATCCTTATAGGAACAGATATAAATGCTTGTAAGTGCAGTAACATGAGCATTTGGTGGAGAAAAATTACCTCCACTTGGAGTAGGGTGAGGGTTTGTCTAGGGGCTGGATTAGTCTGCTTAGAGCCATAACCAAATACCACAGACTGGGTGGCTTAAAAAACAGACATTTATTTTCTCACAGTTCTGGAGGCTAGAAGTCCAAGATGAAGGTGTCAGCAGGATTGATTTCTTTTGAGACCTCTTTTCTTGGCTTGTAGATGGCTGTTTAGTGGCTAAATCCTCACGTGGCCTTTCCTCTGTGCACACACATCTCTGGTGTCTCTTTGCATGTCCGAATTTTCTCTTCTTAAAAGATCACTAGTCCTATTGATTGAGGGCCCACACCAATGCCCTCATTTTATCTTAATTACCTCTTAAAGGCCATGTTTCTAGATACACTTTCATTCTCAGATACTGAGGTTAGGGCTTCAATAAATAAATTTTGGAGGTACACATTTCAGCCAATAACAAGAGAGTACAGGGGAGACTCCAGGCAATGACACATTTTCTCTGGTCCTTACGGGACAAGTGAGCACTGGAGCCATCATCTATGATGTCAGAGGGCAGTCATTGCCCGAGGATTCTGGCCTCTGTCTACCATAGAGACTGTTGTTTTTATTTGTGTGCTTATTTTTCAGTAGTCTGATAGAGATTTATCTGAAGTGTAAAGCAGTATATTTGCAAATACAGTTAAGAGCCTGATGCTATTTTGTGTTGTTTATTTATATATATATTTTATTTTTTTTTTGAGACAGAGTCTTGCTCTGTCACCCAGGCTAGAGTGCAGTGGCTCAACCTCAGCTCACTGCAGCCTCCACCTCCCAGGTTCGAGCAATTCTCCTGCCTCAGCCTCCCAAGTAGCTGGGATTACAGGCACCCGCCACTGCACCTGGCTAATTTTTGTATTTTTAGTAGAGATTGGGTTTCACCATCTTGGCCAGGTTGGTCTCGAACTCCTGACCTCATGATCCACCTGCCTTGGCCTCCAAAAGTGCTGGAATTATAGGCTTGAGTTACCACGCCTGGCCATGTTGTTTGTTTTTGTTGTTGTTTATGCCTACTGGCCTTGTTTAAAAGGTCCTCCTCTCAACTACAAGACTGTCTAATGACACAGATACCTGCAGACCCATTTTGAGCCTTGAAGTAAGGCAATGTAAGCCATCTGTGAAAGGTAGAGCTGAAGGTTTTCCTTCTGTAAAGTGGGAATAATAATAGTAATAGTAAGACTTCTATCACATGATGGCTGACAACACTGGTCTCATCTAAAGGGGCTGACACAAATAGACACTTAGTTAGAGTTAGCTTCCTGCCTCTGGACTCAAAGCCAGCTAGCTAGTCATAAAGCATTAACAAAATTGTAGGCAAGGAGTAGAGGTGTTTGACACCCCGTGAAAGTTTAGGTAGGCAGAGCCAGAGTCGTAAGTACTTTCAGGGTTAAAAAAACAAAGCAAAACACAGAGCAGTACAATGAGTGACAGGAGAGCCAGGAAAGAGAGAGCCGCCTGTGCCAGCCAACAAAGACCATTGCCTTTGGATTCTGAACAGATTTTGTTTCAATTTCTTCCAGAAGAAAGAAGAGGCAGGAAATCAGAGAAAAACAACACAAAAGACCCTTCCATCCACTCTTAAGGAAATGTAAGCCAAGGCCTGTTAACCACAGCCAAGTGGGTGGCTAGTTTACAACTTGGGCATTGGCCGGAGTCAGCTCTGGTGCCCCTGCCCTACCAGGATGCAGTTGGCTGTCCTTTGGCTGTCCTTTTCCTTTGCAATTGAACCAAGCATGTTGGCCAGCAGAGATTGCAAAGCCAAGGGAAGGTGCCATACTGTGAGCAGTAGACATTTGTGTTGTTTTGGTTTGTTGTGCAAGACTTGCTGTCATTTACTTTGGCCCTTTTTGCAGGCTAGTGCAGAGATGGGTGAAAGTAGAAGGTGTCACCTGGCATATCATTAAAAGAAGAATCTAAAATCACCAGGCAGATGTAACTGGTGTGCCGGAGCTTTGTGCAGAAAAGTGGCTGGAAAGTCTCTATTAACTTAGGATCATGGGAAATTGTGGAGAAGAAGGGTCTCCCACTGATCCTTTCTATAAAGCTGAAAAAGTAGGACCCAGAGAAGGGGATCGATTTAATTGCACACAGAGCACTTAAAACTGTGTTGGGATGAGGTTATCCAGAGTTCTTGAATCTGGTTCAATTCCCACTTCCTTGTTGTACTTGTGCCACTCCACACTTCTGCTCACACTGGTCCTCCTGCCTGGAATGCCTCTCCCCTGGGGCTTTAATGTGCCCTAAAAAGTCTTCCCTGCCCATGCTTCTGTTCCAGGTTGAGCAGTGGATCCATTCTCTATGCCTTCAGAGCACTGACCTTACTGTCCTGTAACTGTGGCCCTGTCTTCTCTCCACCCAGCTGGAAGCAGCTCTTTGAAGGCAGAGACCCAGCACACAGCACAGCGCAGCCTGGGTGGTTAATGTTTGGCCATGAGTGTTAACTAGGTGACTGAGCCTGGGACCCCAGGATCAACTGGCTCACCTGCCGGAGAGTGCCTTTCAGGCTTTGGGAATGTTGTGGTCAGCTAGGATTTGTGATGTTGCCTTGCTTCTAAAGAAAAACAAATCCTTCTTTAACTACAAAGACAAAGTAATTTAAAGATTCAGGCACCAGCTTCTACTTAGACTCAGAAGGTTGTTTTCCAAGGAACGCTTGCATCCCAGGTAGGATTGGCTTGCACACAGCAATAGCACCGAGTTTCCTATACAGACTCCTTTAGAAGCCTTCAAAAGACCCCACTGATCTCCTGTGATTTGATTTTTGCTGCTGCTGTTGTTTTTAAGACATCAATATCCTCTTTTTAAATAAAAAATATCCTCTGTGTTAGGAAATCCAAAGAGTTAGTGCCCAGTATGGAATTAGTATGTGCCATTAGCTGGCTGAACAAGGCTGAGGGAAGAGGACACTGAATAAGTCCAGAAATGAGGAGAAAAGGGTCATTGAAATTGACAGGTAAAATAGAAAGGTGACACCGTGTGACTCTTCCTCTAAATTGTGCCTAGGCAAACAAACTGTATGGGAGATGAGAGAATTCCCCAAGTCTTCAAACTTGCTGCATGTTAGATTCATCTGGGGAGATTGAAAAAGCTGTGAATGCTTGGGATGCATCCCAGACCATGACATACACACTTTTGGGGTGAACCCCAGTCATCAGTATTTGCTAAACCTTCTCCAGATCATTGTAATGTTAATGTGAAGGCCAAGGAGAGAACTACGGATGTGGAGCCTCAACTTAGAGATGATGAGAGGACCCACCTATCTCTTGGCAGGATCCGAGGTTCCTTAAAACATTACCACAAAAACTTTAAAATTGGACTTTGGGTCATTTACCTATTGTGAGAACCTAGTTGAGGGGACTTGGGTTGACCGAACCTATGGAATCTGCCCCCTCAATGCCAATAGCCTTCCTAGTCACAGCACGGTGGCCTCCCTAGCATACACAGCCACCTCATTCATCCTGGTTTGCTTAGCAGATAGTGGACCCATCCATTAGTCTGCCAAACCCATGCCATGCACTTCCACCTTTCAGCATAAAGACTGAAAACATAGGGAGCTTAGACTGTTTACATCCTCTGCGTAATTTGAATCTTCTTTAGTTTAACAAAACTGAGGCCACTGAAGACAGGGGATACTTTTCGTTCCTCCTTGGAGACATCATGTGAGTGAGTTGAGAGAACAGACACCCTGGAACCAAATGCACCTGGCTGCAAGGCCCAGCTCCAGTGTTCCCTAGCCATGTAGCTTTGTCAATACCACCTAGAAACCTGAGCCTCAACGTCCTTTTCTATGGCATGGGGACAATAGCAATAGCAACTGTCTCAAACGGCGATACGGAAAGCTGAAATGAAATAGCATTTGCCACTTAGCAAGCCCTGCATCGAAATTAGATTTTTTTTCTTCTCCCCAGCGCCTACCACAATCCAAACACATTAGAGATGAGAAAGTAGGCTGCTTAGAGAACGGATACATATATAAATTAATTGATTCCAAGTGTGTCATGATATAAAAACATAGCATGAACTTCTGAGGTGTCCTAGTTGAGTAGTAAATGGCTTTAAAAAGTCATATTTTATAGGGCTTTAATTAATCATTTATTGGCGGCTTTCCTATAAAATGAGAACTCACCTTAGGGTTCATGCACAGAATGAAAACACCAATTACGGTGCTACACAAACCCAGTCACCCCTGAAGGACAGCCATAAATGAGCCTATCAATCCCATGATTGTTAGGCTCAGTCCAGTCAGGAAATGCCCATCCACAGAGTGGGCCCTGCCATTTCCTCCCTGAGGCCTTTCGCTGCAGACTGCAAGTCTGGGCGTTCTCATAACGACTCCCTTTCATTGACACCTCCTCAGCACAAGGCACTGCTCACCTCCTCATCCACTTCGTATTAATCCTCACAATCTCCATTCCCAGTCTTTTACCAGTGAAAACCCTGAGGCTCCAAGAGGTTAAGTGATGCCCCAAACCACTCACTAAGTAGCAGAGGTGGCCCTCACTCCCTCATGCCTCTGCACCAATGTCCTCAACACCATCTTGCCTTTCTTCCAGATCCGAGGAGGGAATCTTCTAGGAACGAGGAGGTGGTGAGTCATGGCCTTCTTTGTAGGCCAGGCCTGGACCTGGAAGCTGGCTGGGGACAAAGCTCCATGGTTTGAGGAAATACCAGAGAGCCTCAAGTTGAGACTTGAAGGGGCTAGAGAAGATCCGGAAGAGCTAGAGACATAGGCAGATAAATCAGAACCTGTAAGATAAATATATTCCAACACAACACTCTTAGGCAACATTTTCTGATTTCTATGGAACAGACGGATGGTGACAATGATAATAATGTCCCTCAGAGAGTTTTGCCAAATCTGCTGTCTTCAGGGAGAGGAAACCTTCCAGTCTATAAGCATAGAGGGAAGACCGATGGCTGTCTGTACTCTCATGTTTTGAGGTATTGGAGTGAAAACTTGCCTCGGGCATTTAAAATGCCATTTCATAGAAAATTTAAATGATGTGGGAAAATCCACATACTACCCCCCATGTCATTTGTCCTTCTAGCCCCGGCCATAGAGGTGTTATTTTTGGTTCCTTGTACACCCTGTGGACCATGCTCTTTCCTGCCCCTTACCATATAGGCTGTTCCCTTACCTTATCTCTGCTTTATCCTAATAACTCCTATTTATCCTCTAGGTTTATTTCCTATATTCTTCTGCAGCAATACCCTCACCAGGTTTGATTAGGATAATTTTTGCAATTGCTCTCTCTGCATCTACCTGCGTCACTAGCTTTTTTTATTCTCTACACCACTCTCCCTTATTCTCCCAGGACATGTTACACATGCCTGAAACAGCAGAAGCTCAGCTACTTTGAATTAATAAATGAATGTTGAGTTTTAAAGGTATGATTCAAATAGTATGTGCATGTATGGATTATGTAATTTCCTCTCAACAATATGTTTTAGAGATCCACACACAGAAAACGTAGGATAGAAATATTTACCATTAACACCTGATATTATAGGTATAATTTCCCTTATTTTTAGTCTGTGTGATCTGTATTTTCCACAGTAAGCCTATACAATTTTTATAATCAGATCATAATATAATCAGATAATAAAAATGAACATAATTGCCCTAAGGCTTGGTGAGGAATAAAAAATAATGCATATGTAGCTTTCTTCTCATAATGCTTTTTTGGATAAAATGTGTTTCTATTTGCTGAAAAGTAATAATGGTCATTTCCATTGCAGTGCTTCATAGCTTTCGAGGTGGTTATGTATTCACCCCCACATCTTAGTTTCAACAACCCTTGACATACCTAGCAGAGGGGCCTGTTTTTCATTTTATAGACAAAGATGCAGAGGCCACAGCCATGCACAGTGGAGAGAAAGCTTGGCTGGAGCCTGCACCTCTCAGGCTGAGTGCCCACGTGGGAAGGGCCTTTGATTTCTCTTAGCTTCAGCTTCTTTATAAGTAAAATTAAGAGAAAAGTACTTACCTCTAGAAATTAAAGGACCATGCTAGAGAAATCAGGCCCCTCCTTGCACATCAGAGATGCTCAGAAACTTAACTGACTTGCATGGGCTTTGTCATCAACGCAGATCAAGGGCTCATTTGGAACCCAGGCTTGTTCCAACCTTTTCCATACACTGTACTATTAATTGAAAATAAATGATCATCTGCATATCCACAACCTTAGGATACAACATAACAGACCCCATTTGTTAGAATAAAGGATTGAGCTGTATGTGGTGGAGAAATTGCTTGTGGTGGCCTTTGTCTTTTCAAGATGGCACAGGTTCTATCTGTAATGAGTTGGGCAAAGTGAAAGTCAGTGGGTCTAAGTATGCTGTCTCCTGCTTCTACTATACTCCTGGAGCATCATTGATTGGGCCACCTTTGTCTCACCTATAGATGTCCAACTCATAGCCTTGGAAGTCCTATGCTTGTAAATAACAGCTGAAGAAAAATCAAGGTGGCAAGAACTGTTCAGATTTTTGTGGTCCTTACAATGTAATCAAGTGGCAAGGATAGCTTTCTCCCATATATGCTTCTACGGGGGCAGTTATTGCCCTGGACTCTATGCTGTCTATTCAGTCTCCACCCATGGAATCTTCTCAGCCAGACTATATGTTTCCTTAGCCTTTTACTGAAAACCTTCCTTATGGAAGACTCTCTGCTGTGCTGGTGTATCGAAATGTGAAGCAATTGTTGGTCTCTACAAATCTTTGCATTCTGAGTCTCAAGTAGTACACATGATAGGCCCTCATTAAATCGAGTGATGAGTGAATGAATGAACACTTGCAAGCCTTCTCCAGGCTGTTGATTCATTACTTTTATACATCTCTTGTTTGTAAGATCTAAATGCGTATTTTAAAGAATCTGTGGAAAGTACCCAGATCTAAAGACCTTTAGTAATTGCTCTTTGAAACGTTGCATAAGATCCTGCCCTCAGAAAGGCTGCATGCTTAGTTTAGTAATCTCTTATCACCACTTTGAAATTCTAAGTAGTTTTTGAACCAGGATTCCCACATGTGCACTGGATCTCACAAAGTACATAGTTGGTCCTATCTATCTTCCTGCTCAGAAAGTCTCAAAATACTAGAGAATTGTTTCAATATTACTTTCACAAAATGGCATGTTAATGGACTAAATGTGCCGGAATCAGAAACTTGTTAAATTTGACTCTGCCTGAGCTTAAACAAAACTTAGATTACAGAGGAAACTGTGTAAATATGCTTGAAGTTAACCTGACCAGAAAATATTTGACAGAATTTTAGAAGTTAGCTATGAAGAAGTTGTTTGATTTCTCTTCATTATTTAGCTTTAGATACTGAATATCTTACCTGATATGGTCTGGCTGTGTGCCTACCCAAATCTCATCTTGAATTGCAGTTCCCATAATCCCCACGTGTCCTGGGAGGGACCAGGTGGGAGGTAATTTAATCATGGGGATGGTTACCCCCATGCTGTTTCCATGATAGCGAGTGAGTTCTCAAAATATCTGATGGTTTTATAAAGGGCTTTTCTCCCTTTGGCTGGGCATTTCTCCTGCCTGCCATCAGTGAGAAAGGACATGTTGCTTCCCCTTTGCATCATGATTGTAAGTTTCCTGTGGCCTCCCCAGCAATACTGAACTGTGAATCAATTAAGCATCTTTCCTTTATAAATGACTAGTATTGAGTATGTCTTTATTAGCAGCATGAGAAGGAACTAGTACATTACCCAAACTAGTTTCATCTTTTAAGTGAGTGCGTCCCTTGCCCTCAGCAGATGTTTGCTTAAAACTAAACCAGTACCTTCCACACTGTAATTTTTTTAACTGCTAAAGTCCAGGTAGCATTAACCAATTTATGCATTCTGCCCAAAGAGCAGGAGAATGAAGAGTGGGTCCTGAGAACTGGAGGTTCCTTCAGTGCAGGGAATGTTTCTGGGAGTCTGAGCTCCAGCCTGCAATGGTATGTAGAATGGAAAGTTGTCATTAGTTTCCTTTGTCATGTCCCATTTTGTTCAGAGGCCTTTATAGCAACAACCAGTGAATTTATTGGTGTCTGAGGCCCTAATCTCTGACAAGTGAGGCTGCAATATGGAACTGCAGATTGACAGCCAAAGAGAAGCTGGCATGTGGTAAGAGAGGGGCCTATCTATCCTTTTTGGTGATGGGACTGAAAACTCAAAAATATGAAGTCCTCCCTACCATGGCACCCTCCATGATATGTTTAATCCCATAGCTTAATATATTATTTTTCATATGTTTCTCTGTAGCCCTGCCATTTGAGAGATCTGTAAATAAAATTGCTGATGGTGAAGGACTGTGTCCCTTAAAGAAAGGAAAAAGGAACTCATATATTTGTTAAGTATCTAAAAGTACTTATATTTTTGCATTTATATAATCCAGAAATCCCATGAGAAAAGCATTATTATGATCATTTTATAGATAAATTAACTGTCCTTATGAGATGCTAAATAACACAGTTAGTAAACCATGGAATTAGTGTTTAAATATAGCTAACCCATTCCCAACACCTTACTCTTCCCATACCACGGGCTGAGAAAAAGTGAGGAAAATTCAGTTCTGGGGTGACTTCAAGTGAAGTGGTTTTCATAAGAAAGTCTACTCCTTCTGAGAGTTTAAGACCAAGGACCAGGATCCAGTCTGCCTGATGCACTTTATTATCCCCAGGAGGTTGCTTTGCTCCCCCGGGCCTTCATGTTCTCATTTCGCCAGTGCAAATAGCAACACCTTTCCTGCCCACTGTACTAGGTTGTTTTGAATTACAGGGAATGCATTTCAGGTAGAAGTAAATGCCAGTGTGATTGCGTGGTTATTGTTGCTGATGTCATTTGTTTTTGCAGAGAACTGAATAGGTTTATTCTGGAGGTGATAATTGGGAAGGTCTGTCCCCATGCTGCCAGGCACCATGGCCAGCCGAGCAGAATGCTTTGACTTGAGAATTTCATGAGCAAGGCGGAATAAGCCACTCAGCTTCTGTACAAGCAAAGCCAGGCAACAGCATTAATTAATGTGGATGAGAAGAGACAGGCCCTTGTTTGTAATTAGGAGACTCTGTGGACCTTGTTTTCTTCTCCAGTCTCTCTTAAACATGGTGAGAGCTGTGGCTTCCATGGGGTGAGTAGTTGCCCACCTCTCCACCTCCCTCTCCTCAGCCAGCTGATTTCCAGCCCTGGGATCTGGGGTACAGGAAGATCAGGTTTACATCCTAATCCTAGGAAACTTCGCCTCAGCTCACTCGGTTCATTTCAACCAAAAGGTGAAAGGAAACTGAGAGTTAGCTGATGCCAAAAAAGGCAATCAGACCAACACAAGCCAGAACCGAATTATGTCACTCTGGGCTTTCTGCACCGTTGCCACCATTAACACCTGGAAGGCCTTTGATTGTCACATTAGCAAAACATGCCATAAAGCATGAGCTTCCCTTCTTCCCACAGAAACCCTGGCCCCTTTGCAAGGGGGGGAGGTGGGGCAGTGTCACAAAGGTGGCTTTCAGCCCTAGAAGGCTTTCTTGATTAGGCCTCTGAGGGGAGACTTCCACGAAGTCTTCTCACAGGAATTTGCAGCCAGTTACAGCACTGATTTCCAGCAGCTTCTAGATGAAGGACTCTTGGAACCTCTGAGCCCAGAAGGACAGTGGAGATTGGTTGCTCAAATCACCTTATTTTATAGAGATGAAAATTGATGTCTCAGGTGAAAAATTTAATTTTCAACATGAATTTTTCTGACCACCGTGTGTCAAATAGGATGCAAAATGTTGAGGATACAATGATCTCTAACTTCATCTCATTCAGAAGTGGAGACTGTCTATCACGTGCAAGATGCAGGGAACGTTTACTAACTACCACCGAATACAGCAGAGCTGTGAATATAACGACAGCCACAGGTTCCTTGTCAGGAAGTGCAAAATAGGATCACACACACACACACACACACACACAATGTCTCTACAAATAACTAAGGTAGCCAAATAATAAAATATCTACCTTTCAAAATAGCTACACATTTAACATTCAATCATGTGTAAAGTATGTTAATTTTTCTCTGCTCATTTCCTGATGCAAGTTTATTTGAACTCATCCTGTCTCCTCAGTATCATGTCTTCCTTGTCAATCAAAGCGCTCTTTGAGTCACCTAGTGCGCCTAATCTTTATTTAGGTTTGAGAGGCAGATCTTCTTGAATCTTTATAAAAGGTTGTCACTGGAAGTTTTTTCCCAAGTCACAAGTTTCTATTTACTATTCATGATCTTTGCAACATACATCTCTTACCCAATTGCGTTCCTAAAGTGGTTTTGATATCCTTGTTTGTGACAACGTGCAAGAAATGAACTTGGGAGGTCATCACCAACTCCCAATCCCCAGAGAAATAATTACACCTAAATTACATTTCTTTGCCCCCTTTGTTAATAATCCCGTTAAGAGACTTCTATGGAGATCCAATACCAATGTTTACTGAGGTTGCTTCATGTTAATGTCTCTTCTCCAAATACTAATCTGATTTGAAAAGTAAAATATTTGGGAAAGTCCTCTATAGTAGATTTTATATAGAACTAGATATGTTGCAATTCCTTATTCTCAAAATGATGTGTAGTTTTGGGGAAGACAGTTTTCCTTTTAATCTGACCTTTATGGCATAAGTGGAAGGGTAATACAGTAGTCCCTCCATTTCCGTGGGGAATATGTTCTATGGAATATGTTCTAAGACCCCCACTGGATGCCTGAAACTGCAAATGGTACTGAACCCTATACATACTACACTTTTTTCTGTACATACATACCTATGATAAAGTTTAGCTCATAAATTAGGCACAGTAAGAGATTAACAACAATAATAAAATAGAACCTTGATCACAATATGCCAGTTTCACTATTGTTGCACTCTGAGGCCATTATTAAGCGAAACAAGGTTTCCTGCACACAAGTACTGCAATACCAGGACAGTGATTCTGAGAGCTGGGATGGCTACTGAGTGACTCACAGGCCGGGAGCATACGCAGTGTGGATACATTGGACAGAGGGATGAATCAAGTGCTGGGCAGGAGAGAGCAAGGCAGCACAAGGTTTCATCATGCTACTCACAATGGCACACAATTTACAACATGATTTCTTTCTGAGATTTTCCATTTAATGTTTCCAGACTGCAGTTAACCATAGGTAACTGAAAAGTGAAACTGGAAAGTGAAACTGTGGTTAAGGAGGAAGGAGGAAGTACTGTGTGGAAGAGAGTGTGAATGACTTTTTCTAGAAGAAAGGGGATGAGTTAAGAAACTTTCCAAGGAGGAAGTGATACTAGAGGGTGAGTTAGAAGGACCATAGGTCATGGTGTTAAGCAAGTGAAGTTGGAAGCACCCCTCATATAAAGGTACTATGGGGAAATGTTAAGAACCATGGAATATCTGAGATTTTCTTTTCTTTGCAACCAGGCAAGTTAGCTATTGCAGGTTCATGAGTGCCGGCAGAAGAAATGAGACTCCTGGACCAGAGACAAAGGACCATTGTTTACAACACAGACAGCAGCATAAACTTCATGGTTGCATTGGTTCGCCTTGTTCCAACTTCTAATGGAGGCAACACAAAAGTGGACTCAGGTGAATGCTGCATGCACAGGTGTGCATCACAAATGAGGAACTCCAATCTCATGAACTCAAATCTTTTATACTAGATTGCAAGCAAACTTGTGGGAATTTTTTCCCAGAAGGAAGACATTATCTTTCTTTTACCTGGCACTTAACAAACTTACCCTCTACTCTGGAGGATGATGCTATCTATATCTTCCAAGGCTTCTTGCTATACAAACATCCTTGAAAATATAGTTATCTTTTAGTGCTTCTGCTTGCAATACCTTCAGAAATGGGAAAACCCAATGGAGAATTGACTCCCAATAGGAAAAGCAAATATACTTGAAATGACTTACTTGAGGTCACAAAGCCAACCAGGTCTACTCACAGGCTACACAGTGCACATACACTCTACTCCCGGCCTTTCCTGCTGACATCATTCTTCTGTGGGATGATTGGGTCCTCTAGATAGCATGCAAGCCCGAGGAGGCACACAATGAGGGAAGAGCCCATGCAGCAGGCAGACTTCTAAAGTGACCCCCAATGGCCCACATCCTTGTACAATACTTACCCCTTGAGTGTAGGAGCAATAGGAAGGGTATCTCTTCTGTAACTAGATCAGTTATACATCAAAGGTGAAAAGATTTTGAAAATGTAATTAAGGGCCCTAATTAATTGACTTTGAGGTAGTCTAAGAGAGATTATCCTGAGTGAGTCTGATATAATCAGGCGAGCCATTTAAAACAGGTGCCTTGTTGTGGAAAGAGCCACATGACAGAGAATGACAGGTGTCTTCTAGAACCTCAGGAGTTCTGTCTCACAACTACAAGGAGTTGAATTCTGCAAACTAACAGTGAGCTTGGAAGAAAATGCCAAGCCTCAGATGAGTTCACAGTCCTAGTAGACACCTTGATTGTCTGAGCAGAGAACCTAGTTACGCTGTACCTGGACTTCTGACTCACGGAAGCTGTAAGATAAGAAATCTGTGTTGTTTTAAGTTACCAAATCTGTGTACATTTGTTATATACAACTAATGCACCCCAAGACTGACTTCTAGTTGTTGTATATTTCTTAACTATGCTTCTATAAGATAGCAGAATGAAGACACACGTATTTATTGAGCACTATTACTTGTTTTTATTCATCTTTCTTAAATATGTGCATAGCTCATATTAATTTCAATGTTTAATATTAGAAGTGTTTTGCTCTTTATTTAGAAGTTTGATGATGTTTTTGTGATTAGAAATATGCTGCAGGAACTTAAGTCCTATTTATATCAATTAGCCTGTGGTAAAGTTGGTTTCATTATACATCATTTAGCTTGAAGTCCAGTTTTCAAGAACCTACTAGATCTGACTTTTAGAACTATATTAATATTTTGCATACGCAAATATAATTAATAAGAACGGAAGAAAAAAACTCCACATGGAATGCGAACAGAAACAAAGTAACCAAACTGCATTTCAAGTTAATAACACAACCGCACTAAAGGAAAAAAGAAAAAAAGAAATGTCACTTTTGAGAACATGTTTCTCTAGTTAATAAGTCCTCTGCATTAGAAGTTGGCAAATCTTCTTTCTAAAGGGTCAAATAGTTAATATTTCTAGCTCTGTGAGCTATATGATCTCTATTCCAAATATTCCGCCTTTGGATCCAGAAATCAGCTATAGATAATATGTAAATGGATGGGGGAGTGGCACTGTGTTCCAATCCAACTTTATGCATGACATTGAAATTTGAATTTCATATAAGTTCCGTATGCCACAAAATTTTATTCTTCTTTGGGTTTTTTTTTCAACCATTTAAAAATGTAAAAGTTATTCTTAGCTCATGGGCAATATAAAAACAGGGATGTACCAGATTAGGCCTGTGAACCACTGTTTGCTGACCTTGCATTCATCAGTGATTGAACAAGTCTAAATTCAGCTGTTTACTGTCTCCAATGTATATTTTATTTTTTGATATCATATTGTAGTTTAATTACATTTTCTCCGTAACTCTGCCAGCTCCTTTAAAACCTTATTTTCCACTTGACCAACACAAATTCTGTCTTACTTCATAGCAACAATATTTTTTTATATACTGAGAACACAAAGCAGATGCATTCTACTTTTTTTCTGCCATTTGTAGTGAATTATTTTGCTTTTCTCTGAATCTTTATTGCTATGTCTCACCTTGTCATGTGTCAGAATGTTTTCATACAGCCCATGTTGTTGTTTTCTGTTGTTCTTTTCTAGTTTTTTCTTATATGAGATAAGACGTATATATCTCTGCTGTTTGCCAACAGATAGGGAGTGTGTATTCACTTTGATCTTTTTATCATTCATCTGGGTGCCACCTTAATGTCCCCTCACATCTTAAACTATGCAATAAGCATGGTCCCTAGCCAAATGTCTAGTGTGTGGTAGACCTTTATCTTGCACTGCTTTGTGGGAAGGTGGATATTTTTTCTCATTCCTTCAATATGGTTTTTTAACCATCAGAAATTTTTTGTCCTCCCATCCTAGCTTCTGTATATTTGAAACAATCTGTACTTTTTCTTGTTCTTATCAGTGTGGGGCATTTAAAAATGCACTATTCATAGCATTCTGCTTCTCATTCTCTGTCTGCCCTTGATGGAGAGAGGGTTGGAGAGTGGAGGTGGCCAGCAGCATTTTCCAGCATCTCTTTTTTCTAGTTAGAATGCTCTGTTTCAGAGGTTTAGGTGGGAGTCAACCACCAGTCCTTTCCCCAAGCTCATTCCTGCCATAGTTAAGGACAATTCCTTCAGAGACTGGCCTGTCATTCATCAAAATCCTCACTACTACTGATATTGCACTTTTACTGTTTAAAAAAGTTTTCATAGGTATGGGTTCAGAGACACTAAGTGATTTGCCTAAGATTTTGCAACAAGAATCGGAAAAAGGATTTAAGTCCCCTTCTACAAAAATTTGAAAGTATGCTCCTTCCATAGGGACCCTGTCTCCACAAAGGTTAGGCCACCAAGAAGTCATTAACTGGCAAATAAAAAAGTAACATAAAAATGCATAGTATGGTATTATAAAAAAAATGAAAAAGTAATTCATCAATGGAATGGAAGATCAATTGTACTCAGTGTGTTTTGAGGTGGGTGGGGGGGTTGTCTTATTTCATCTATGATCCTCTAGTAGACATTGGCATGAAGACACAACTTAAAAGAGGCCTCTGTTGTCACAATTCCAAGTTCTGCAGCTTCTCGATTTGTAAGTCTGAGGTAGTTTGGGGAATACAGGCGCCCATGATGCATATTGTAAACCATAAATTAATGAGTGATTAAAATCTTACTAAGGCAAACACACAGCCACAAATCTGAATGACGCACAATTATTGCCAGCCATAGCCAGCAGATGTATAGAAATAATTGGCTTTTAATGCTCATGAGTCAGTTTTATTACAAATAATGCATTTGCATGAAGTTTGTAAATTTATGCTCCAGTGGGAAGATATGGTGACTGCACAGTACAAACAGGCAAAGCAATTACAAAAAGTGCATCCAAAATTGATTAATTGTTCAAAGTCGCATTTATTTATATGTTTGCTTCTAACCTTGCCTCATTCCAAAACAAAATAATTTCTTTTATTTGAAGAAATATAGCCATTATAAGAATTTGTAATTGAAGAAAGCATGGAGAAAGGAAAATGAAGGTCAGAAAATATAATAAATCAGCAGTGAAGTTAGTATGCAAGATGAATGCCAGAACATTCTATATGTATGATAAAAACATAATGCAAAGCCACCTCTATATTCATTAAAATTCAAAACAAAAGAGTGAAAACTGATTTGTGTATGATTCATAGTGTCTATAACAAAAAAAAAAAAGCACGTTTTTCTCAAGGGAAATATAACTTTACTTGGTAAAATGACCAGAGAAAAATTTACCTTATAATTGATCATACGAGTGACATGACCATACAAAGAAACGAATGTTTAGTAACATCTCCAAAGCAAATGCAATAGACTTCTTTCTGATAATGCTCCAGTGTGTAGGCTGATAACCTTCCACCAAATTGCACTTAAATAAAAATTAGGCTCTTGAAGAAGGGAATTAACCCCCCTTTCATACCCCTCTCCCTGCCATATTCGTGCATACTTCCTGGCCTGTCATCCTTCCAACCTACCCATATTTTCATTTTAGTTGGGTACAAAATGTAGTGCTTATTTTATTATGGCCATGTAAATGCTAGGCACGATTGACACAGGACACTTGAATGAATTTTCTTACACAAATTTGTTTTTCTTAAAGTTGTCTAATTTATCTTTCTTTTTTTCTATTAATTATTACTAATTCTTCCCCAAATTCTTCCCCAGAAATAAAATCTCTTTATAATACAGTGGAGTGTATCCAATCTTAGGAAAGTTTCATCTGCTTGAAGACGTCCTTCCCAGAGGCTTCTATCCATTGAGACTGGTACCTCACTCAGCCTGGAGCATGGCTGCCTAACATCTCCCCTCACCGTCCTGTGGAGACCCCCCAGCTCTTTTGTGTTGAATTCCTAGTTTAATGAATCTCATGTTTTTTAGTGTCTTCCTTTTTTTTTTTGTAAGTTTCCTCCTTGAATAGCTATCTAGAAAAGTGCATATGGCAGATAATTTTTTGGGTCTGCGAACATCTAAAAATGACTATTCCATAGGCATGCATAATGGATGATCTAGGTGCTATGGAACACTGATTGGAAAGGATTCTCTTTCAGAATTTTCGAGGAGTTGCCACTTTTGCTTCTACTTCATTGTGCCTGGGACTCCTATTTTCCTCCTACTGGGAACACAGCATCATATATCGAACCTGCTTTGTGCATACACTGCTTCCTAGAGATGTGAACTCCATTCTCTAGCTCTGAGCCGTTGCTTCAGCTGTGTTTTCACTGTTCCAGTGTTCTTTCAGGCCTGCAGCTTTTAGCTGGTGTAATATTTGTTAAGGTCATTCCTGTAGTTACTGGCCCACTCCCTCACCTGCATTTCTGTTAGGTGGCCTCACTAGTTTTTGACAGTTGTTTGTGGAATCCTGTGCCAAGCAGCCAACACTCTGTAAGGCTTCGGACACTGGGGCTGTCTGACACCCTCAGGTAAGTAAAATCCATACCTGAAATATCTACCAATTTCTCTCAGTGACTTGGTGGCATCTGCAATGTGGAAGGGGCCCACTTGGTCAATTGTTACCAAGTGACCAGTTTGGTCTTCAAACTCAGTGTGGGCCTCTACATTTGATGTTGACACTCAGTGGCAACACTAGCCTTGGTCAGTGAGAGATCCTGCTGTGGGGTCCGTGTGGAGGCTCTCCATCACTGCCACTGCTTTGGCCATACGTCCCTGTGCTAACACTGGTCTATGACAAAATCTGGCTGACATTCTGTCTACTTGGATATTGAGTACCTCTTCTCTGGTGGACGCTCTGTGGTGGGTGTTAACACGTGACTCCAAGATCTTCATACACCATTCACATTCCAAATGCCTCTATCCCACCCCTCCTTGTCCTTCTCATTGCAAAATTTGTTTATTTATTTTTTCAGACTTGCCAGGCTATTTGCTGCTGCCTATGAATCTGTACAGTCTCATGTTAGGACACCTCTTTCCACAACTGCACAACTAGGTGCTCTTCCCAAAGTGCATTTCCCCTCATCACTGTCTTTCAAGGCTGCCTCCAAGAAAGGCTGTTATTTCTGACTTGGGCCACATTCAGAGCCAACCCATCTGCGAACCAAGCGGGATCACACCATGTGGCACTGGTGCATGATGAGGGAGGGTGCTGGGGCATCAGCGGTGGGTGGCATGGGGTCTGTGTTCCCTTTGCATGCAGTTGGCTCTGCCCCTGGTCCTGCCTATGCTACACTTCATTTTCTCACTATTGTTGCCAGTTGCGTCTAATTTTATAACACGGTGTGTTCCGACAGAATCTACGTCATTGTGGGCAGTTCATCATTCAGGGTCAAAAAAGTCTCATGCATAGATATTCCACTTTTATTGGGGTTGGTGGCATGGCAGCAGTTGTTTTTCAAAAGGTGATTCTCCACTGCATATGCATGGCAAAGTATCCACTGGCATTCTTGGTCCAGAGTCCAAGAAGCTTGCTCTGTGATGCTCTCCCTTGAGATTGTCATTGGCTCTCCATGGTCTCTTTATCCCACCACTAATACCTTTAATATCTTAGGATCTGCTGGGTCATATGGCCCAAGGGTAATGGCCGCTTGAACTACAGCCTGAACCTTTTACAGTGCACTTTCCTGTTCTGGGCCCCACTCAAGGCTGGCAGCATCTCATGTCACCTATACATGAGCCAAAGCAGTATTCCCGGGGGGTACACTGCCCAAGGAGTGCTGGAAGCCACCCAGAGCAGGACAAGGTAAGGAATGGAATTTTTCTGTGAGCATTTTGAGGATGTGTGGATCTGTCAACACCTGAATTTTGGACTTCTGGCCCCCCAAACTGTAAGAGAATAAATGTCTGTTATTTTAAGCCACCCATTTTTAAATAATTTGTTATGGCAGTTACAGGCAACTACTACAGGTGGGATCCTGGTTTGCCCTGAACACTGACTTCCTAAATATTTTGCTAGTGTGGCAGGCCATATAGCTTTGTAGGTTTCATATTCCACCCTCAGCTGTGTGTGTCTTACTAAGGCTCCCAAAAAGGTTGCCACCTTTGGTTCCTCCAATCCAATTAGCATGACGTATAAATGCAGATGATCAATGTGATGCTCTGTGGATGTCAGACAGTCCAGTACATCTTCAGACTGTATTATTGACAAAGTAGGGGAGGGAGGGAATCCATAGTGCCTTGAGGCACAATTATGAACGTGTAGTTTTGTCCATTCAATGTAAATATTAACAACTTTTTATCTTCTTTCAGATAGAGATAGAAAAAATGACCACAATACATGGCCTCAAACCATGCACTGAAACCATGTTAATCTTCTCTATCAAATATACTTGATCTGGAACAGAGACTGCGATTGTGATTGGAGTTATATTTGGTATAGTTGGTGGTAGTACATTCCCCTCCTCTAAGGCTCATCTGGCTTCTGCAGGGGCTGGACTGATGAATTGATTGGGTATTTGGTAGGGACCACTATCAATGCATCATTTAGATAGTTATGAACGAAACTCATTTTTTACATGCCCTGGAATGCAATATTATTTTTAATTTACTGTCTTGGATTGAGGGGGAGAGCAGTTTCAGAAGGGCCTGAGAAAACAGCAGATATTGCAGACTTACAGTTGATTAGATATTGGCCTTGAACTCTAGTTAGTTAACTCTGTTTAGTTAGCTCCACCCCAAAACTGAGGCCATAGTGACTTTTGGAGTTTCTGGTATCACTGCCAGTTTGAGTTTTCCTATTCTCCAAGTATAAAGTTACCTGAGTTACCTGTCTACCTGGATTTTGACAATGAAGTGCCACTGCCGGGCTTCAGTAGGGATCTTATTATCCTTATCACTATCAGTGACCCTAGCTCTGTAATAATGCCCTCTCCTATGGTCAATTCCACCTACAAAGGACAGCCACCAATGAACTTCTTGGTGATGCTGGTTCCCGTCTCACCAGAACACCTCTTCTTTTCTCTGGGGATTTCCCATGAAATATAACCACGTGGTGGGCTTTTTGTATGTTGTATATCCTCCCTAGAATGCTCACTCCCTAGTTTTTTATCCCATTCTCCACCATCAGACACAGTGATCCCAACATGTAGACCTCCCTTACTCTGGCCATCACTTTTTCCATGCTCCTAGGAACTAGTTTGCATGCTCCTAAGACCCAGTTTGCATCATCTCCTAGGGTTTTTGCTAAGTTTTAAATCCTGTACCTTGGGAGAGTGCTCCCAAATTCACTAAACCACTAGTAGATAACATCCCTTATTCACTCTTAGGCTCCAGCCTCCTTGATCAGACCCATACCTGCTCTGCCAGAGCATACCTGCTGGTCTATGTTAGCAGGTTTTATTTTAGCTCCTTTGGGATGTAATTCCTTTCCTTTCTTACCAGGCCCAGCACACTCAAGGCTGGATTATGATGCAATTTACCTGAGTTATTAGCCTAATGGCTAGGAAGCAAGGTGGGGAAAGATCCTGAGTGGAGTACCTGCTCTCTTTCAGGGGAGTGACCTCTGAATGGGTTAAAATGGAGGGAAAGTCTGCTTCTATAGGCTCAGAGATTTGGGAGAATCTAGGAATTCCGAATTTTTCAGGTCATCAACCAAGTCTCTTTTCCGTGTTTCAGGGTCCCGTTCATCCCAGTCAGGGTCTTCACCTGGATACAAATGGCTTTGTTATGAGTACATTATTCTTTCTAGTTCAGCTACCATGACAATTAAGTTGTGGAGCTTTTCTCCAACTTTCTTCCCTGCTGTTAAAGGAGATGAGAGGCTTTTTATAGGGTACTATATAAAAGCTTTGGCTTTTGGCTTTGGCTTTCACACTTAACCTTATTTTTGTTTTTTTCTAGAGCTTAAAGGTTAACCATAGTCATACAACCTCTTTGCCCTTATAGTACCTACCCCTCCCATAATTTTCAAATGCACTGAAAAGCATGCATTGCACCAGTGAGTGCATTCCTTTCCACTGGTGTAGCTTCCCAGCTCACCTTCATGAAAGTTTTACCAAGCAGTACCCACCTTGCACCAGGACTAGTTGTGCTCCACCAACCACAAGTGACAGCATCTTAATCACTGGCTGGTTGGTGAGTCATCCAGCTCCAAAATCCCATCTTAGAGCCACTTGCATTGATGATACCATTTAGATTCACCAGGATGCAGACTCTGAGACGAAGTATAATGTTCAAAGTGTTTATCAGAGTGCTCTTGTAATCAGTCTCCATGAAAGGGAGGCATAGAAAGTGGGATTGGACAAAAGGAAAACCTGAACTATTATGCAGGCATAGCCTCAGCCGGTTTCATGGAGAACTCTGGAACTAAGATGGCCCCAATTCCCCTGCATTGGGCTGCAGTGGCTGGGCCTTTATAGCTCCTGCATCCATCAGTCATGGATGTGGGTCACACGTGGAAGGGCATGACCTTGGGCAAGGTGGCTTGCTGCAGCTGAGAAAAATCACTGGAAGGGCTGGCAGCTGGAATCTGCCTCCTAACAGCTCTGCCAAGGGCTGGTGAGAAGACGGGGGCAAGATTTTCTCTTCATAGGAGATAAGGATTATGGGTCCTATGTCCTGACTCTGCCAAAGCAAGATGTGAGCAAGAAATTAGGATTCCTTTTTATCTTCTACAGCACCAGTCTTATCCCTGCTATCGAGAAAGAATTATAATCTCATTCTGAGATGCTCCCTAAAGATTCTAATAAATCCAGGATTATTATCAATGCACCTTAAAAGTATCTCTAAGTAGGGAATACAGAAACTAAAGTATTAATTCTCTAGAACATAGAGGAATAACTTCAAAATGATTCAGTCAATAAAAATTATTGTCTATAATGTGCTAGATACTATGGCAGGTGGCAGTGATTCCAAGATATATGCTCCAAATCCAGTAGGAGAAACAGACAAAAATGCATTTGACACGAATATTGTTCAATACAGACTATAATTAAATAATGTCCCAATTAGAGTGTGAGCTCAGACAGGGGAGCTTCCAAGAAAAGCTTCACAAAAGAAAGGACCTTGGAACTGAGGTATCTGACACCTGGCACTCATTCAAGGAATATTTGGTGAATAAATTATAGGTGGAATATTAATAGGCAGCAGAAATGATGGTGGATGGGAGAATTCCAAGCAGACCTCGGAGGCCTTGAAATGTTTCCCTGTATAGAAAGCAGTAGGTAGTCGGTATGAATATTTATTAGGTAAGGCTAGAAATATAGGATGATGTCATGTTGCTTTGAATTCTCTTAGAAGGAGTACTGACAATATTCTGTGGACAGTGGGAGAAGGTGTGGGATTCTGAATGGTTTTTGAGCTGGTGAACAGCTGACAGATGAGCAGTTTATAGAATGGTTTCTCTGTGGAAGTCAGGGGAATGGACTGGTTAAGGAAGAACCTTAGTTCTTAACCAGATGACAACAAAGGGGCTATTGCAGTGGCCTGGGTAAGTGGCAGGGAGGCCTCAAGTATGATACGGCTGTCCGTGGGAGGGAGCATCTTCATGAGGATAAGCTCATCACCGACTGTCACATAATAAATCAACTGCTGAAGGAGAAGTGCTGGCAATGTTTCTGCCTCCAGAACAGGATGTCACCTCAAAATTCAGTGTCTCGGTTAATAACAAGAGATCCATCGTCTCAATGAATGAGGAGAGTTTGGAAGGGTATTCCAAACTCTTTCATGGAAACAAAAAAGTTTTAAATTCTACATATTTATTTGTTTATTTTATTTTGGAGGAAATGTCATCATTTAAATATATGTTTGTTGTCACTCCTTAATAAAGCTCTTCAAACTCTGGCCAAAATACCCATTACACAACAGAGAGTACATTTTCCTTTCTGTTGTCCCTGCATTGTATTCACACTTTGATCTATCATTTTCTCACATTATGTTTTCATAACTTTCAGGATGCCTTCTAGATAATCCAAATGGATTCACAGAAAGCAGATCTGCTCTTCCTGTCAGTGTGGCCTCAGGCAATGCCCAGGAGTAAAAGGGTCATTAGCAGTTATTACTTTGATGACATCACCAGTAATTTGCCTCATTCACTTTCTAACATGTTGTAATTTTGCTTTGAAAATGCTGCACATAATAAAGAGTTATTGGCAAGGGTTTTGAACTACTACATCTCAAGTCAGCTTATAGTTTAACTCTTCTAGCACTGAAAATTTCCTGCTGGACTGCAGCTTGAGGGAATGCCCATCGCATCCGAGGACTGTGCATATGTGCAGATACTATTTCATTGTTCTAATGACTTCAAATTATGGCAGCCTCTCATCAACACACAGTCATCTGCAAAATGATGAAGTGTGAAGCAATAATTGGGTAGTGAGAAGAACACACGATTTTGAGTTAGAAGATCCGTATCAAGCCATAAGTCTTGGCCAAGTTACTTACAGTCTTAGAGTCTCAGCTCCCATCTTTCCACTATGATTAGGGGAATCACCCAAGAGCACATACCTAAAGAGGATGTGTCAAATTAATCAAAATACAACAATATGGTAAGGTGCAAAAATGATGAGTATTTTGCTCTATAAATTTTACGAAAGGAGCAAACCGGTGAAAGCTGCAACAGAGATTAGAAGCTGCAACATTACCAGGACCCAGGGGTATCCTCTCTCCCCATTCCAGTTATTATGCCAGCTTTCCTAAAATAACCTGGATTCTTACTTAAATTATTATAGTTAGTTAGCTTTGGCCATTTCTGAAACTTCATGTAAATGAAGTTGTACTCTATGTACTCACTTGAGTTAGTAGTACTCTTTTACTCAACACTCTGTTAGTTTTATTCTTGATGGCTCACATAGCAATAGTTAAAACTTGGTTGTTACACCATAGTATTACTTTGTGTGATTTTACAACAACGAATGTATTGTATCCTGGGAGGTTATGTGTGTTGTTTCCAATTTGAAGCTATTATGAAAAATGTTTCTAAGAGTGTCCTTGTGCCACTTTTTTTGGTGTACATGTGTATGCATTTCCTTGGGGCAAATTTCTAAAAGGGAAATTGCTCAAACATCAGGTATGCCTATGTTTAGCTTCAGTAGATAGTACCACAAGGTTTTTTGTTGTTGTAGTTGTTGTTTGTTTGTTTGTTTGTGTTTTGAGACGGAGTCTCCCTCTGTCACCAGGCTGGAGTACAATGGCTTGATCTCTGCTCACTGCAACTTCTGCCTCCCAGGTTCAAACGATCCTCCTGCCTCAGCCTCCCTTGTAGCTGGGACTACAGGCATGCACCACCACGCCCAGCTAATTTTTGTATTTTTAGTAGAGACGGGGTTTCACCACGTTGGCCAGGGTGGTCTCCATCTCTTAAGCTCATGATCAGCCCGCCTCAGCCTCCCAAAGTGCTGGGATTACAGGCATGAGCCACCATGCCTGGCCAGTTTTCTAAATTACCTGTGCAAATTCACATTCCTACCAGCAACACAGAGTTATTCCACATTCCCGCCACCACTGGTCTTGATAGGTTTGTCATTTGTTTTTGTCTTTTTTCTTTTTTTAATTTGACATTTCAGATAGCAGTGTCTAATTGTTTCAGTTAGTGGTTTTTGAAGATTTGTGATATTGAGCAGATTTTTTTATGATTATTAGTCCCTTGAATTTTTTTCTGTAAAACACCTGTTCATGGCTTTTGCTCATTTTTTTAAAGGAATAAACATATATTTTTTTCTATTTTTCTCATTAAGTACAACTAAAATCAAAACAAGTAGAAGGAAAAGTAACAAAAGTAAGATAAGAATTTAATGAAATAGGCTGGGCACGGTGGCTCACACCTGTAATCCCAGCACTTTGGAAGACCGAGGTGAGCAGATCGTGATGTTAGGAGATCGAGACTTTCATGTGCGCCCGTGTGAAGAGATCACCAAACAGGCTTTGTGTGAGCAACGTGGCTGTTTATTTCACCTGGGTGCAGGTGGGCTGAGTCCGAAAAGAAAGTCAGCGAAGGGAGATGGGGTGGGGCTGTTTTATCAGATTTGGGAAGGTAATGGAAAATTACAGCCAAAGGGGGTTGTTCTCTGGTGGGCAGGGGCGGGGGTCACAAGGTGCTCAGTGGGGGAGCTTCTGAGCCAGGAGAAGGAAATTCACAGGGTTAATCACTCAGTTAAGGTGGGGCAGGAACAAATCACAATGGTGGAATGTCATCAGTTAAGGCAGGGCAGGGCCTTTTCACTTCTTTTGTGATTCTTCAGTTACTTCAGGCCATCTGGGCATATACGTGCAAGTCACAGGGGATGCGATGGCTTGGCTTGGGCTCAGAGGCCTGACATTCCTGCCTTCTTATATTAATAAGAAAAATAAAATAGTGTTGAAGTGTTGGGGTGGCGAAAATTTTTGGGGGTGGTGCGGAGAGAGAATGGGCGATGTTTCTCAGTGCTGCTTCAAGCGGGATTAGGGGCGGCGTGGGAACCTAGAGTGGGAGAGATTAAGCTGAAGGGAGGTCTTGTGGTAAGGGGTGACATTGAGGGGGTTGTTAGAAGAAACATTTGTCATACAGAAAGATTGGTGATGGCCTGGATACGGTTTTGTATGAACTGAAAAACTAAATGGAATAAGAGAAGGAGAAAAACAGGTATAAATGGTTTAAGAATTGGGAGGACCTAGGACATCTGATTAGAGAGTGCTTAGGAGATTCAGCATAGTCCTGCCAGCAAAGATTATTTATTTACTTCAAGAGTAGAAGTTTGGGGATAGCACCAGGAGATATCAGCTGTGATGGCTTGGAGAAACAGTGTAAACCAGCAGTGTAAACAAGAGTAGGGCATGTATGAGTAGTTGAGAACGGTGAATAGGAGTATGACTAGACAGAAGATAGTAGGGATGACAAGTTTTTTGGGGCACAGTCTAAGTTGGTCTGGCGTCTGGAATGAGACTGGGGCCTAATAAAAAGGAGCATCTATGCAGGAGCTTAAATGGGCTGTACCTGGTAGCATTCTGAGGACAGGTCTCACTTCTCAGAAGGGAAAGTGGTAAAAGTATTGTCCAGTCCTTTTTAAGTTGGTGGCTGAGCTTGGTGAGGTGTGTTTTTAAAAGACCTTTAGTCTGTCACTGAAAACTAAGAGCCTGATAAAATGCTTGGCTGATTTGACTAATAAAGGCTGGTCTGTTATCAGACTGTATAGAGGTGGGAAGGCTAAACTGAGGAATTATGTCTGACAGAAGGGAAGAAATGACTGCGGTGGCCTTCTCAGACCCTGTAGGAAAGGCCTCTACCTATCTAGTGAAAGTGTCTACTTAGACTAAGAGGTATTTTAGTTTTTGTGACTCAGGGCATGTTGAGTAAAGCTAATTTGCCAGTCCTGGGCGGGGGCAAATCCTCGAGCTTGATGTGTAGGGAAGGGAGGGGGCCTGAATAATCCTTGAGGAGTAGTAGAATAGCAGATAGAATAGCAGATGGAACACTGAGAAGTTATTTCCTTGAGGATAGATTTCCATGATGTAAAGGAAATGAGAGGTTCTAAGAGGCGGGCTAGTGGTTTGTACTATAGCATAGCCTGCCTTTGCTGGTGTGTGGTGATTAGGCCCGGTGGAACTGCCATCAATAAATCAAGCGTGATCAGGGTGAGAAACAGGGAAGAAGGAAATGTGGGGAAATGGGATGAACATCAGGTGGATCAGAGAGATACAGTCATGACGGTCAGGTGTGGTATCTGGAATAATGTGGGAGGCGGGATTGAAGTCCGGGCCAGGAACAATGGTAATTGTGGGACTTAACGAAGAGAGTACAGCTGAAGGAGCCAGGGAGCAGAAAGTATACGTGTCAGGTATGAGGAAGAAAATAGATTTTGGAAGTTATGAGAAATGTAGAGAGTGAGTTGAGCATAGTTTGTGATTTTGAGGGCCTCTAAAAGTATTAAAGCAGTGGCAGCCACTGCACGCAGACATGAGGGCTAGGCTAAAACAGTAAGGTCAAGTTGTTTGGACAGAAAGGCTACACGGTGTGGTCCTGGCTCTTGTGTAAAAATTCTGACCGCACTAACCATGCCTAGGAAGGAAAGGAGTTGTTTTGTAGAAGGTGCTGGGGTTTGGGAGATTAGTCGGACATGACTGGCAGGGAGAGCACGTGTGTTTTTATGAGAATTATGCCAAGATAGGTAACAGATGAGGAAGAAATTTGGGCTTGATTGAAGTAATGGGGGCTGTCTGTGAAGCTTTGCGGCAGTACAGCCTAGGTAATTTGCTGAGCTTGATGGGTGTCAGGGTCAGTCCAAGTGAAAGCGAAGAGAGGCTGGGATGAAGGGTGCAAAGGAATAGTAAAGAAAGCATGTTTGAGATCTAGAACAGAATAATGGGTTGTAGAGGCAGGTATTGAGGATAGGAGAGTATATGGGTTTGGCACCACAGGGTGGATAGGTAAAACAATTTGGTTGATAAGGCGCAGATCCTGAACTAACTTGTAAGGCTTGTCTGGTTTTAGGACAGGTAAAATGGGGGAATGGTTAAGGAGAGTTTATAGGTCTTAGAAGCCCATGCTGTAGCAGGCAAGTGATAACAGGCTTTAATCCTTTCAAAGCATGCTGTGGGATGGGATATTGGCATTGAACGGGGAAAGGGTGATTAGGTTTTAATGAGATGGTAAGGGGTGCATGATCGGTAGCCAAGGAGGGAGTAGAGGTATCTTATACTTGTGGGTTAAGGTGGGGGAATACAAGAGGAGGATGCAAAGAAGGCTTTGGATTGGGAAGAAGGGCAGCAATGAGATGCTGCTATAGTCCAGGAATAGTCAGGGAAGATAATTTAGTTAAAGTGTCTCAGCCTAATAAGGGAATTGGGCAGGTGGGGATAACTAAAAAAGAGTGCATAAGAGTATTGTCTAAGTTGGCACCACAGTTGGGGAGTTTTAGAGGTGTAGAAGCCTGGCTGTCATTCCCACAACAGTTATGGAGGCAAGGGAAACAGGCCCTTGAAAAGAAGGTAATGTTGGAGTGGGTAGCCTCCGTGTTGATTAAGAAGGGGACGGACTTACCCTTCACTGTGAGAGTTACCTAAAGCTCGGCGTCCGTGATGGTCTACGGGGCTTCCGAGGCGATCGGGCAGCATCAGTCTTCAGCCGCTAAGCTGAGAAGATCTGGAAAGGAGTCAGTCAGAGAGCCTTGGGCCAGAGTTCCAGGGGCTCTGGGAGTGGCTTCCAGGTGAGTTGAACAGTCTGATTTCCAGTGGGGTCCCGCACAGATGGGACACAGCTTAGGAGGAATCCTGGGCTGCAGGCATTCCTTGGCCTGTTGGTCAGATTTCTGGCACTTGTAGCAAGCTCCTGGGGGATGAGGTTCTGGAGTAAAGCCTGGCCGCTGCGGTTCAGGCGTTTGGAAGTTCTTGTGTGCTGGAGATGTGGCTGGGGTTTGTCTCACAGTGGAGGCAAGGAATTGCAACTTTTTTCTATTCTTGTACACCTTGAAGGTGAGGTTAATTAAGTCCTGTTGTGGGGTTTGAGGGCCAGATTCTAATTTTTGGAGTTTTATTTAATGTCAGGAGCAAATTGGGTAATAAAATGTATATTGAGAATAAGATGGCTTTTGACCTTTTAGGGTCTAGGGCTGTAAATTATCTCAGGGTTGCTGCCGAACGAGCCATGAACTGGGCTGGGTTTTTATATTTGATGAAAAAGAGCCTAAACGCTTCTGATTTGGGATAAAGAAAAAGGAGCATTAACCTTGACTACGCCTTTGACTCCAGCCACCTTTTTAAGAGTAAATTGCTGGGCAGGTGGGGGAGGGCTAGTCACAGAACGAAACTGTAAGCCGGACCAGGTGTGAGGAGGGGAGGCGATAAAAAGATTATAGGGTGGAGGAGCAGAGGCTGAGGAAGAATTGGGACCTAGCTCGGCCTGGCAAGGAGGGGAGAAGTCAGATGGGTCTGTAGAAAAGGAAGATTAGAAAGACTCAGCGATGCTTGGGGTTGGGACTGAGGGGACAGGAAGGAGGGAAAGAAGGAAGATTTGGGACGAGTTGCACTGGGCACAGAGACTAGGAAGGGACTGATGTGTAAAAGAATGCCTGGACATCAGGCACCTCAGACCGTTTGCCTATTTTACGACAAGAATTATTTAGATCTTGCAGGATGGAAAAATTCAAAGTGCCATTTTCTGGCTATTTGGAACTACTGTTGAGTTTGTATTGGGGTCAAGCGGCATTGCAAAAGAAAATAAGGTGTTTAGGTTTTAGGTCAGGTGTGAGTTGAAGAGGTTTTAAGTTCTTGAGAACACAGGCTAAGGGAGAAGAAGGAGGAATGGAGGGTGGAAGGTTGCCCATAGTGAAGGCGGCAAACCCAGAGAAAAGAGAGTGTAGAGACACGGAGGGAAGGGGTTTGGGGGTTCTTACCCTCCAGAAAAGTGGGAAGGGGGGTCGGGACACGGAAATAAGGGAGTGGGGCACAGAGATAAGAGGTTGGGGTGTGGAAATAAGGGATTGGGGCACAGAGATATGAGGTTGGGGTACTTGCCCCTCCCCCAGAAAAGCAGAGAAGGGGTAGAGACACGGAGAGAAGGGGCTGGGGTACTTGCCCCTTCCCCAGAAAAGCAGGACTTGCCACTAAGGGTGAAGGAGAAGGGGTTGAGGGGTACTTGCCCCTCCCCCAGAAAAGCGGGACTTGCCACTAAGGGTGAAGGAGAAGCGGTTGAGGGGTACTTTCACCTCCCCCAGAAAAGCAGAGAAGGGGTAGAGACAAGGAGAGAAGGGGGTGGGGTACTTGCCCCTTCCCCAGAAAAGCGGGACTTGCCGCTAAGGGTGAAGGACCGAGGCAGGCGTCCCTGCGTGGTCTGACACCTTTGAAACGTGGGTGAATAATCAGAGAGGTGTCCTTTCAATGATTAAACACCAAGGGAAGGCTGCCTTCCCAGTCCGTGACCGGCGCCGGAGTTTTGGGTCCACGGATAAAACGTGTCTCCTTTGTCTCTACCAGAAAATGAAAGGAATTGAAATTAAGAGAAGGGAGAGATTGAAGTGTGGCGCCAAGATTGAAAGGAGAAAGAGGTTGAGGGATAGTGAGGGAGGTTGGAGAAGAGAGTAAAAAGAGGCCGCTTACCGGATTTGAAATTGGTGAGATGTTTCTTGGGCTGGTCAGTCAGAGAACCTGAGGTCATAGGTGGATCTTTTTCACAGAGCAAAGGGCAGGAGGAAGGGGGATTGATCTCCCAAGGGAGGTCCCCCGATCTGAGTCACGGCACCAAATTCCATGAGCGTCCGTGTGAAGAGACCACCAAACAGGCTTTGTGTGGGCAACATGGCTGTTTATTTCACCTGGGTGCAGGTGGGCTGAGTCTGAAAAGAGTCAGCGAAGGGAGATAGGGGGGGCCGTTTTATAAGATTTGGGAAGGTAATGGAAAATTATAGTCAAAGGGGGTTGTTCTCTGCTGGGCAGGGGCAGGGGTCACAAGGTGCTCAGTGGGGGAGCTTCTGAGCCAGGAGAAGGAAATTCACAGGGTTAATCACTCAGTTAAGGTGGGGCAGGAACAAATCACAATGGTGGAATGTCATCGGTTAAGGCGGGGCAGGGCCTTTTCACTTCTTTTGTGATTCTTCAGTTACTTCAGGCCATCTGGGCGTATACGTGCAAGTCACAGGGGATGCAATGGCTTGGCTTGGGTTCAGAGGCCTGACAGAGACCATCCTGGCTAACACAGTGAAACCCCGTCTCTACTAAAGATACAAAAAATTAGCTGGGCATGGTAGCACGTGCCTGTAGTCCCAGCTACTCAGGAGGCTGAGGTGGGAGAATGGCATGAACCCAGGAGGTGGAGCTTGCAGTGAGCAGAGATTGCGCCACTGCACTCCAGCCTGGGGGACAGAGCGAGACTCCATCTCAAAAAATAAAAAATAAAAAATAAATTAAAAAAAGAATTTAATGAAATAGAAAGCAGAACAAACTAGAAAAGAGAAAAAATCTAAATGGATTTTTTTGTGGAGATTAATAAAATTAATACATTCCTAAAAAATTCTTAAAGATGGAAAAAAGAAAATATAAATTTTCAATATCAGAATAAAAGATATCCTATAGTCTTTAATTGGATTGTAAGGAAATATAGGTCTTATAGATCCTAAAATCAGTAAGAGGATTATAGATCAATAAGTAAAATAACTTTTATACTAATAAACTTATCTACATTAATACATAGTTCCCTTTTCATTTTAGCTGAGGTGTAGTATTCTTTGCAATTGGATTATTGTATACTTTATTTATCCTTCATCATTTTTGTGATAATGAACAAGTAGGCTGTTTCTAGTATTTTTTTGCATATCCAATAACCGTCAATTATATGTTGGTGATATAAATGGCAAATACCTTCTGACATCCTGTAGCTTTTTTCATTAAAAAAAAAAAAAGCTGCATTGTCTTTTGTTGTACAAAATTTTCTATTTTAAGGTGGTTGATTTTATCAATGTTTTTCATTAAGAGTTATGTTCATTGTGTTTTATTTAAGAAATTCTTCATTGCCAAGCCCAAGGTTAAATGTTATAACTTTATAACATTATAATGTTATAATGTTAACTTACAGTCTGTTTTTTCAGGTGATTTAAAAGTCCGTTGCTTTTTAGGTTTTAATCAACTGAGAAGGATATTTATCTTACGCAGTTTGGGGTAGAGGCATCGTTTCTCCCTGTGTAGATAGCAGATTTTGCAGCACCAAGTATTGTATAATCCTTTCCCCATCTGGTTTAAATGATACTTACCATATTACAAGTTTCCATACATGTGCCAATCTGACTTTGGATTCTTTTTTTTTTTTTTGAGACGGAGTCTCACTCTGTTGCCCAGGCTGGAGTGCATTGGCGTGGTGGCACAATCTCAGCTCACTGCAGCCTCCACCTCCTGGGTTCAAGCGATTCTCCTGCCTCAGCTTCCCAAGTAGCTGGGACTACAGGCGCCTGCCACCATGCTCGGCTAATTTTTTGTATTTTTAGTAGAGACGAGGTTTCACCGTAATACCCAGAATGGTCTCGATCTCCTGACCTCGTGACCTGCCCGCCTCAGCCTCCCAAAATGAGGATTCTATACCTTGAATCATAACTCCATTTTTCTATTTCTAAACTAATACTACACCACACTTTTAAAATTATTATAGTAAATCTTGATTTTTTTTTTTCTTTTGGCTAGGGCAAGTGCTTCCACTATATTTTCATTCAAATATAAATGACTGTTCTTGGCTATTCTATGTATGCCTTTTGGGATCGATGTATCAGGTTATACAAAATGATTATTGGAAATTCAAAAAATAATAGTGTTATTGGAGTATAATTTATATGTTATAAAATTCACGCTTTTGATTTATAACACTCAGTATTCCTTTGGCATATTCACAGACTTGTGCAATCATTACTACTATTTAATTTTAAAATATTTTCATACCCCTAAAAGAAACCCTGTACCCATTAGCAGTCCCAGTCCATTCTACCCACCCCTGGAGCCTGACAACTTCTTATTTACTTTATGCCTTTATGGATTTGCCTATTCTTCACATTTCATATAATGGAATCACAAGATACATGGTTTTTTGTGCCTGGCTTCTTTCACTTCACATCATACTTTTCAAATTCTGCTGTAGCATATGTCCATACTCTGTTACTTTCTATCACCGGGTAATATTCCACTAGGTATATGTATCACATTTTATTTATCCATTTAGTCACCTGATAGGCATTTGGTTGTTTACACTTTGGGGCTATTACGAATGATGCTGCTATGAACATTTGTTATGAGTTTCTATGAATGTACGTTTTCAAGTACCTTGGGCATACACCTAGGAGTGGAATTGTTTGTCATATGGTAGCTCTATGTCTAACTTTCTGAGTGCACCAAACTGGTTCACCTGTCAGATTGTCTCTATCAGTTGTCTTTTCTCTTAAGAATTGATCACATTTTCCTCATTCTTTTTACGCCAAGTACTTCTGGATTACAACCCAAGGCACTTGATACCCATATAACAAGATACGCAGAACACATTCTGCATATTTAAATCATGTGCTAGGGAGCGGTGTTGGATTGGGTTGCAGGCTGGATTCTCTTACATTTCTCTGAAGAGTGTGGATTATCTTTTAAGCAGATTTAACTTGGTTGGAATCAAGCAGGTTTCCCTTGATTGAACTCAAATAGAAAATTCTGCCTTTTGCAATTCAGCTGTATTTTGTCCCATATATGCATGCTTCAAGAATCAGCAACACACTTAGGAAGTGTTTATATGCAAAAATTAGTTTCAATTTTATTTTTGGTCTTTCTGTTTCCTGAAAAACAAAAACAGACCTGAAAAGCATATAACATATTTTAATACTTGTTAATGCTGAATGGTGGACAGATGCATATGACTATGCTTTTATCTTAGTTATTTTTAAATAAAGCCAGTAAATATTGATTGTTCGCATCCTGAAATGTAGCAGAATTTAGAAAGTAGTTAGTTTTCAATTATAATGTTGACCTTTGATTTACTTCTTAGCAAGAAAAGGAATTAACTCTTTAATTAGTATTTCTAAAATTAGTAATTTTTTTTTGAATTTTTCTGATATTTCTAAGCTAAAATTCACTTTGCTGCACACATATATTACACACACCTACATATATGTATAGATATATATTCATGTGTATTTAATATATATTTTATGTAGTATATTTGTAAATATATATAATTTGCTTGTATGTACATATTCATATCTGTAGATATACATAAGTATATATACATTTCTATGCATATGTGTATGCATGTGTCTTATATATTTGAATATATATCATTTTAAAATATAATACACTATAGAATTAGAGTTTTGAATTTTATTTGGATTTTTATGTAGATGTTCATATGTGGCATTCATCAGTCATTTTCTCATTGCGGTCATTTTCAGATTTGGGGTTTAACCTCATGCTGGCTTGGTAAAAAGAATCTGAAAATTTTTCTTCTCTTGGCTGGAAGAATTTAAACACGCTGAAGTGACATAGTATTCAAAAATGTAAAAGTAATTTTCCTGTGCAACACCTTCTTAGCATGTGCTGTGATGTGTGAGTATGGGTGTGTATGAGGCAGGGGAATTGTCCCATACTCCCTTATTTAAAAAACTGTGGCATTTGTTTGTTTGAGTTGATGAGATCATTTTTGAAATGCATTTCTGTCCTTGATATTTTCCTGGAAATTCATCCATTTTGTGTGTTCACAAACTTATTTTACACTGAATTTAGTGATGCTACCACTTGGCAGGAATTGGCAATATTGTATGTGCTTTCTCTTTAACCAAACTATTTCATTTACCTTAAAATAATCCCTCCACATGTTCTCAAAAAAAAGGTAATGAAAAAGCATGTTTGATAATGCATTTAGCAATATAACATAGCATGATACTATTTCTGTAATTGTTAAAAGATCTAATGGTTTCAAATATATTTCTCAAGTATGAATAGATATGTTGTTCATGGACATATGTATGTTAATTTATAATTTGGTTCAACAGATATACACAAGTTCTTCACAGTGTCTGTCTCAGAGAAGAGTGAAAGGGGGAAGGCAGATGGAGAATGTGATTAATCTGTTATGTTTTCTTTCTTTCTTTAAAAATGTCTTGAAATAAATATAACACAATGTGAAACTGTCAATTCAGGGTAATAGATACCTAGCAGTTTCTCACCTTATTCTTCATACTAATCTGTATTTGTGATTTTTTTTCTCAACAAAAACAAGCAAAGTAAATAACCAGAAAGAAGGACATGAAAAGCCCATTCCTATTCTACCACCTCCACTCATTCATACTGCCCAAGGAGCAGTCACTGTTCATGTCACTCCTCCAGATCTTAGCCTATGCACAGAGACATGTGCATTTCATCTCATTCAAAAAGGTCAAGGTTTGTAGGGAACATTTGTTTCTGTTTTGTTTTAATTTGCATTTCCTTTTTCAAAATTTAGAAAGATTTTGCATCATTGGTTTTTTAGGATTTACCTTTTTATAAAAATGAACTTTTCCAATAAACCTGCCATTTTTTGACCTACCACTGTGAACATAGGGAAATACGAAACTTACACATTCTCTTTTCCCTCCCTACTTCCTATTTGTTTTAAAACATTTTTCCAGGGTCCATCAGAGTTATATAGTTGTTTTTATTCATAATGAAAAAAATCTTTTTTTCTGTTTTAAAATATATATTTTACGTAACCATAATTTCCTCAATTATTTCACTTTGGTTTTATATTTAAATGGATTTAGTACTTACTGCCAGTCCTTTCATAGAAGGTCTTTCTATTCCATTAGTTCAATTTTTTTGCTATGGAAATTTCTTGTTTTCATCGGTGAGCTTTTTCAAAAAGGTTTCAGTTTCTGCATCCTAGCAATTTTTAGGATGCCTCTCGATTTCCTTTATACCTGAATGACTATCAGTCTGTCTATAACATTCACAGATCATACATATTTCCACCCCACAAGCCTCCGCTGGAATTTCTGCATTGTCTTCTGGCACTAACTGATGCAGTGTAGAAGTTTGAATGCAATGCAACTTTTGTTTTTTTTTCCTCGTACAGGATTCTTTCTTCCCCCGATAATGTTCAGGAACTTTACCAAGATACAAACAATAGCTGATACTTGAAAAGAATATCCTCTGTACCAGTAACTCACCGAAGTACATGACATATATTACCTCATTTCATTCCCATTCACAACAAACCATGAAGCTGGGATTTTTAATAGTCACACTTTGCAGATTAAAAAATCAGCCTGACAAACCTGCCCAGAGTCACAGCTACTAAAGAATGGAGCTAAGATTCATGTCAGATCAAGGGATCTCTTTTACTCCATTTACATACGTGGATGTAAAAGCTTCTCATGTTTGAAGGTTTGGCAAATGTTTCATTTCAGGAAATATTTTTCTGTATCTCTGAGTGTTCTTTATCTGTTCCATTATTTTCTCTTCTCCATCTCAAGGACACAGATGCTCACATGCTGCTCCTTTGATGCATAACTTCCGTATCTGCCATCTTCATTGAAATTGTTGTCATCCTGCCATGCTTTCTAATGACAATCTTCATGATTATTTCAATTCTCTCTTCCATAACACAGTATTGATTTTCAACTGGCATCTTCTCTTTTCCTTACCCTCTAAAGCATGTTTATTAATCTGCAGTGCTGTTGCTTGATCTTCAAATACTTTCACTACTTTTGCAAATTAATTCGGTGGTGTTATATTTTATATCTATATTTTTATTTATATCAATCTGTTCATTATTTTCATTGTAGTTTTGGTGTTTTTATAAGTTCTTCTCAGAAAGTGTTTTATCAGAATATTTATTCTATTACTTGGTGTATACCTTCTTCTAGAATAAATTCTTCTTTTCTATTTTATATGCTAGCTTGCTTTCTTCTCCTCCTCCTTCTCCTTTTTTCTTTTCCTTCATAATTGTTAAGAGTGCCATGACTCTTTTTTTCATTTTGCTCATCTTTGATATTAGCCCCTCTATGTGGGCACTTTCTTTGTGCATATATAGCATATACAAATTATTCTTGCTTACCCGCCTATCTTAGTGGAGGCTTATTTGTTTATCCCACTAGAGGTTCAGCTTGTGACTTGGTTACTGCTGATGTCTGTTTGCAGGTGTCTGTTTTCTTAAGGGGCCTCAGATGCAGTTGTGACTATTTTGATTTGTTGTTTTCTGCTCAATTTCATGTAATTTTATTATTATTATAGAGTTTATTATGAGTACTCCAAGGTGTATCTTTCTTAGGTGAGTAGAGATATTATGTTTATATTGGATTTTCTGCTATGTAGACATCACTTTATAGCTACTACAGTTTCACATTGCCATCCTCCTGAGCTATTCTATGCTGTTATCCCTCTTCTGACCAAGCCAGAGGTGGGGAAAATGAGTGAAATTTATTATTTAAACAAGGTGCTATAGGAAGAAAGGCCATATAGAGCTCTTTTTTTTTTTTTTTTTTTTACCTCCTTTCACATTATTCCCTTTGTCAAGGGACAACCAAATTGCCTCAAGACTTTGTCTTATCTTGATGTTGTTTATTACTGGAAATAATTAGTTGTGCTCAATCTATGCCTCTACTCCCTCATCCTTGAGGTGTAGGGGAAGATTGATGAGCACTAACAGATTTTCCCTTCGTTGAAAAATTTTTCATCTATGATGTTGGGAAGAGGCTTCTATTATGAAAGAGACATTTTATAAAATTACCCAGGATGGCCTTCCAAACTGGAGAGAATTTTATGCAGTTTTGCCTATAGATGTCTTCTCAGACACTTCTCAGACAAGAATTTGTGTACTATTTTCTAGATTCCTCTGTCTCTCTGTTTCTAGATTATCTTTTTCAAAATGAATAATAATTTTTGCTCCATTTACTTTTGTATTGTTCTTGGAGAATTAATTTTTAAAATAATGTTGCTGATTTCTGTTTATTTCATTAGGTTTTGGGTAGGGACATTGAGGATTCTGCTTTGTATCATTCTGTTTTCCCAGAATTCCCCATCAGTTTTCCTCCTGCCTCCAAAGTCAGTGTCAGCTCACTTATATCTGATTTCTGTATTTTCATACAAAATATTCAAATAACTCCCCTTAATATGGTTTTCTCTCTTACAAGTTATAATCCATGCTTTGTTTCTTTGCTTGTTTCATTTTCATTTTGTTGTGCAATCTCTCTTCCCTGGATAGCCATCTTTCTTGCTTACTTACTAAACATTGATTTGATCACAATGTTTTTAGCTTAACCATTCCCTCTTTATTTTTTTACAGTCTATCTTTGTGTCCCAGTTATCTATTGCTGCATACAAATTAACCCAAACTCAGTGATTTTAAAATAACAATAATGACATTCTTATTTTTCTCGCATCTCTGCAGGATGACTGGGCTCAGGTAGGTGGTCCTCACCCAAGGTCTCTCATTTTGTGATAGTCAGACAGTGGATAAGGCTGTAGTTACCTGAGGGTTTTGCCCAGTCATATGTCTGGCTGGACTGGGAAGACTCAAAAATCCAGGGAAAATAGCAGCTGGAGCTCCTTAGGCATCTTTCTCTATCACCAGCTGGCCTTGCCATGCTATTTCTCCAGCATGGTGATGTTAAGAGCAAGGCAGTGACAAAGTCCTGATCAATTTCAAGGTCAAGGGTAAATAGGCTCCACCTCTTGACTGAGGGATGAGAAAGTTCTAGAAGAGCATGATGTGGCCATTTTCTGAAAAAACAACAATTGGTGAGAGTCTTCTCTGGCCACAATACTCTACTTTCCTTACACATTAAAAATACACTAACCCTTACCTCCAAGACCTCCTAAAGCCTTATTTCATGATGGGATCAGGATGAGGCCTTAGAGCCAGAATTTTATCATCTTAATTAGTTCCAGGTATAATGAGGCTCCTAGAGTACACTTCCTCAACTACAGTTCCTCGAGAATGTCTCCTCTTGATGTAAAGACTTACAATTTTCAGATCACAAGAGAAAAGTTACCCTCCACCTTCCCTCTCTACACTTATCACAGACAAGTTCAACAAGCATAGGATAACCACTATAGACATTCCCTTTCAAAGGGGGAATACTGCGGTGCACATAGAAGTTGCTGGTCTGTAGCGTTCCTGAAATCAACCCTGGCACAGGTTGTCAGCTTTTTTAAACAGCTTTACAAAGAACTGTAGATATTTAATATGTAGAATTTGGTGAGTTTGTAAGTATGTAAACACTGAGGATACCATCTCTACAATGAAGTTAATAGACACATCCAACACCTCCCAATGTTTCCTTGTGTCCCTATGTTTTGAGGTCTTTGATGTGTGCCTGTGGCAAAAACACTTAACATGAGTTCTAGCCTTTTAACACATTTTAAAGTACATAGGACCTTGTTAACTACAGGCACTGTGTTGTACAACATATCTCTAGAACTTCTTCATCTAGCTAAGCTTTTAAACCCATTGAAAAACAAATTCCTGTTTTCTCCATCCCCTTACCCCTGGCAACTACTACTGTATTCTTATTTCTGTAAGTTTTACTATTATACACATCTTATAAAAGTGGAATCTTACAGTATTCGTCCTTCTGTGACTGTCTTATTTCACTTACCATAACGTCCTGCAGTCTCATGTTGTCAGAAATAGCAGGATTCAGGATTTCCTTCTTTTTTTAATTCCGAATAATATTCCACTGTGTGTATATGCCACGTTTCCCTCATCTATTCGTCTGTCAATGGACACAGGTTATTTCCATATCTTGGCTCTTGTGAATAATGCTGCAGTGAACATAGGGGTTCAGATATCTCTTCAAGATCCTGATTTCGATTCTTTGGAATATGTAACCAGATGGAAGATTACTAGATCATATGGTAGTTCTATTTTTAATTTTTGAGAAACTTCAACACCGTTTTCCTCAGTGGCTATACCATTTTGCATTCACATCAACAGCATACGAGGGTTCCAAATTTTCCACATCTGCACTACACTCATTAACTTCTGTTTCTTATTTTGAAATTAACCATACTAACAGGTGTGAGGTAATATGTCATTGCGGTTTTGACTTTCATTTCCCTGAAATTTCTGATTTCAAAATTTCAAAATATATTAAAGGCTCCAGAAATTAGTCTGATACTGGCATAAAGACGGACACGTAGCTGCATCGAACAGAACAGAGAGCCCAGAAATAAATCCACGCACGTATGGTTTGACCTTGGTACTTTTTGACGAAGTACCAAGAATATACAATGGAGAATGGATAGTCTCTAACAAATAGTGCCGGGAACACTGTAATTAATATATTCACCCTGTTTTATAGTTGTTTGAAATGAAAGAGCTAATCTGATGCTAATTATTCCATCATGGCTTAAGAGTTTTTAGTTTTTAATCATAAATGTGTTTTAAATTTTATTGAATGCATTCTTTTTTACCTATAAAGGTTATCTTGTGACCTTTAAAAAATAAATGAATAAAAAATAAAATTGAACCATCACTTTATACTACACACAAAAAGCAACTCAAAATGTTTTAAAGACTTAAATGCAAGACCTGAAACTGTAAAATTTAAAAAAAGAAAAAAAAACCCCACAGGGGACCAGGCACTGTGGCTCATGCCTGTAATTCCAACACTTTGGGAGGCCGAGGTGGGTGGATCACTTGAGATCAGCAGTTTGAGATCAGCCTGGCCAACATGGTGAAACCCTGTGTCTTTAAAAATAGAAAAATTAGCCAGGTGTGGTGGTGGGCACCTGTAATCCCAGCTACTTGGGAGGCTGAGGCACAAGAATCACTTGAACCTGGGAGGCAGAGTTTGCAGGGAGCCAAGACTGTGCCACTGATTTCCAGCCTGGGCGATAGAGTGAGATTCAGTCTCAAAAAAAAAAAAAAAAAAAAAAAAAAGGAAAAAATCATCTTAACATTAGTCTTAGCAATTATTTCTTGGATGTGACACAAAAAGCATAGGCAATACAAACAAAACTGACAAGTGCAACTACATCAGATTCAAAATGTTCTGTATAGCAAAGAAAAGAGTCACCAGAATAAAAAGGCAACATACAGAATGGGAGAAAATGTCTTCGAATCATATATCTGAGAAGGGGTTTAATTTTCAAAATATATACGAAATTCCTATAACTCAGTAGCAAAACTAACAAAACAACCCCAAATACCTCAATGAAAAATTTAAAAAATGAACAGAGGACCTAAACAGACATTTCTCCAAAGAGGCATACTCATGGCCAACAGGTATCTGAAAGCAAGTTGTCAGTTGTTAATCAGAGCTTAGCTCTAATGTCTGGAAATCATTCCCATGGTATATAGCTCTGAAAAATGTAGCACATGTACCCAACTTTGTAGTTTTTCAGCCTGCTTCCCACCTATAGAAACAAAAGATTCTGATATCTCTTTGTATTTTCTTAGTTTTGATAGCCCCTTCACTGTAAGCTAATAAATTTCCTTTAGAAACATTCTGGGTTTTCAACGAATCAATTTATAATTCACTCCATTAGATCCAAGCCACTCCACAATTTCTTCAAGATAATTCTTTCTGTGCCATGGATTCCCTTGGGGAACACTGTGGGACAATGATCTTAACATTCTCAGAAAAACTGTTGGTTAAAGAATAGAATCTTCAAGTCATGCCCTCAAGATCTTTAGAAGGATTTCTGTCTATTGAAAGGGTCTATTAGGCAACACCTTAAATTGCTCTATGGACTTAACAAAGTGTTTTACTTTGATACTCTTAGCTTCTCCCTTACATCATATTTTCCTAAAATTATAAATTTGTCTCCTTTCCAGAAGTCATTTCTGAATTTCAGCATTGTTTGGCCACTGGTGGGGCTCGGCACAAGAAAAAGTTTTATTTCAAAACCTGGCAGGTCCTAGCTCTTTTATATTTAACAGTTCTTTCTTTAGATTTTCTATCTCCTTTCGCATTTTACTATATTTAATAAGAAGAAGCCACATAGCACTATCAACACTCCACCTAGAAATCTTGGCTGGATCATCCAAGGCATGAGATAGACTGCCTATTTTCCACCTTACAGCTGGAAGTAGTGATGTTAAACTTTCTACCACTCTGTAAGAAAGTCTCCTTTCTTCCAACTCCTAATCGCCTTATTCTCACTTCCTTTGAAGTCTTTCCTGATAATCTCTTTGGGGTTCATTAAGCTCCCACTGTTTTTCCAAGGCTTTTTCAATGTTTGCATCATCCCTTAATCCTAAAGCCCCTTAGTTACTTAGTCCCAAAGCCACTGCCTCATGTCTCAGATTCTGTTAGAGCAACACTTCACTTACAGGTATCAGTAGGTTTTCCAGCAAACTGTTGCTGAATAACAAGTTGCCCTATACCGTAGGGGCCTTAAACAACAGTATTCATTTTATTATTATTTCTCACATTTCTGGCGGTTGACTGGACTCAGTGCAAAAGTTCTTACCCAATGCCTTTTATGTAGGTATCAACCCATGCAGCTGGCACTTGAATCTTCTGAGTATTTGCTCCCTCTCCTGTATGGTGGCATTGCTGGGAGATTCAAACTGCTGGGGCCCAGGATTGGCTGGAGTCCTTGGAAGTCTCTCTCGGTCTCTATGTGGTCTCCCAATTGGCCTTTTCAGCATGGCAGCTTCAGGATAGCTGCAGGGTTTGCTGCAATTCTTATGTGGTAGATGAAGGCTCCTAAAATAGAGACAAACGCAGAGAAAGAGAGAGTAAAAGAGAGGGAGAGAGAGAAGGAGGCTAAAACTGTAGTACCTTTTCGAATCCAGCTTTAGAAGCTCCCTGTGTCCCTTCTGCCACGCCTCTTTGTTGGGCCAGCCATTAAGACCTGTCAAGACTCATGGTGTGGGTAAATCTGCTCTGCTTCTTGATCACAAAATTCTGGAAGACCATGTGGGACCAGAATTATTACTATGGAGACTACAATCTGCCACACTGAGTGCTAACTATTATTTCAAGCATTCAACGTTTCTAGGAGTGAAACACTGTGATGTTGTCAGGCGTTTGAACCAGAGTGACTCCATCTTGAGTAGGGGGCGGGTAAAATAAGGCTGAAACCTCCTGGGCTGCATTCCCAGTTAGGCATTCTAAGTCACAGGATGAGATAGGAGACTGGCATAAGACACAGGTCACAAAGGCCTTGCTGATGAAACAGGTTGCAGTAAAGAAACTGGCTAAAACCCACCAAAACCAAAATGGCCATGAGAGTGACCTCTGGTCATCCTCACTGCTACACTCTTATTAGCGCCATGACAGTTTACAAATGCTATGGCAATGTCATGAAGTTACCCTATCTGGTCCAAAATGGGGAGGCATGAATAATCCACCCTTTGTTTATCATATCATCAAGAAATAACCATAAAAATAGGCAACCAACAGCTCTCAGGGCTGCTGTGTCTATAGAGTAGCCCATTCTTTTATTCCTTTACTTTCCTAATAAACTGGCTTTTAGTTTTCTCTGTGGACTTGCCCTGAATTCTTTCTTGCATGAGATCAAAGAACCCTCTCTTGGGGTCTGGATCCAGACCTCTTCCAGTAACAATGTAAGCAGATGCAGAGTGAGGATCAAGAGGATACAATAAGCCACATCCTGAAAAATAAGGATAAGCTTGAGACCCTCTCAGGTGGGAGTTAGAAACTCCAGAGCAAGGATCACAGCTATAAAGACTTTGTAGTTTAGAAAGCTTTGCCACTCCCTCTGGTATGTTAGTTCTGCAGCTCTTCACCATTGCCGATGACCCTTGCATGTGACTTCATGAGCAACCTGGAGGAGTGTTAGCTGCAGACTGATTCCACACTGCAGATATTTACAAGGACGAAGACTCAGAGGAGTTCATGAGAGGTGTCTGCTCTCAGAGGAAGTGCAAACAGCAAAGTCCTGGGTGCTGTAGCAAGAAACATGCAGAATGGTGGATGGCCTGGGACAGCCACACAGCAGCTAGCCCTTGTTGACTCATAGGTCAGGCTCTTCCGTCGTGTGGTTTAATCTTTAGGGCAAGCCTGTGAGGTAGCTCTCTGCATCATTGGTGAGGAAATGGAGACTTCCATGATTTTATTAACTTTATACAGCTTTAAGGCAAGAAACTAGGACACAAAACCACGTAAGTCTGTCTCCAAAGTCTACAACCTTTCACAGCAGTGTACTGGGACTGGTGACTGAGAGGACCACATGCAACCCCACTTATCAGGGACATGTTTTTTCCTCTCTGGAAATGACAGAACAAAGATTACAAAGGCTGAGAGATATTGGCCTGAGGAGTGGGACGTTCACTTAGCTCCTTCTTTTCTGTAAACACTTATAAATTGGACTGACATTTTTCCAAATATTCTCCTGTAAACGGCAGGTAGATCGTTTCTGCTATTGATTGTCTTATTTATAGCTAACAAAATGCATACATTAGTTAGGAGAGAGGAATGAAAATAGTCTGTCAATTACTTTTGTGCTCACAAACTATGCTAGACATTTCAAGTTCTTCATTCAAAATTCCATAGCATCTGTTTAAGATAGTAGCTACTTACTTCATCTCACAGGTGTGCCACTAAGGCTTAGAAAGGTGAAGCATCTCGCCAATGTCACATAGGTAGTAACTGGAAGAATCAAAGCTTAATCCAAAGTTGCTTGGCTGCAAACTTATTTTTGGGTTTTCAAATGTGCACTAAAAGCACTGGCTAGGCTGGTTGGGGAGAAACCGAAGAAGAGGAACTCATGTAGAACAGGGAAACTATTGGACCAGCCAAAGCTGCTTAACCTTTTCTGCTGTAATAAAATGTTCAAGGGTACCATGGCCTTAGTCAGCGGCATCTGAATCCACTCTTACGAAGCTGTGATTCTGTGACATGCTTGATAGACACTTATCTGAGTCTATCAATTAAAGCTTCAGCAAACTCTGTCCAGATGTATTTTCATCTATAGTTTTAAGACAAATTATTATTTAATGTCAGTCTTTTTTCCTGTAAATGTGTACACCATGCTAAGTGCTTTACATGCTTAGCATCGGTCAATCTTCACAACAGCTCTGTGCTGTGGCTTGTTATCCTCATCCAACAGATGTGAAAACCAAGGATCCTTCCAAGCTTGCACGGCCAATTTTGGTGGAACCACAATTAAGATGCAAGTTGGTTTAACTCTGAAACCTGTGTTTCTTCATGAAATTGTGCCACGATTTCATTAGGAGAAGCCCTCTTGCAGGCCCCTTTCGTATTTAACGAATAATCCATACTTCATGGTTTCTGCTGCTTTTCTTTTCCTGGAGGATTTTATTAAGAAATCCATTTGTCTTTGCACCCTGGGAGCTGCTTCCTCCTGCTGTCTGACTCAGGCTTTTCAGCCTATTTGCACCTCAAATCCCTCATTAGGGAATCCAGGCTGGGGAGAGTTCTAGGCACAGTTTAAAAGGTTTTGCTCCCCCCACCCTGCCCGCCCACCCCTTCCTATTTTTGCTTTTATTTTTAACTGCACTTCTTTCTGACAGGAACTCTGTTTGTCCTGACTTGAGTCTGATGTTATGAGTCACTGGGGAGATATAATATGCTGATTGCTGAACCAGGTTATTATTTTTTCTTTTTCTATGACTCATTCTCTTCAAAATCTCTAATTTATGATAAAAGTCAGTAAGATGTAAGCACAGAAAATGTTCCTAATGGGCTGTCTTATTAGGTTTGGGCCCACTTTGTCTAGTTTAACTCTTGAGATGAACAATGTAATTCAGTGTCCCCCTTAGAAAGATCTGGGGCCGGTGGGCCATGGCTCCTCCCACACCACTGCCAGGCAGGGCAATGAGCAGTGCTAGGGCTCCACTCATAGGAAGAGTTCAACCTGTGGACCCAGTTGAAAGAAGAGAAAGCTTCTGATGAGATACTACTAGTGCTGCCCACATATGTGCATCACAAGGACATAGAGCCATAAAAACCTATCCTGCTTTACAATGTTTCTAATGAAGGAACATTATAAGTCATCATCCCCTTAAAATGCCACCCCAAAATGGGGCAAACGCATATGCAAAATACAAACATAGCTCACAAGATGACAGTGTAAACTAAGAAAATCTACTCAGACGTAGAAAGAGATGGGGATTTTTTATGATCCACTTTGTTATGTAAACAAAGAGTCAGACTGTTAGACCAGGACAAGATTTTCAAGGTCTCATTCAATGCACGACCACTTTTCATAGCCCCTTGGACAGATGCAGCCAGTAATGGGGAGCTCCCTGTGTTCTCAACTATTTAACCATTTGAAGTTCATTGGTGAATAATTGAACACTTACCCTGTGCCCCGATGTCTCCTAGGAACCAGAGATGCAAATGTGATAATGATGTCTCTAAACTGCCCTGGTCTTAGGAGGACAAACTCCTGACTCTTCTTCAGCAACCCCCGCTGTGTCCCTTCTTAGCCTTGCCCAAGCCTGTTTAACCTGCGCCGGACCCACAGCATGAGGCTGAGGCAGCTTCTAAGCTGCTATAGATGTGGCCTTTAGTCCGCTGGGTTGCTCTTTTGTGTCAGCCTCTGCCTGGTGACACAGCTTGTCAGTGCCACTGCTTGGGATCTGCCGCAGTGCAGCAGCTGGAATGAATCACACGCCTCTTCCAATTTCAGTGGTCTTCTGTTGTTATGGACTGAGTTCTGTCCCCCTAAAATCCGCATGTGGAAGTAGTCGTAACCCAATGTGACTGTATTTAAAGATAGGGTCTTTAAGGAGATAATTAAGCTTATTTAATTTTTTATTCATGTAAGTTTACAGGATATAAGTGTAATTTTTTTGCATGTATAGATTACATAGTGGTCAAGTCAAGGCTTTTAGGGTACCCATTGCCTGAATAGCATACGCTGTACCATTAAGTAATTTCCCATCCTCTACCAATTTAATTAAGTTTAAATGCTGTCAAAAGAGTGGGAAGCTAATCCGATAAGACCTGTGTCCTTATTAAAAGAGGAAGAGACACCAGGAATGTGCAAACAAGGATGAAAGGTCACATAAGGACACAGTGAGAAGGTGACCATCTGCAAGCCAGGAAGAAGCCAACCCTGCTTCACCTTCATCTTCAACTTTTATCCTCTAGAACTATGAAAAGATTAATCAAGTCACTCAATTTGTGGTATTCTTTTCCAGCATCCCACGGGGGACTACCACACCTCTTTATCATCATTCTCTTGTCCAACAGAAACTCTTTTTGGGGAGATAAATGTCTTGGTCTTGGCCATCAGGCCAGGTTCCATCTTACTCCATCTAGCACCAAATGGACATCCATGTTGTTTGTCTTGATTTGGTGCAGAAGTAATGGTGGTGTTTGCATTGTGCAATTTGATCTTTGATATTGGAATACATTCTGAAACAAATGTGGTTATGTTACACATCATTCTAATGTGCATTTCTCACTTTATGTTTTTTTGCTAATGACTTATTACTTGCTGTTTATTTTATATTTATTTTAGACTATGAAAATTATGTTAGACAAAAAGCAAATTCGAGAGATTTTATTTGAGTTCAAAATGGGTTGTAAAGCATCAGAGACAACTTGCAACATCAATAACGCATTTGGCCCAGGATCTGCTAATGAACGTACAGTGCAGTGGTGGTTCGAGAAGTTTTGCAAAGGGGACGAGATCCTTGAAGATGAGGAGTGTAGTGGCCGGTCATCACAAGCTGACAACAGCCAATTGAGAGCAATCATCAAAGCTCATCCTCTTATAACTACATGAGAAGTTGCTGAAGAACTCAACCACGACCATTCTGCGATTGTTCAGCATTTGAAGAAAATTGGAAGGGTGAAAAAGCTTGGCAAGTGAGTGCCTCACGAGTTGAGTGAAAATGTAAAAAATCGTTATTTTGAAGCATTGTCTTATTCTACACAAAAACAACAAACCATTTCTCAATCGGATTGTGACATGCGACAAAAAGTGAATTTTATTTGACAACCAGCAATGACCAGCTCAGTGGTTGGACAGAGAAGAAGCTCCAAAGCACTTCCCAAAGCCAAACTTGCACCAAATAAAGGTCATGGTCACTATTTGCTGGTCTGCTGCTGGTCTGATCCGCTACGGCTTTCTGAATCCTGGCGAAACCATTACATCCAAGAAGTATGATCAGCAAATCAATGAGATGCACCGAAAACTGCAATGCCTGCAGCCAGCATTGGTCAACAGAAAGGGGCCCAATTCTTCTCCATGAAAACGCCGGACCACACATCGGACAACCAACACTTCAAAAGTTGAACGAATTGGGCTATGAGGCTCTGCTTCATCCACCATATTCAACTGACCTCTCCCAATCAACTACCACTTCTTCAAGCTTCTTGATGACTTTTTGCCAGGAAAATGCTTCCACAACCAGCAGGATGCAGAAAATGCTTTCCAAGAGTTTGTTGAATCCCAAAGCGTCGATTTTTACACTACAGGAATAAACAAATTTCTTATTGGTAAAAAGTTCTTGATTGTAATGGCTCCCATTTTGATTAATAAAGATGTGTTTGAGCCTAGTTATAATGATTTAAAATTCATGATCCGAAACAGCAATTATTTTTGCACCAACCTAGTAACCGTGGTTTTTAGTACCAAAGACAAATCTGTCTTTCTTGTCTCTTCCTTTTTGTTAGTTCCGCTTTTATTCAGCCACCAAAGATCTTTTCTTAGTATTCCTCTTTCTGACTTCAGAAATCACTATTTCTTCCATCTTTTTGCCAAAAGACGTTTGTTTTCAATTTTTATGAGCAGACTTGAAATAGCTTTGCATTTTTCTTCAAAGATATCATGACCCCTAACCTCCCCAAACAAAAGAAGAAGCTTCCGGGCCTGGCGCGGTGGCTCACGCCTGTAATCCCAGCACTTTGGGAGGCCGAGGCAAGCAGATCACGAGATCAGGAGATCAAGACCATCCTGGCTAACACGGTGAAACCCCGTCTCTACTAAAAATACAAAAAATTAGCCAGGCGTGGTGGCGGGCGCCTGTACTCCCAGCTACTCGGGAGCCTGAGGCAGGAGAATGGCGTGAACCCGGGAGGCGGAGCTTGCAGTGAGCCGAGATAGCGCCACTGCACTCCAGCCTGGGCGACAGAGCGAGACTCTGTCTCAAAAAAAAAAAAAAAAGAAAAAGCTTTCCTACAGTTCATAGTTTAATGATGGAGACACCTGTAGAAAAACGTTCAAAGGATGAGCCAAGGAGGGCTATACAGGGCAAGTGACTTCTTCCGTCTGGTGGCATTCAAGCAGATTTCACAGTGAGAGGGGTAGTTAAGCTGCGCCTTGAAGGGTAGGTGAAAGGTTATGGGTGAAGAAGAGAGGAAAAGGGTCCCAGTAAGGGGAATAGCACGTGAAGCTGCAGGGAGACATAGAAAAGGCACATTTGAACAAGAGTGAGTGAACTCCTGTGGTTGCAGCCCAGGGTTCTAGATGTGAAGGAAGGGCTGGGGAGGTGGCGCCAGGTGGGATGTGATTATGTCGGATTTACCAGCATCTTTAGGACCTGCCTGCCCTGCAGGTGTGTGAGGAGCAGTTCCTGAGCTATCTGAGCTTGTCTTTCTTCTGAAAAAGGCTTGAATAGATGACCAGTGAATGGCATAGTGGTTTTGGCCAGCAGCACTTGGTATTGAGGAGGAAGTTCTGGGTAAAACAGCTTCTTCTCATTCTTTTCATATATGTTTGTGTGTTGATGAAATGGCAGCAAAATTTTTTTGAAAAGTAAACTTCGCTTCTCCTTGAGAGGCTCTCACTGATATTTTTACTGTCTAATCAAGGCACAGTGAGGCAGGCTATGCAACTTTTTCAGATCCCCCACCTGGTAGATAATGGAGCATGAAGTCAGACTCAGATCTTTATGGCTCCAAAGCTGTGCTCCTTCCACCATGTTCCCTTCCTCAAACGTGGAATGACATTTTTGTAGAAAAATAAAGGCAATTCGATACATTGTGCTCATTTATTTTGCTAACCTTAGGAAAATGTCCAACAGTTGCCTGAATTACCTATGACAAAAACATTTCCACCGCAATCTCCTCCACTCTTTGGAGTGAGTTAAGTGGATTTCTGTAATTACCTTAATGGGTGTATATGTTTTGAAAAACAGCATACATAAGGTGCTTAAGCCAATACCTGTTACAGTATTTGTTCAATAAATGTTGACTATTACTAATATGAATAAATAATATTGTATATATATTCCCAATGTATATATAGATATATGGAAATTTTTTAAAATGCAGTGCTCATAAAGCATTTCTTTTATTCAGCCAATATTCCCTGAGCTCCGATATCTTCTAGGCCCTTAGATTGGAGATTACACCTTTGTGGAACTCACAGACGAAGAGGGGCTAGGAATCACTGAGACCTTATTAGCAAAATGCCATGGCAAGTGCTATAATCTTTGATAATCTCTTCAGATGACAATAATTTTATAATATTTTCTATTAAGAAAAGGGAAAGAGAACTCAAGGTCTTTCCTTTTGCATAGTCGGTTGATTCCTTTAACTTCTGTTACTTTCAAACTCCCTATCAGTAAGGCCATGAAAATGTTTACTGTTGTCAAATTTGGAAAAAAACACATCACATTGATTTCAAAGATATAAGATTTCAAGCCACTTCACATTTTCTTGTGTAGCAACCATTCTCAAAATCTTTGATTAGACAAACTTCATTAACTAGCTTTTTAAGAAGCCTTTGTTGCAATGGCGTGTTATGAATTTGCTATTTTGACGATGTCAGTATTTCCAGTCAAATCAGTAGGAAACTTAAATAGTCACTTTCATAATTATATTTTATCTAATTCCCTTCGAAAAGAAAACAATGTGGGGTGTTTTAATTGTATATGCTGTATAATTAAGCATATTCTGAGACAGATAGAACTCCTGTTTCAAATTATCTGCTTGCAGTTTTACATGTTTGATGATTGAAAGCATTTTCCACAGATTAGCTTCTGAGCCTTCACATTTCAAAACCTGTTTCTCCTCTGCTCCCCGAACATTTCTGCAGCCTTGGGGCAAGCTTGTATTGTGTATCAACCTCTGGCCCTGCTCTTTTTTGTCATGGCACTGGGTGAGTCAACACAGTGGGTGGCAGGAATATTCTAGAAGCCATTTCTACACCAGGATGGTTAGCAATAGCTCAATTGTTCTGGAAGTGACTAGGAGACATAGGAATTCATTTCAATAAACCCAAACTAACCCTAACTGAGGTTCTTCTCAATTAAATCCTCAAAATGCCGCCCACCTCTGCACCACCACTCAACATGAGGAAAAGTTGGACAGAGAAAAAAAGTGAAATGGAAAAAGGCACAGTCTTAATTGACTACAATTAAAATATCTTACTTTTGCAAATTTTACAAAACTATATGAACATCAAAACACATGGTCAGGGACTTTCTGAGAGCCTTGGAAGGAGCCCACGCACATGGCGGGCTCTGGAGCTGAAGTTTCCTTAAACTCAGGGAAAACACACCCCTGGCTCCATGTCTGGAGCCTTTGCAGGGTGGACAACTAGTTTACATCACTCTGAAAAGCACCTAGTGGGATAACAAAGAACACATGCTAATCCCCAGTCCACGACCTGGGCCACAGGTTTTTTTTTTTTTTTTAATCAAAATAGCTCTCTTGTGACCATGAAGGCTGTCAGGGCCTGGATATAGAAGTCGTCTCTGTTTCCATGTACTTTTTGGCACCCAAACTGTTGACTTGTGAGCTGTGGTCACTGAAATGGTCTATGTCGAGAATAACAACTTTGAACCTTAATCAGTCCACTAGGATGTAGCTAAACCCTCTCCTATAGTTTTTTGTCATTGTAATCTGATTAAAAGCAAAGGGAAAAAGAAACTCTGCCTCCGGGGTGGCCCAAGCACACCGTAAAATAAGTTGTCAGCAGGGAAGAATGAATAGAGCTCTAAGTATTAGGAAGGCTTGAATGGCTGGAAAGTGGGAGACATGCCTCACTGATGGGCAGAGCTTCAGTTGAACACTCTGAGGAACTGTTTTCTTAAAAGTCATGCTCTCCTAAATCTAGTTTCCCTGGAGCTTCATCTCTTACACATCTACAAGCAGGCGGCTTTCAAAAAAATAAATATGACCATTTTGCTCCTCTTCCTGAAGACTATCAGTGGTTCTGATGAACCTCAGAATAAAGTCCCAAGGCCTTCAGCTGATACCAGGAGATCTTCATTATTTGGCCTTGGCCGCCAACTCATGGCCTCACTTTCTGGTCATCACCCCCTCTATGCCTGTGTTAGGCACCGTTTCCCAGAGAAACCGGATCAAAAGGATGTGTATGTCTGCATCTGTATCTATATTTATATCATTTACATAAGCTATCTACATCTACGTTTATATATCTATATTATCTATATATCTATATCATCTCTATAACTATATCTATATCTATCTGTATCTATAGAGAGGTTTTCAATGCTCATCACAATTACTTTCCTAGCTCGATACATAATACTGATTTCTGTTGTCGCCCATATCACATTGCTCCGTAATTTGAGTCTATTGAGGAAAACTCTAAACTTCTCTCAGTCTGTGTCCAGTCAGAAACCACTTTACATGTTTCAAATGGAGGGAATTTAATACAGGGAAGGTGTTATAAAGCCAGAAAAAAACAGAAGAGAAACTAAAGAAGTGGAGGAACAAAAAGGAAAAAAGGTCTGATCTACCCACCAGCTTAGGCTAACACCCTAGTGCTGGCAGCCACAGTCTACTCCTGCCCTGGGCTGTTGGAGATGCTACCACACCCAATCCTGGATCCTGACTCTACTAAAGGGGCATTGCTTGGGCCAGAGCTGGAGCTGCTAAGCAGGTGCTACTTCCCCTGGGATTACTGGAGCCTGCCATTCCCTATGCTCACTGTCAGCTGTGTCTAGTAACTTCCACACAATCAGAGGCACAAACTCCCAACTTCTTTCCCCAGCCTTGTCATCTCCAGGTAGTGCCCCCTATTGGCTGAATCTAGTGGGAATCCTGCTGACCCGGGCTCTCTGGAAACATAGTTTGCAAACTCCTGGTTTCAGCTCCAGGCAGGTGTGTTTTGTCCTTTGGAGGCCTCCTGAAACCACGGATCCCAAGCATTTTACTGTGTGGTCTTTGTCTTTCTCTTTGCAGCATCTTCTTCAAAGCAGTGATGAAAGTTTAAATAAGTTAATCTGTTGCCAAGCAACACACTTTTACATTAGCACACTTCTCTTTGCTAGTGGTGGCATTTTTTTTTTTTTTTTCCATTTCTTCAGTGACAAGGTACTGGCAGGTTTTAAGGAATTATACATACACCTACAATACTGAGAGGGTTTTTTTTTCCCCCTTGTCTTCTAAAAATGTGCTGAGTTTTATTACCTTAGATAGAGGCTTCTATGAAGCTAGAGAATGAATTAACATGTCTTCTTTCAAAACCTCATGTGCTTTCAAGAGACATTGGTTGCACATTTTATGGGCTTTTCACTTTTTTTGTTTTGAAAATAAAGTAAACCTGGTGCCTTAGATAAAACCATGAGCTTCTCCACCTTTTCTTTTTCTTTTTTTCAGTGTTTTTCGCTTGAGTATTAATCATTTTCCACATTGGGCTTTTTTCCTTTAGAAAATAATGTTCAAAGCTAACTGATGAATCAGTGATTTTTGGGTACTGCCATTCAGCTGTGATTTGGTCTTTCAATTAGAAAAGTTTTTGTTTATTTTTCATTTAGAGAAATCTATACACACACACACACTCACAAGTGTGCATTTCTTCACATCTATATTGTATCTGTATAAATGGAAGAAATGGCCATTTGTTGTTTGTTCTGCTGTAAATAGGTGCTGTTCTCAGCAATTCTCATCCATTTTTATAGCCCTGAATCGGTATTTCATGTTTTTTGCTTAGGTTTTATTGCTGCCGTTTGACAGACGAAAAAACTGAATAGCAGAAAAGTTAAGTAACTTGCCAAAGTCATCGCAGTCATTGATGGAGACAGAAATCAAACTTAGGTGTGTTGTTGCTAAGACAGAGGCTTTGCCACTGGTTGTCACATCATGTCAGCACACACAGTGCATGCCTCATGCTCATGATCATGGTGAAGCTGATCAACTCTAAGATTATCTTATACTCGGAATCTATAAAATATTAACTTGTTTTAGTTTTGCTTGAAGTTATTTTTTATCACTATGATCCTAACCAAAATACTTTCACATGCACAATTATAGCACAATGATAAGTCTCCAGAAATGGAAGGATGAATCTATGAACAATCACTCAAAAATTATCATCCTTGTTACAGTATAGGAGAGCAGTAGTCTCAAGCTGGCTCTATGTGCTTTGTGAGCATATTTTAAAGACATGGTATTGAGCTATGGCAGCATGTTCATCCATACGATTGGTCTCTCAATTGGATAGTTTGACCTGACTTTTCAAAAAACACACATACAAAAAGTTGCATTCTATTGTCTTTAATATCCGCACATTAGCTAAAAATAATACTATGTTTATTTTCACCATATCTCCTCTCTGCAATTTTTTGCTTTGTTTACACAACTGTACATTTTAAGAGCAATAGTTAAAATAGTAGCGAGCATTTTTTTTCCCATTAGTTTGCTTACTGGGCTGACCAAGACTCAGGAGAAGGGAAAGCAAGACCATCTTTTGGTTAAGTATATTAGGATTTTCCAACCAAAAATACTAATCTTGCTATCTATTGCTACCTATGACCACCACAACCTTATTGAAACCATGTACCATTGCATCTTAAAATAGTTTTCTCTATGTGATATTTGTTTCAATATATTAAAATGTTAGCACCCTTGGTGATATAAATCTTAGCTATCAACTGGTTAAACTCTGAGAGGGAAGTTGCTGAATAGTTTTACATGGAGACAGTATAAGAAGAAAGGGTTATTGTCAAAGTAAATTAAAGCACAATTTGAGTCCAAGGCAAAATTTAAAAATCTTTCCTTTTGATCTGATATCTTTTTTTTAAATCTTCAACTTATACCCTTTGCAATACGAAAAACCTAAAATACATTACATGCAAACAACAGACGTTGTATAAGTGCACGTTGAAGAGAAAAGAACGGCTGCTCCAAAGAAGGGAGTCATGTCAACACCTTCCTATCTATCCTTGCTTCTGGGCTTTGGGAAAGTTAAGCCAGAAGGTTTTCTTGCATACAAGATTAACTTTCATTTAATAATTCTAGTCTATATATTATGGAGCATTTGATAGTATCTTGTTAAAATGTAATAGCATCTTTCATATTAATTATTCACTTGATTCTCACAGCAGATGCTCCCCTTTCCAGGCTGTAAAATCTCCTAAGGTAGAAATGAAGTCCCACCATTTCCTCCTCTTCTGGCCCTACTCTCTCCCCCATAGCACCCAGCACCAGTAGGCATCTCAAAGGAGGCATCTCACAGTTGATTCTAGGCAGAGTGAGGAGCCCCACCTCCTCTTTCCTTTCTTTCTGAGTCTGCCTGCCTGCAGAGAGGATAGACTTTTAGAGGTATGCTGTGTTCTTGCTCAAAGAGGCCAATACTGACAGTGACCAGGTGAGTGTGTCTGTCTAATTCTAGGAATCAGTATGAGAAGCAAACTGTGGCCACAAAACTAAGTCATATCTTTTAGCTTGGCCTTTCTCACTGTATTTTGAATTTCATCTCTCTGGGTCATATGACTATCTCTCTGTCAGTTCTGAACCTTGACAAAGAGATGGTTAGCTATTGGTTTCTCCAACTCCGAAGTGCCAACTATCAGCCAATCATCATACTAATTGCATATATTCACTCATTTAATGCTTATAAAAATCCCACAAATTCCAACTGGGGAAATTGTGCTGCAGGGAATTAAGAAAACAAAAAATAAAACTTGCCAGTGTTAAATAGCTAATTAATGGCAGAGCTGAAAGTCAAATCCAACATGGCTTAATTCCAAAACTTATGTCATTTATACCACCATCTACAAACTTGAGTAATCATTGCCTTTATCCCACTTTCACCTCTTCAACTATATTTCTTCTTGACCCATTTAAATACCTATTCCACATGTGTTGAAAGAAAATCTCCCCCATTGTTCAGTGATAGATTCTGCTTTTCAATTTCATGTTCTTTTCATTCCACCACTGGGTAGTATCTGTAAAAGAGGGACAGGTCACTGAGTTTCCCTCCAACTCTTCATTCTGTGGGCAATCTAAGATTCATTCTGTGGGTAATCTGAGATGGCCTCTTTTCTTCATAACCAAGGACCTATTTATACAACAGTGATACTTTCTCATATGAGAATAAGTAGATTGTGACAAAAAAGAAACCCTTTCAAAAAGCAGAGTGATTAATCCAATATTGTGATCAAGTTTGTATATTTCCTGTCCATTAATTTGTTTATTATCTTTTTTAAAAGACACATTATGTCTATTTAATAGATCGTGTTTTGTAAATGTCCATTTAAAATAACAGCAAGCAGCGTTTGCAATTGTTTCTATTCATTTTCTTTAAATTAAAATGAAATCTGAGTGTAACTGCCAGATCCCCTTAGAACCCTGAGTAAGTAAGATTCATGATGTCAACAGACACTTAGGTTGTTTCCATAACTTGACTATTGTGAATAATGCTTCGATGAACATGAGAAAAAAAAAGTTTCTCGGTTTCCTTTTTATGAAGATGGTTAAAAGGAAGACTTAAGCTTCGAAATAGCTGCCCATCTCTTGTTTTAAAAGGCAAGTTGCTGGACTTGATCTGAGTGAAATCAGATACTGTGTTCCCTCCCTTGGATGGATGATATCCTCTGAAGTTGCTGATTGTGCGCTATAGCAGAAAAAACAATCTGCAGAGTACAAGAACCTAGAGTAGGAGAAATAGCCCAGACCTCTCTGCTTGATGAGACTTTTATCAACCATGTGGAACCACTTTAGGTTACTCAATCACTGCAGCACTGAAATATTTTAAAATTCCCAGCCATGTGTTGCCACACACTAAACACGGATTCAGCAAACCTTCCACTGTGGCATGGTCGAGAACCCCAGGCTAAGGATTGACAGAGATTCTGAATTTGCAAACCAGAAAGAGCAGCACTTCATCACGGCTTCAAGAAGACCCCTGGGACGGGAGGGCCTTCTGCTTCTCTTTCTTCCTCTCTCTGTAAGCTCCCCAAATGCGTATTTTGGTCACCTGGATAATCGTTTAGTATATGTGAGATTCTCTAACGTTGCATTTAATGAGAATCACATCAGTTGTTGGGGGAGCCTGAGGAGAGCTAGATGACCAGAGCGAGGCAGAGCTCGGGGCGGGCAGTGCAGTCCTTGAGGACGGTCCACACTTAGACAGAGAATGATCCTTGCCTGCTTCTGGTCCAAGGAAGTTGTCACTCATGCTAGACAGAGCTGCTTTTCCTTCTGCTGATATTTTTATTTAGGGCAACAAGCCAGTCCGAACATAGAGGCTTTTAAAAAATGTATCCCTTTGCACAGACAGTTCCTCTTCCTGCAACACTGTTCCCACCCACATCCACCAGTGAATTTCTTCCCATTCTGATATGCAGCTCAAATGTCATCTCAGGGAAACAGTAGTTCCACATCACATCTCTTCTGTGCTCTCTGATATCCCATGTATGTCTGTGTTAGGTGGAGTTGTAACTGTTAATGTCCACTACACTGCCAGCTCAGGGATGGCTCTGTCTGATTAATTTCTACATTCCTAGGAGTCAGCACAGTGCCTGGAAAAGAGAATTCTCCAAGAAATTATTAACTGATAAATTAGTGGTTGAATGAATAATTGCAATTGAGAAGTTATTATCTGCTCTGTGTGTGTGTGTGTGTGTGTGTGTGTGTGTGAATTACCAATCTACCCTTCTGCATGAAAACCCCACACCTGTCTGTATGTAATCATCTGATGGACATTTATATCTGTGTGTGCCACAGGTCCCCAAACCCAACATAACTAAAATTGCTGCATTCTTTAAATTCTTCCAGTACCTCTCCTAACTTAATCCTCCTTCTCTATTTTCTAGTTCAGCCATTTGTCTATCCCACACTCTACATTTAGGGTCATCATAAATTTCTTCCTCTCTTTTCAAAAGTGCAATGTGTCGTTAAACCTTCATAAATGGCTTTTCTTTTCATGCCCTCTTACATTCTGAGATAACTTGCTTACAGTTTCCAGGATGATTTTAAAACAAAATTTCTGGCCAATCTCCTCTGTTTAAGCAACAAACAGACAACAGTCTTTGATGGATGTCTGTGGCCTGTAATCTGAAGAGACTAAAGTTCTGTGATGGTAACTCAGGAGCCAGTGGGAGGGAAGTCCAGAGACCAAGTGTGCAAAGGGATGTTTCCTGACCTCAGAGTTCGCAGTTTTCTGAGATCCACAGGTTGTGTACATGGGTCTAGCTACCCCAGAAACCCGCAGAACATCTCTTCTACGTGGGAAGAAGGAGCAATGGCAGCTCAAGACCACAGACGTGAGGGCAAAGAGTGCCTAGGATCACTGGGCTACCCACATCACATTCCAACAAGGCACACACTTTGCCAACAGACCGCTTCTCTTTCCTCTAGAACGTGTCGTCTGAATTTCATCCAATATGTCCATAACTTTCTTCTCATCTCAGATTTAGACAGGGCCTGTAAATACTGATCATGCGCTTTGCGTACTTGATAAAATTTAAAGGTACAAAAGAGACTCTGCAAAGAAATCAAAGTATTTCCCTTAGCAAGCTCTGTGTGCAGGAATTTTTAAATTTATAGTTAAATGATTGAACCATGACTGCCCCAACCCATTTCATCATTCTTCAAGGGGTAAAAACACCTGTAACTGCCACTCTGGCTTTTAGAGTGTTTTACAGTTTACAAAGAGGTTTCAGATGGATCAGCTCCATATATTGTATATTTCTCTAAGGAAAGAAGGCCTCAGATGACGATTTTCATTTAATAGAGGTTTGAAAAGAAAATGGAGGCTTCTAGAAGGTAAATGTTTTGGCCAATGCTACACTGCTAGCATGCAGAGAGACAAGACAAGAAGCTAGACGTTTGGGTTTCCACAATTCTTGGTTGAATCTCACTTTCTAACACTAGGTACACTAGGTATTCACACTGTCTTGTTTTTGTTTTTGTTGTTGTTTTTAGTTTCCATTGTTTTAGAAACATACCTATTGTCTTTGATCTCTATTCTTCAAGATAGAATTGGCTTATACAAAAGTGTTAGGGTGTGTAAAAACCTGGCTCAAAATCATATTCTTGTATCATATTTGCTACATGACATCGGATCATTTATTCATCATTGAACTCCAGTTTTTTCATCTTTAAAAGAGAGCTATGACAATCTGCATCCTAAGGTAAGGCTTGCAGGGTACACAGTGAGAACACTCGGAATCTCCACATGCATCACAAATGCCAGCTGTTGTCTCTGTAATGGCAACTCCTGCCCGACAGGCCTTGAAGTGATCCTTGTTCAGCTAGTTCCTAATTTGTGGCCTCTTGCTTTGCATTTGGGCCATAAACTATGGCATTCAGGTCCTCAACAGGGGTTCCATGTGATATTTGCTTCTGGGTCTGCCTTATGTGGACAGTAAGCAATTAGACTTAAGCCTAAGGAACAATTTTGCTTATGCAATATAATTAGAAGCCATCTCTGTTTTTTCCTTTGTTTTTTGTTTTTGAGAAAGAGTCTCACTCTGTCACCTAGGCTGGAGTGCAGTGGCGCAATCTCGGCTCACTGCAACCTCTGCTTCCCAGGTTCAAGCAATTCTCCTGCCTCAGCCTCCTGAGTAGCTGGGATTATAGGTGCCCACCACCACACACGGCTAATTTTTATACTTTTAATAGAGACGGGGTTTCACCACGTTGGCCAGGCTGGTCTTGAACTCCTGACCTCAAGTGATCCGCCCTCCTCGGCCTCCCAAAGTGCTGGGATTACAAGTGTGAGCCACCGTGCCCAACCTAGAAGCCAACTCTGAATGGTGTTATAATTAGAGGTATAGTTGAGTTTCATTCAACATATATTTATTGAGCACCAGGCATTTTATACATAAAGATAAATGAAGCAAAGTGTCCTTAAGCATGCATGGTATATGAAATCAGGAAGATAAACATGTAGATAATTGCAGAAGGTGTGATACATACTCTATGTGCACACAAAGGCTGTGAGGACAGAAGAACAAAGTGTAAGTAGCTATGCTTGGTCGGAGGAAGGGTTCAGGGAAAGCCACATGGAAGACATAGCACTGGACTGGGACCAGGACTGAAAAGATGATGTTGCCTTGGCAGACAACTGGAAAAACATCATAGGCAGAGAGAAAAATGCCTAAAATATCTACCAAGGTGTTTTGCAACCAGTTATGACCCTGATTCTGATTTTCATGCTTCCTACCTATTTCACCTTGGGTAAGTGACTAAACCTATCAATCATTTAGTCTTTCTTATTTGTAAATTGATTCTAATAACACCTTTAAAAAAGGTATTGACATTGACATTACATTGTGGGATTTCACTAATCTAATGCTTGGTGTATAGAAGGTACTCCATAAATTTCAGGCCTGAACTAGCAGAGAGGCATGGCTTATTCATGGAATGCAAAGGACAGGAGGAGGGCAGCATAATTCAGTGTTTTAATGAAGGTGCCCAAGGGTAAAACCCCTGGGAATTGAACAGTGTGCAGCATGAGTAGATGCTGATGTCTGTGAAAGAGACATCTTTCACAGGTTTTGTGGTGGTGTGCTTGTTTCTTGTTTAGACCGTCAAACTGAATCATTGTGGTGCCTTTCTCCCCTCTCTCCAGACAACTATTCCCTGTTCATGCTCTTGAGGACGTTATCGGGTTTTTTGGAGCTGAGATCTCTCGCTTCAATGTATGTGGTGGCCATAATTTTCTCAGCATAGCAACCTGTCCACCAGGACAGTGTCCCGTTGCTGGGCTTTCAGCAGCACAGTGGATAAGCTCTGCAGTTGACAACCATCCACCCTGGCTTAATGTTTCACATGACTGAGGTTGTACTGGGGAAGCCAAATTCCAAGAGGAGTGAATTATGTACAACTGTTCCAAGAGCATCTGTTCAAGCTCCCGTTCTAGGGCCCCGCATACTTAACTCCACACTTGTGTACCCAGCACACAATCGTACTTTTGACCCTGGAAAAAATCATCCAGCAGACAACAGGCGAAATAAATATCTCTCACCAGGTACCTAATGGAAAACAAGCGGGTGGCTCATGTTCACTGTGCAGCTATCTTTATTTTTAAGGTCTCCTGAGCAAGAGGGCCAAAGTCCAAACTTCCCAAATTCGTAGTATTAAGTTACTGTTAATAGGACTGCATTTAAACTACTGCACTTTAGGCTGCCCCTCCAGCTCGTGGTTTTGTTTTTTAACTCCGGGCTTGGGTTTGGAGCAACAAGGTTAGCCACCTGAAACAACAACATTTGCCTAATCTAGTGTGATCTATTTCCCATGCGAAGATTGCTTTCTGTGTTATTTTATTTTTAAAGGGAGTTAACATTTAACGTACACGATAGCTCGTTCCTGTCGCCCTGAATGGCTCTGTTTGTTTCAGCACGTCTCTCTACCATGCTGTTGAGCCCCTCATTTCTTAAGGTTCAGGAAACTCTAAATATTAATGAGGGCCAAAGACCCATGCATTTGGCAACTCCTTCCCCACCACACACTCCATTAACCACAATATCCGAAGGCATTTTGTAAGTTGGGAAACTTGACTAGGAAAAGTATAGCACCATTGCAATTTGGAATAATGGCATTTTTTAAAAATGTCATTTATGCAGAAGGAATTGGTAGAATTGGCTGGCCAATAGTTTATATGAAGCAACTCCAAAGATTTATAGAGATGAGTGGTTCTCAAAGTGATCAGCGGTATCAGCATTGCCTGGGAAACTTGTTCGAAATGCCAATGACCAGAGCCTACCCCAAATCTGCAGAATCATAAACTCATCAGAGAGTCTGAAGTGGGGCCTACCAGCTGGTGACTCTGATACTTGTTACAGTTTGAGAACTACTAACATAGACATAACCTCCTACCTCGTAGAGCCGTAATAATCAGCATTAGGGAAACACAAGTGTACTTCAGGGAGCTTAGGACTGAGGCCCAGACAGTCCTGAATTCTATTCCCAGTTCTGCCACTGAATAGATATTGACCTTAAGTGTGTTTTGCAATATATCCGGGCCTCCTATTTCTCATTTATAAAATTATTATAGAAATGCATTCCATTCTACTTGACTCCTTGAGTTTTGATGCTATTAATAATAAATAATACATTTAATAATATTTTTAAAAATATTTTATTTTAAATAATAAAATGAATATTGCTCAAAGTGCTTTGAAACATTGAGAGGGCTTCCCATGGTGACCAACCTGTGGCAGCGCTTTATTGCAGAGATCTCCTTAGTTAATCAGTCTCTCCAGGTATATGGGGATTTCTGAAATTCCAGACAGATAATCTTATCACAGTGCTAAAGTATTCTGTCCTATAAATGGCAACAACAAAAAGCCATTCATTTCAAGTGGTTAGTAGACCGATAAAATGAAGGAGGTGTCAGTGGAACTTGAAGGATGAGTTTGGCAAGCAGAAATAATAGCACGTCCTTCTTGGAGCCAAGAGGGAGCAACCTGTGTTAACTAATGACAGAGCTGAGGATATATAGAGCAGAAGGAGTGCATGATTGTGCATAAATGCTGGTGCATGCATGTGTGTGTGTGTGAGAGAGAGAGAGAGACAGAGGAGAAGTAAAAAAAGGAGGACAGTGGCAAGGTGGGAGCATGCAGCTCCCATCTGTACCTAATGGTACTTTCTCCTTTAGAGAGTACTGCACTCCCCTCAATCCTCACCCAGGCTGTTAGGTTGACACAGGAGGAAACTGAGGCCCAGAGGACATAATTTATCTCCTTCATTGATACTGGCATGAGAAGAAGCTGAGGCAGAAGCTGAAGGAATGGCCACAAGAGCCAAGGATGGGCAAGGAGGACCTTGATGCTTCTCATCCTGCTGGGACCACTGACCACATGTGGACCTCTCTGCAACTTGAGCAAGGGAGTGTCAGCCTGGCTGACAAAGACATAAGCAGAGCTGGCCAGGGCATTTCTGTGCATGTTCATCCCAGTCTCAGCAGAGAACAGTTTCAATCCATGGTAATGCTCCAAACTTGGTCCCCCCAACACTTCCAGACACCCTTGCTAAGTCAAACACTAAGAGATGCTGGACAGTATTTATTTTTGTCTCTCTGTCTCTATTTATTCTTGTTGAAATAATAATATTCCAGTTAGACCATTTAAATAAAAATTCTATCTCCATGATCTTCAATACATAATATTTTTCGCAATCTTTCCTTTTATTTCTTGTCCACGGTTTTTTTACACACTTGTAATCATAACACACATATCCTCTTGACCCTTCTTTTTTTATTGCTATTATGTAATAAACAATTAGACTTGTTGCTATGGTGTTTCCACGTTATTCATTTTAATAGCTACATAGTATTTTATTCAGAAAATGCACCATAAATTATTGAACCATTTCTGTTTTTTTAGTTGAACTCCCATTTTGTACTAAGACATTCATTGTAGATATATACAATAATGCACTCCATGTTTACTATGCCTTTTGGTACTTTGGTTAATATTTATTTCCTGTTATGTTTTGATAGAATTTGGAAGGTAAGCATCCTATTAAAAATAGGACGCTCGTTGTTATCATAAGAAGTTCCACAAACATTCCGAATACTGTGATGTTCTATTTATATCCATCTACTCAAATACATGGACACTCGGCTCCCTTTTATGGAGTTTTGTGCATTTTGCCTCTTCTCCCTCTCCCTTCCCATTCTTCACTAGTTTAATCTTGGGAGTCTGACATCTTTGCTTAAACACCCCCCACACACACACCACCAGCAGTTTGCTTCTTGTGTCCTGTTTCTAGTCAAAAAGGAGTTAGATTGCCAGTTTTCTTTCTCTGCTTTTCACTTTTCCTGTTCTCTTTTTGCTATAATAATTGCCCATCCCATTCCTTTCTTTTTAAATTTAGCACTTGATTTCATCACTCATATTAAATATTCTTTTCAAGCATTTTCCCCTCTATTCTGTTCTTGTTGTTAATGGATTTAGGGAAATGTGGGAGTCCCTGGAAGGAAAGAGCACATCAGGGCAGCATGAAAGATAATTACAGGCCCCATGTCTGAGGTCGCATTCTTTACTTTGGCCACTATTAAATGAGCTTATTTACAACCCTCAACTTTATCCCTCTCTTTTAAAGAGACGCATATATACATTAAATGTAATACCCTCACCCCCAGCTTCATTTAATTTTACTACCAATAATATTCCCTTTTCAAGGTGTTGGGTCTACCATTTACTTGTTGAATTTTATTTTGTAAGCTGTCTCAATTTAGTTTTTGAAAGGAATGGAAAAACAAAAGAATGGACGTCTACATGATCAAATGCACATAGATTTCACAGTGAAAAAAATCATCGAAAGACCTTCCATGATGTGGCAACTCAGATACAATTGATCTTTAAAACCCAATTGAACAGAATGCCTTAGTAATTATTATTCAGAATACCAAGGCCCTGGCCCATGGTACAATTATCAGAAGCTCCATTTTTGATATTTACTGCATGTTAAGAGAACTCTCTGGAGAGGAACTGAAATAAAACAGTCTCTGGAATCACTGACGAAAGTTTCCCCTAAATGTCTGCTACATACTCAATGCGGATGAGCTGTGGTCCTTGTCATGCCTTCTCACACAAGAGGAAAGATGGTAGAATGGGAATTTCTTCTTTTCCTTGAGTAGCAAAAATTGGCCTGCTATTTACCAAACCCACTCTCTTTTTCTCCTGAGCACACAACTAGGAGACATTTTCAATGTTCCCTGAAGTTAGGTGAGGTTACATGACTGAGTCCCGGCCAATGAGATGTGTACAGAAGTGGCAAGTGCTACTTCCATGGTGGTCCACAATAGTCGATTACATGTCATTTCCTATGCTCTTTCCTTTAGTTTCAGATTCACCCAGATGCCTTGGATAATTTGTTTTGGAAAACATATATTGAAGATATCAGAGCCACAGTATGACAGAAGACTAGGTCCCAGAATCACAACTGGAAGGAAAGTCATGCACTAATGAAGAAAACAATTCTTAAGGCTTATATGAGCTGAAAACAAACTTCTGTCATGTTGCTGCCTTTATCCATTTTTAAAAGATGTTTGTCATCAGTAGTGCTACTCTAATAAAATACATCATGAGCACAATAACTTAAACTGGTCTCATTATAAATCCTAGATCTCCTATCATCACAGTTTAAATCCAGACTACTGGTGTGGAAAGGTATATAAATGCCTTCCAGAATCTGAAAGGCATAATTTTGTTCACTTATTTCAGGTTTTACTAAGGATTCCATACCCTTGGCTTCTGTTGAATTATTTCATACACACTATTTTGTAAAGTAGATAGAAGATGTGCCTAGGATTTAGGGTTTTTAATGTCTTTCCATCTTCCCAGGATGCCTATATAGTAATCATTTAAAATACAAGACAATCCAATAAGATGACATGAAGCTTTCCATGAACTCGAAGAACCAATGAGAATAGATCTCTCTAAAATATTGGTGAACAAATGAATACTTGCCAGAGTCAGAACAATGAATTTTAATTGAATTATTGCACCCACCAGGCATTCCAGAGCCAAAGCACTTTTCCTTTTTTAAGTAACAATTTTGTCTTTTAAAAAGTGTATTTCTAGCTTGACATAAGCATGACTTTTTCTTTCATGTGTCATGTATAAATGGAGCAATTTATTTTCTTTGGACTCACAGAGTAAATCCTCATCTTTGCTTGTGCTGATGGGGTGCAGGCATGTGTGGGAGGAATTCTATGAATGTGGAGCTTTTCCCGTGGGTGCAGAGAGAGTTTGATGGGAGCTGATGAGGTGTGTGTGTGTTCTTCAGACTTATCAACCACCACATGATGCTGGAAGATGAGCCAGTGAATTTGTGGGTGTTGAGCTTGTTGGATATTCTGGATGCAGGTTTTTTTTTTTAATTTACTATTTAATAAAACCCAGCTGACAAGCTTTTTTTGTAAATCATGTTTATGAGATATGAGTCAGTGATGACATATGCATAAGCGATTCCAATGAAAGGAAAACCTTTAAGGCAAGTAGTCCTTGGTTTTGTGGGAAGCTTAGCCAAGCATGTTGCTCTAGCCTCTGGGGTGAATTCTTTCCTAGCTACAGTGAGACGAGAAAATCTTCAGAGCACATTCCAAGATGGGGCTTTTTTTTTTTTTTTCTGTGAGAAGGTGAAGACAGAGACCAGTTTGGTTTGGTGGTTGTCATTCCGACTTCCCACACTGTCATAACTAGGACATGGCTGTGAAAGAACAGCTTGAAGATGAAGCAAACCCTGTTCTAGTAGCCGGGGAGCCTTTGTTTAGTTTTAGTTTAGTTTTTTGTTGTTGTCGAAGCTTTTGAAAGTCTTCTCTGAAAGTGGTTCTGTGTAGTAGGGGGGAGAGACAACTTTGTTGTTTTCTAAGAAACAAACAAAAAACCTGCTTCTTTGAATCTCCCAAATGCAAAAGCAAAGATACTTTCCTTGTACCTTCCTCCAATTCCTGCCACGCATGTTTGGGTCTCATCAGACTTCTTTCCTTACTGTGCCATCCAACGAAATGTCATGGTCCTTGAATGGCTTTATTAAATATCAGATGGCAAATACGTATGCAGTCATGAGGCACAGGAAATAGCAAACCATCCTGATATCCTCTAAATAAGCTGAACATTTCACTTGAGGGAAGGTATTGCAGATATTCCAGATTGAGGAAGAGAACACACCCTCTATAAATTGAAACCTTTCATTACAGTTTTTTAAAATCTCATATTTTCATTAGGAACTGGAAATAAGATCAATTTTCTCTTGGGAACTATATTGAAAAATATAAAGAGACAAATATAACCCAGGCAGAGAGGAATTGATGGGCACTCAAGTAGGAAATTTTTTTTAAATAAAAACTTACCTGCCCATGGTATGGTTAAGCTTGACTCAACTGCAAAATGATTTTTGTCATTGTTAGATGCCATAAGGTATTATATTAGCAGCCTAACCTACATGAGAGATTGTATGACTCAGGAGTTCAAACAGATCATCAATATTATGGCTAGAACCAAGGTTTTTAACAGTTCAGGCTACTTTCAGGAAAACTCTTTCCAAGTGTCATATGTATAAAATGTTTGGAATTCTTATTTAATGCATTCTATTATTTAGAGGGCTTGCTTCTATTATTCAGGGGCTGAATAGTGCTTTGACTTAGTTATCTACAAAATGCAACTTAAAATACAAAGGAGGGAGAGAAAGACAGACTTCTGTCAGAGGTATCCTCTGCAGTAAAACCTTTGTATTTTACTTCCTAGAAGAGCCCAGGTCTTGATCTGAAGGATCTTGAACTGCCCCAGGCATGACTGTGTGACAAAGCAGTATATTAAAACAGTTGAGCATAACCACTGGAGAAAAACTGCTACTTTTTGCATGAGTTTTCTGCATCGAGTACAGCAGCTATATCCTACTCAGTTCTGAGCATAAAAGTTTAAAAGTGAAATTGACAATTTGGAATTTATCCAGAGAAGAGCAACTAGTATGTTAAGTATTATAAAACCAGAAAACTACTTCAAATGAGGAGATAACACTGAAAGAAAAGGAGACATTTAACTGAAGAAAGAAAACTGAATGGGGACCCTAATTCCGTTTTCAAGTATAAGGGAACTGCCAAGAGAAAGTAAAATTTGATGCTTTCTAGGTAGCTCCATAGAGTGGAAAATTAAGGAGATTTCAGTTGAATGATTATTTAACTGATAATTAAAATAAAATGACCTGTCTCATAAGTGACTTCTTATCACTGGAAGTAATCAACAGAGATCCTTGGTAATCCTGACAGGGAAGCTATAGGTGACATTTACAATGGATGAATGTGGTCAGATTGTTTCTATGGCTCTCTTTCTGCTCCAGCCTTCTGCAATTTCATAAACCATCTGTTGTGGCTTTTTCGTTGTTGTCATTTGTTTGTTTTTAAGACAACCCTATTAAATTGATGTAGAAGAGCCAAGATTAAGAGACTGACAAAGTTTATGCTGAAAAAGCCCTGTCAATGGATTTGATGACACGTAGATGTTACGTGATATAAGCACAGTAAGCCTTTCCTGTTCTCATTAGTTCCTCATACTGATTATGTCCAAGTTTCTCTGAGTAGGTAGCCAAACCATCATGAGCTTTGGAGGTTTTCTCCTTCTCACGGATGTCTTATTAAAAGAAAATTCACCAGCATCTAGCAGAAAAGTACTGTTTTCCGTATTTTATCATCTAAAGTGCCATACGACTCAGACATTGTATCACCGACTTACGCCTCACAAAAGACATATCAGGTTGTTACCATTCCCTTTTTGCAAATGAGAAACTGAGTCTCAGTGAAGTTGAGGGTCATCTGCCAATAGGCTTTTATGGAAGATATTTTGGAATGGAGAGAAAAGTCAACTTTCTTGTGTTTCCAGGATGTTACTTCAGCATGTCCACTGGATACCTAGGTATCCAGTAGGATACTACGTATCTGGATAGATCAAGGATACTGAGATGCTACGTATCTCAGCAGATCTGGTGGAGAATTCCTTAATTTACTGGAAAAGAAAGACTAAGCCAACAACTCTTTGTGAGTATGACAAAAAAGATTTATGTTTTTGCTGAATAATTTTGCCTGTGTTACCTACACATTAAGGATTTTATTCCTCAGTAAATCATCTGTAATAAACCAACCATGTAAAATTTCCTGTCACTATAATCTTGATGTCTTAAAAATTAATATCCATGTGGATTTACAAGTTTAAAGACTTTTTCAGATGAAAAGTCTCATTTTTGAATTATTTTAAATGCCCAAGAAATTTAAAATACCATCAAAAATATGAAATACTTGGAATAAATCTGATGAGAGATGTGAAAACCTTTGAAAATTGAGTGATTTTAAATATAATAATTGACAATTAGAGCTTTCTCTTCTATGATTGCCTAATTTATTCTTTGACTATATTTTTTGTCTCTTTTTTATCATTTATGGAAATTCATCATTTTGTCTGACATAGCCATTTAATTTTTTCCCAATTTTGGTATATCAATTTTCATATTTCATGTTATTTTTTGTCATATTACTTATTTTGTTTTTTAAGCATTCAGGTTTCAGGTCTTTTTTACAATGTTTTACCACACTTAGATTACACTTACAGAGCTTTATTTTATTGATTTTTCATAACAGTTTATAATTTTTTTGGAATTTAATTTTTAAAAGGTATTTTCTGAAATATCTTTTCAGTGTGTTTCGTGTACAATGTATTAAACAGAAAATCATTTTTCAGTTCAATTAAAATTTTATCTGAAATAAATTAGATTATCACATTCTGGATTTTATTTATTTTCACTGATCTATTTATGCATTTATATTCAAGTGCATAAATGACATTATTATATTCCAAATAACATGTTTAAACTTTGTGTTATTTTAATACATCAAAAGCACAAATCTTTCCACAGTAATTTCTTATATCACAGTTTTATTTACTCTGTGTTATTATCCCATTGCATTGGAATTTTAAGAACTTTTTATAGAAATCTTTGTCTTTTTCCTTCATCACTGAAAAAATGAAATTCTTATTGGAATTATATGAAAATTTTATGTATGTTTTGTTAAAATGAGCATTAAGATATCACAATTGTTTTCAAAAAGTATACATGTTTTCATTTCAAGAAATTTTATATTTTTCTATATAGGTCTTATATCTTTTGTGTGAAATACATTCTTAAATATTTTATAGCTTTGGCATATTTTCACAAAAAAAGTTTTTCGGCAGGGCACAGTGGCTAATGCCTGTAATCCCCGCACTTTGGGAGGCTGAGGCAGGCGGATTACCTGAGGTTAGGAGTTCAAGACTAGCCTGGCCAATATGGTGAAACCCCATCTCTGCTAAAAAATACAACAATTAGCTAGGCGTGGGCACTGGTGCCTGTTATCCCAGCTACTTGGGAGGCTGAGGCAGGAGAATCACTTGAACCCAGGAGGCGGAGGTTGCAGTGAGCCAAGATTGTGCCATTGTACTTCAGCCTGGCCAACAGAGCGATACTTCGTCTCAAAAAAAAAAAAAAGAAATTTTTCAGCTCTTTTTATAGCTGATTATTTCTAGGATTGGGGAAATCTATTGATATTCGTGTGCCTTTAATTCAGCCCCCACACCAAATTAATTTATTCAATCTAATCTTTTTTTGGCCAATCATTGGATTTCCAAGACACATAATCACATCATTAGAAAAAAATATTAATAAAAGGTATTTATACTAATTATTTAATACTGTATTATTACAAACATTGTACTTTACCAGGAATGTTGAATAATGGTAATACAGACAATAGACATCCTAGTTCTGGAATTTAATAAGAGCAGTTTTAGCACTCCTGTTGCTAGAAATATGTTTTTTGTTAGTGTGTGATAAGTAAACCTCATTATGTTAAATCATTTTCTTGTGCACATATTTTACTAAGATATCTTTTTATGGCTTTTCAATTTTATCTAGCATCTTCTTAGGATCTGTGAATATATGACAATATGATTTTATTCTTTAATTTGTTGAATTGTAGTATTTCTGATATTAAACTATTCATGGTTTCTTATAGTAAGTTATCCTGTAATAGTTTCAAAACTCAAGTTTCCAGGAGATAGCGCCATTTAGGAGCTCTCAAAACCCAATGTGATACTGTATCTACTTTTCTGTAACTTACATTTTTGTGGAACACTCTATTTTTGAGGTTCCGTTAAGTCCTTTAATTTTGCTATTGTACAGTAGTGTTTAAGTATCTAAAAGTTGAGGTGCGTATACCCGTTTGGGTGAAAATATAAGGCATTGTTTTCAAAATTGGATAAACATTGAAATCACCTAGAAATATATATTTTTTTAAAAGACAAAAATCCCAGTTCCTAGACTTTATCACAGATCAGTGACTTGAGAATATTGGAAAAAATAATCCAACCACCAATATTTTTGCATCTTGTTTTATGTCCTTCCATATCCCCATCAATGTGTAGTGTTGCCAAGTTTTTTGTTTGTTTTTGTTCTTGACAATCTGTTAGGCATAAAATTGTATCTCGTTGTCATTGTAATTTTTATTTACGTAATTACCAGTGGGGTTGAACATCTTTCCACACGTTCCTTGACCATCTGTTTATTCTCTTCTTTCAACTGCCTTTCAATTTCCTTCACGTATTTTTATTTTGAATAGCTTTTCTCTTCCATAATAATTTGTAGAAGTTTGATTTTAAAATATTCTGAATAATAAGCTTTTGTCATATATATATATATGTTGATCACATATTCTCTAATTATTTTAGTTTTTGTCTTCCTTTTAGTAGTTTCTTTTTAACACCAGAAGTTTTAATATTCAACTAGATTAAAATTACCACTCATTCTTTGTAGCTCTCATTTTGAATCCTGTTTAAAGAACACATTTCAAAATCTGAGACTATAAAGATGATCTCCAGTATTTAATCCTAAATACTGGAAATATTTATGAAATAAATAAATAAATATGGTGTAGGGTGGAGATGTCTGTGGTTTCTTTTCAATATGAATAACTTATATTTCCCTGTTCACTTAATTTATATAAGATTTAACATGTTTTATTGAAAACATGAAATGTTTTAGCAATTGTGGTGTTCAAATAAGCTACAGCAATATTTCACTGTATGAATAATAATTTTTGTATTTGGTAGATCTAGTTCATTGACATTGTTATGTAGCTCAAAAATCATTTTGTTTATTTTTGACAACTTTTTCTTCTACATACGTTTAAAACCAGCTTCTCTGGATTTTTGAAATATTCTTGGGATTTTTTTCACTCGTTTTGAATTTCTTGGTTACTCTAGCAATAATTGCTGATTTTGTCTTGGGGGTTCTTACATAAATTTTTAAAGTTCTCCATTTATTAAATTTTCTTTAATAAAAATAAAGTTTAAATTGAAATTGAAATAAAGTTATAATTTCTTCCATAAAAATAAAGTTTAAATTGAAATTGAAATAAAGTTATAATTTCTTCCAAACGCTCACATACACTGTTTGTTTAGATTCATTCCTAGATGACTTTTAAAAAAATATATTATTGTAAATGGGACTATCATAAAAGTTTCTCATTATATTATTTTGGTGATATATAGAGGAACATTTTGAGTTCTAATCTACCAAAATTGCTGAACTTTGAAAAAATTTTAATAATTTATATGAATACTTTGGGTTTCTTTAGGCAGATAATCACATCAACTGCAAAAAGTTGTGATTTTGCTTTTTAATTTCCAATTGAGGTGTGTCCTACTTACTTCCTTTATTTCACTGTCTAAGAGTGTCTTGTCCAAAAGAAACATAAGTCATATTTAAATTTAAATTTTCTAGTAGGCATATAAATGAGTAAAACAGAAACAAATTAAATTGAATTGAATAATACATTTTATTAGGCAGGATATTATAATGTCAACATGTAATCAATATAAAATTACAAATAAGGTATTTTTATCTATCTTATTTTTTACTAAATATTTGAAATCCAGAGGGCATTTTACACTCAGAGTACATCTCCATTGAGACTACCCTCACTTCAATTGTCAATAGTCACATGTGGCTGGGGTTACTGTATTATACAGTGTGATACAAACTTCTGCAATGTTAGCTACAAGTGGTGATATTGGACATCCTCTTCCATTTTCTGATTGTAAGGAGACTGTTTGAAGAAAATCTGAGGGTTTTTTTTTTTGCTATTTATTTATTTTATTATACTTTAATTTCTGGGGTACATGTGCACAATGTGGAGGTTTGTTACATAGGTATACATGTGCCATGGTGGTTTGCTGCAACCCTCAACCTGTCATCTACATTAGGTATTGCTCCTGATACTATCCCTCCCCTAGCCCCCAACACCCCTGTAGGCCCCAGTGTGTGATGTTCCCTTCCCTGTGTCCATGTGTTCTCAGTGATCTACTATAAAGACACATGCACATATATGTTTATTGCAGCACTGTTCACAACAGCAAAGACATGGAACCAACCCAAATGCCCATCAATGATAGACTGGATAAAGAAAATGTGGTACAAATACACCATGGAATATTATGCAGCTATAAAAAAGGGTGAGTTCAGAGGAGCCAAGATGGCCGAATAGGAACAGCTCTGGTCTACAGCTCCCAGCGTGAGCGAGGCAGAAGACGGTGATTTCTGCATTTCCATCTGAGGTACCGGGTTCATCTCACTAGGGAGTGCCAGACAGTGGGCGCAGGTCAGTGGGTGCGCGCACCGTGCGCGAGCCGAAGCAGGGCGAGGCATTGCCTCACTTGGGAAGCGCAAGGGGTCAGGGAGTTCCCTTTCCGAGTCAAAGAAAGGGGTGACGGACGGCACCTGGAAAATCGGGTCACTCCCACCTGAATACTGTGCTTTTCCGACAGGCTTAAAAAACGGCGCACCACGAGATTATATCCCGCACCTGGCTCAGAGGGTCCTATGCCCACGGAGTCTCGCTGATTGCTAGCACAGCAGTCTGAGATCAAACCGCAAGGCGGCAGCAAGGCTGGGGGAGGGGCGCCCGCCATTGCCCAGGCTTGATTAGGTAAACAAAGCAGCCTGGAAGCTCCAACTGGGCGGAGCCCACCACAGCTCAAGGAGGCCTGCCTGCCTCTGTAGGCTCCACCTCTGGGGGCAGGGCACAGACAAACAAAAAGACAGAGTAACCTCTGCAGACTTAAATGTCCCTGTCTGACAGCTTTGAAGAGAGCAGTGGTTCTCCCAGCACGCAGCTGGAGATCTGAGAACGGGCAGACTGCCTCCTCAAGTGGGTCCCTGACCCCTGACCCCTGAGCAGCCTAACTGAGAGGCACCCCCCAGCAGGGGCACACTGACACCTCACACGGCAGGGTATTCCAACAGACCTGCAGCTGAGGGTCCTGTCTGTTAGAAGGAAAACTAACAAACAGAAAGGACATCCACACCAAAAACCCATCTGTACATCACCATCGTCAAAGACCAAAAGTAGATAAGACCACAAAGATGGGGAAAAAACAGAACAGAAAAACTGGAAACTCTAAAAAGCAGAGCGCCTCTCCTCCTCCAAAGGAACGCAGATCCTCACCAGCAACGGAGCAAAGCTAGATGGAGAATGACTTTGACGAGCTGAGAGAAGAAGGCTTCAGATGATCAAATTACTCTGAGCTATGGGAGGACATTCAAACCAAAGGCAAAGAAGTTGAAAACTTTGAAAAAAATTTAGAAGAATGTATAACTAGAATAACCAATACAGAGAAGTGCTTAAAGGAGCTGATGGAGCTGAAAACCAAGGCTCGAGAACTACGTGAAGAATGCAGAAGCCTCAGGAGCCGATGCAATCAACTGGAAGAAAGGGTATCAGCGATGGAAGACGAAATGAATGAAATGAAGTGAGAAGGGAAGTTTAGAGAAAAAAGAATATAAAGAAATGAGCAAAGCCTCCAAGAAATATGGGACTATGTGAAAAGACCAAATCTACGTCTGATTGGTGTACCTGAAAGTGATGGGGAGAATGGAACCAAGTTGGAAAACACTCTGCAGGATATTATCCAGGAGAACTTCCCCAATCTAGCAAGGCAGGCCAACGTTCAGATTCAGGAAATACAGAGAACGCCACAAAGATACTCCTCGAGAAGAGCAACTCCAAGACACATAATTGTCAGATTCACCAAAGTTGAAATGAAGGAAAAAATGTTAAGGGCAGCCAGAGAGAAAGGTCGGGTTACCCTCAAAGGGAAGCCCATCAGACTAACAGCAGATCTTTCGGCGGAAACCCTACAAGCCAGAAGAGAGTGGGGGCCAATATTCAACATTCTTAAAGACAAGAATTTTCAACCCAGAATTTCATATCCAGCCAAACTAAGCTTCATAAGCGAAGGAGAAATAAAATACTTTACAGACAAGCAAATGCTGAGAGATTTTTGTCACCACCAGGCCTGCCCTAAAAGAGCTCCTGAAGGAAGCACTAAACATGGAAAGGAACAACCGGTACCAGCTGCTGCAAAATCATGCCAAAGTGTAAAGACCATCGAGACTAGGAAGAAACTGCATCAACTAACGAGCAAAATAACCAGCTAACATCATAATGACAGGATCAAATTCACACATAACAATATTAACTTTAAATGTAAATGGACTAAATGCTCCAATTAAAAGACACAGACTGGCAAATTGGATAAAGAGTCAAGACCCATCAGTGTGCTGTATTCAGGAAACCCATCTCATGTGCAGAGACACACATAGGCTCAAAATAAAAGGATGGAGGAAGATCTACCAAGCAAATGGAAAACAAAAAAAGGCAGGGGTTGCAATCCTAGTCTCTGATAACACAGACTTTAAACCAACAAAGATCAAGATAGACAAAGAAGGCCATTACATAATGGTAAAGGGATCAATTCAACAAGAAGAACTAACTATCCTAAATATATATGCACCCAATACAGGAGCACCAAGATTCATAAAGCAAGTCCTGAGTGACCTACAAAGAGACTTAGACTCCCACACATTAATAATGGGAGACTTTAACACCCCACTGTCAACATTAGACAGATCAACGAGACAGAAAGTCAACAAGGATACCCAGGAATTGAACTCAGCTCTGCACCAAGCGGACCTAATAGACATCTACAGAACTCTCCACCCCAAATCAACAGAATATACATTTTTTTCAGCACCACACCACACCTATTCCAAAATTGACCACATACTTGGAAGTAAAGCTCTCCTCAGCAAATGTAAAAGAACACAAATTATAACAAACTATCTCTCAGACCACAGTGCAATCAAACTAGAACTCAGGATTAAGAAACTCACTCAAAACTGCTCAACTACTTGGAAACTGAACAACCTGTTCCTGAATGACTACTGGGTACATAACGAAATGAAGGCAGAAATAAAGATGTTCTTTGAAACCAACGAGAACAAAGACACAACATACCAGAATCTCTGGGACGCATTCAAAGCAGTGTGTAGAGGGAAATTTATAGCACTAAATGCCCACAAGAGAAAGCAGGAAAGATCCAAAATTGACACCCTAACATCACAATTAAAAGAACTAGAAAAGCAAGAGCAAACACATTCAAAAGCTAGCAGAAGGCAAGAAATAACTAAAATCAGAGCAGAACTGAAGGAAATAGAGACACAAAAAACCCTTCAAAAAATTAATGAATCCAGGAGCTGGTTTTTTGAAAGGATCAACAAAATTGATAGACCGCTAGCAAGACTAATAAAGAAAAAAAAGAGAGAAGAATCTAATAGACGCAATAAAAAATGATAAAGGGAATATCACCACCGATCCCACAGAAATACAAACTACCATCAGAGAATACTACAAACACCTCTACGCAAATAAACTAGAAAATCTAGAAGAAATGGATACATTCCTCGACACATACACTCTCCCAAGACTAAACCAGGAAGAAGTTGAATCTCTGAATAGACCAATAACAGGATCTGAAATTGTGGCAATAATCAATAGCTTACCAACCAAAAAGAGTCCAGGGCCAGATGGATTCGCAGCTGAATTCTACCAGAGGTACAAGGAGGAACTGGTACCATTCCTTCTGAAACTATTCCAATCAATAGAAAAAGAGGGAATCCTCCCTAACTCATTTTATGAGGCCAGCATCATTCTGATACCAAAGCCAGGCAGAGACACAACAAAAAAAGAGAATTTTAGACCAATATCCTTGATGAACATTGATGCAAAAATCCTCAATAAAATACTGGCAGAACGAATCCAGCAGCACATCAAAAAGCTTATCCACCACGATCAAGTGGGCTTCATCCCTGGGATGTAAGGCTGGTTCAATATACACAAATCAATAAATGTAATCCAGCATACAAACAGAGCCAAAGACAAAAACCACATGATTATCTCAATACATGCAGAAAAAGCCTTTGACAAAATTCAACAAGCCTTCATGCTAAAAACTCTCAATAAATTAGGTATTGATGGCACGTATTTCAAAGTAATAAGAGCTATCTATGACAAACCCACAGCCAATATCATACTGAATGGGCAAAAACTGGAAGCATTCCCTTTGAAAACTGGCACAAGACAGGGATGCCCTCTCTCACCACTCCTATTCAACATAGTGTTGGAAGTTCTGGCCAGGGCAATTAGGCAGGAGAAGGAAATAAAGGGTATTCAATTAGGAAAAGAGGAAGTCAAATTGTCCCTGTTTGCAGACGACATGACTGTATATCTAGAAAACCCCATTGTCTCAGCCCAAAATCTCCTTAAGCTGATAAGCAACTTCAGCAAAGTCTCAGGATACAAAATCAATGTACAAAAATCACAAGCATTCTTATACACCAGTAACAGACAAAGAGAGAGCCAAATCATGAGTGAACTCCCATTCACAATTGCTTCAAAGAGAATAAAATACCTAGGAATCCAACTTACAAGGGATGTGAAGGACCTCTTCAAGGAGTACTACAAACCACTGCTCAAGGAAATAAAAGAGGATACAAACAAATGGAAGAACATTCCATGCTCATGGGTAGGAAGAATCAATATCGTGAAAATGGCCATACTGCCCAAGGTAATTTACAGATTCAATGCCATCCCCATCAAGCTACCAATGCCTTTCTTCACAGAATTGGAAAAAACTACTTTAAAGTTCATATGGAACCAAAAAAGAGCCCGCATCGCCAAGTCAATCCTAAGCCAAAAGAACAAAGCTGGAGGCATCACACTACCTGACTTCAAACTATACTACAAGGCTACAGTAACCAAAACAGCATGGTACTGGTACCAAAACAGAGATATAGATCAATGGAACAGAACAGAGCCCTCAGAAATAACGCCGCATATCTACAACTATCTGATCTTTGACAAACCTGAGAAAAACAAGCAATGGGGAAAGGATTCCCTATTTAATAAATGGTGCTGGGAAAACTGGCTAGCCATATGTAGAAAGCTGAAACTGGATCCCTTCCTTACACCTTATACAAAAATCAATTCAAGATGGATTAAAGACTTAAACGTTAGACCTAAAACCATAAAAACCCTAGAAGAAAACCTAGGCATTACCATTCAGGACATAGGCATGGGCAAGGACTTCATGTCTAAAACACCAAAAGCAATGGCAACAAAAGCCAAAATTGACAAATGGGATCTAATTAAACTAAAGAGCTTCTGCACAGCAAAAGAAACTACCATCAGAGTGAACAGGCAACCTACAAAATGGGAGAAAATTTTCGCAACCTACTCATCTGACAAAGGGCTGATATCCAGAATCTACAATGAACTCAAACAAATTTACAAGAAAAAAACAAACAACCCCATCAAAAAGTGGGCGAAGGACATGAACAGACACTTCTCAAAAGAAGACATTTATGCAGCCAAAAAACACATGAAAAAATGCTCATCATCACTGGCCATCAGAGAAATGCAAATCAAAACCACAATGAGATACCATCTCACACCAGTTAGAATGACAACCATTAAAAAGTCAGGAAACAACAGGTGCTGCAGAGGATGTGGAGAAATAGGAACACTTTTACACTGTTGGTGGGACTGTAAACTAGTTCAACCCTTGTGGAAGTCAGTGTGGCGATTCCTCAGGGATCTAGAACTGGAAATACCATTTGACCCAGCCATCCCATTACTGGGTATATACCCAAAGGACTATAAATCATGCTGCTATAAAGACACATGCACACGTATGTTTATTGTGGCATTATTCACAATAGCAAAGACTTGGAACCAACCCAAATGTCCAACAATGATAGACTGGATTAAGCAAATGTGGCACATATACACCATGGAATACTATGCAGCCATAAAAAATGATGAGTTCATGTCCTTTGTAGGGACATGGATGAAATTGGAAAACATCATTCTCAGTAAACTATCGCAAGAACAAAAAACCAAACACCGCATATTCTCACTCATAAGTGGGAATTGAACAATGAGATCACATGGACACAGGAAGGGGAATATCACACTCTGGGGACTGTTGTGGGGTGGGGGGAGGGGGGGATAGCATTGGGAGATATACCTAATGCTAGATGACGAGTTAGTGGGTGCAGTGCACTAGCATGGCACATGTATACATATGTAACTAACCTGCACAATGTGCACATGTACCCTAAAACTTAAAGTATAATAAAATAAATAAATAAATAAATAAATAATAAATGAGAGAAATCCAAAAAATAAAAAATAAAAAAATAAAGGTCATCCATTTTCCCTCCAAAAAAAAAAAGGTGAGTTCATGTCCTTTGTAGGGACATGGATGAAGCTGGAAACCATCATTCTCAGCAAACTAACACAAGAAAAGAAAACCAAACACCACATGTTCTCACTCGAAAATCTGAGTTTTAAAGGCGATATCTGTAGTGTACCTTTGGTTCCCAATTTTTTTTTTTTTTTTTGAGATGGAGTCTTGCTCTGTCGCCTAGGCTGGAGTGCAGTGCTGCAATCTGGACTCACTGCAAGCTCCACCTCCTGGGTTCATGCCATTCTCCTGCCTCAGCCTCCCGAGTAGCTGGGACTACAGGCGCTCGCCACCACACCCGGCTAATTTTTTTGTATTTTTAGTAGATACGGGGTTTCACTATGTTAGTCAGGATGGTCTCGATCTCCTGACCTCGTGATCCACCCGCATTGGCCTCCCAAAGTGCTGGGATTACAGGTGTGAGCCACTGTGCCTGGCCTGGTTCCAAATTTTAATCAAGTTAGAAGAAGTTGTTCCTATTCTCGGTTTCAGATTTTAAAAATCATGAATAAACTTTATATTATATTGAATATTTTAGTCAACTAAATATGTTTTAGAACTAATTTATTAATATGATTGATCACATTAATACAATTCTTATATTAAAATATCCTTGCTTTCTTAGGCTAAACCTAACTTAATTAGGTATTTTTGTTGTTATTTAACCGCACTTTGTTTTATATTATTTATAAACTTTTACTTTTCTTTTAGAGTGAGATTTGCCTTTAGTTTTCCTTTATCATGCAATTCTCTTCTGTCAAGATTATAATGTGTCATAAAATGTGTTGGGTATAATTCTTTATTTTTCAGTTCAGTGGATCAATTTGAAAAATAATGGAAATGATCTTTTGTGGAACTTATTTTTACATCAGTCTGGACACTGTGAAAATAGGTTCCAACAATTACATTTTGTTTTTCATTTGTATTTTGCTAAGTCAAAATTTGAATAAAACTATTTGAAATAATCTGTGATTACTACATATTCTGAGGACGTGGATATTTAAAAACATCTTTATTTTGGTTTTCTTTAGTCAATTTATATTAAACAGGTTACTAAAATTTTCCTTTCCTTTTTATCAGTAAGTTTTGTTTAGGCAATTATTTTCTGAAAAACTGTTGGCAAAATTATTTGCAAAAACTATTCTTAGTATTTTACCATTTATTTTATTCACTATCATTTATTTTATTTCTGCAGCTATGTGCCTCTTTCTCTCTCTCTCTCTCTCTCTCTCTCTCTCTCTCTCTCTCTCTCTCTCTTCCTCCCTCCCTCTCCCACTGACATGTTTGTTTGAGGCTGATCCATTCCCCTGGACACACCGCCTTATCTGTATCTCATAGGTTTTGACAGGTGGTATTTTGTGTATTGATAGATAAATAGTTTTAAATTCTCAACGTGGTTTTTTATTTGATCTTCATATTTAAATATGTATTCTCTTTAGCGTTTGTTTTTTGGTGGGGTGAAGAGGTTTGAATTAAGTTCATGCCCCCATGATCACTGGTCTGCACAAGGGGTACATTGCCATCCTTCCTCCACTAGCAACAATTATTCTAATAGTTTGATTGGTCTCCTTTTATTGATATGTGCCTTCCACAATGCATATTGCTATTTCATGTTTGTACCTAAATGTATAGAAATGTTTATATTCTTAATCTCTTCATATGCTTATCAGGCTTTAGTATTTTCTCTTCCACAAATTGCCTATAACTGTTATACTACCCTCTTTGTCCCAGCATTCTTTCTTATATCAAGTATTTTTCTTTCTCGGATTTAATTTTAATTTTGCTAGAGTCCGGATTTGAATAATACTACGAGAAATAGCCTGTAATTGCTATGTGTTCTGTGGCCTTGAATATTTAAATCACCTTTGTTTTGCTTTTACATGTATATGCTAGACGGATTTATTGGAAATAAAATTATAAGTTTTTCATTACATTTCTCAGAATTTTGAAAATAAATCCTCATTATCTTCCAGCAGCTTCAGTGATGATCTTCCTATGAGAACCTTCATCATTGATTCATAACTGAAATATTCTAATTCCTAGACTTGTTCTGAAATCACACCGTGCTGGGACCAGTTGAATGTTTGTTGATGTTCTTTTATCCTGTTTGGCAGTTCCTTGTTTCTTTAATTTTGAAGACTCCAGAAAAATCTTTTTCCTCTTACTTTGATTGTTTCTCCTACTATATTTTATACACCTGGAATGCCTGCTAGGAAGTTGTTGTAGCATCTGGATCTGGCCATGATGTTTCTAAAGTTTTCTATACTTTCATAGCTCTTAGTCCATTCGTACTGCACTCTAGAGAAATCCCATGGTTCAAACTCCCACTTTGTTAATTCTCTCTTAAGGAGTCTCCTACCTACTACTAAGCCCTGGTGGGTTTTGTGCAGGGATCACACTTTTCATGCATAAGATCTCAAATGACTCCTTTTCTTAAGAGATTAGTTTATTTTTTCTTTTGTCTATCTGAAATTATGGATTGCATAGTTCTTTTTCTTCATTTCCTATATTATTTCTAATTTTAGTGTGATTTTTTTGAGTTTGCTTCTCTGTTTCATTTAGTTTATCTTCCTAAAATGTTTGTTTATTCTGACTTCTCTGTTCGTCTTATTTGTGAATTCCTGTCCAACTGTGAAAATTTGTATTTCAAGAATTTCTGTTTAGATTATGGCAATCTTTCTTGATTTCCAGTATTGCTATGATTTTATTTATTTTTAGATGTTTCTTTTTCTTCTGTCATTCTTATGGATTTGGGTCAAAAGGGAAAGTGGTATGTGCACTTGGTCCAACATGCTGATCTAATCTCCTCTCCACTGTTTTCTAATTGAGTATGTTTTTGTGTTTATTATGCTATAAGTTTGTGGCAGTGTTTTCCTTCTTTGTTCTAGGGCACAGTTTGTGTTTAGAGGTAAGGGGTTGAGTCTGTCTGGTCTATCCTGTGAGAATTACTAAATTGAAAATCATATCATGAAGGTTGGAGCAGTTCCAGAATGAGATTTGGGTGATTGGCCAGCTGGAGACATGTAATCAGACTGGATGGATAAGCCTCTTTAAAAAGTACAATTCATGACAACTTCACTAGTCCTCCTCTGGACTAACGAATGCCTTTGCATCTCATAGCATTTTACCAGCGTAATAGAGATCTCTAGAATATTTATAGAGAAGGCCAGCCATCTTAACAGTTTAAAATTCTAATGTAATTCTGAAACTTCTTACAGACAAAAATCATGAAAAGTTTGTGAATATGAAAGTTATATCAAATTATAGAAGAATTATTTTGAAAGAAGTTCACATAATCAATATATATGCCACGCAGCTATAAACAAGAACACTCATGGTTAGAGATATAACATCCTATTGGAAAGTTATCAAGTTGTGTCCTAAGGATTTATTTTGAGGCACCCATTTTCGATGAAATGCTTGATACATAATTGCTGTCAGTAGGACAAAAAGAATAGTGTTCAGATTTACTCTCTAAGAAAATTAATACCTTACGCACTGTCTTTCATTGCAGAAAAAGCATATCTTTATAGGTAAAAATATTTTTTTAAAAATAAATTACTTCTGCAAATTTGTCAAAATCAAATAAATAATCACTTTCAATGTCTACATCAAGTGCAATTGGATATGATAGTAATGAAATCTGGAAACCAATGAATTGAATATTGAATCAATGAAGTGTAAACTTTTTGTGTTTCTTTAAACTTATTATTTCCTGTTTACTTAAAAGCAGCCTAAAATGTTTCTGGTTAAAAAAATCAATGTATATTTTAATATGCAATGAAATTTGATTGAATACCAGCAAGTCAGCTAGACCTTGTATTTTTCTTGGCATTATCTGGCACCTATGACTGACACTTGCCAGTGGTCCCTAAGGATCTCCTTGCTCTTTGGACTTCCCTCTTTCAGGTTTTCTTCTGGTTTTGCTATGGCCCCAGAAATAGTACCCAGAGACACTGGAATTATCTGTCAATTTCCTATGACCCTTATTTCACATTGCACCATGACTTTTGGATAGCTATGTTCAAGCTTTCCTCCTTGTAAGTAAGTTCTTTAAAAACAAAATAGATTTCTTAAATTCCACCAGAAGAAACTTAATGACTAGTATTTGAATAAATATCTAGCAATCTGGGTTTTGTTTGTTTGATTGTTTATTCTGGGATAAACTTTTGCACACATTACATCTTGACACCAATAACATTTAGAAGCATCTTACAGTTGCCATATAGCTACATTTCTCCTGCTGGCAAGAAGTTGCTTAATATTCTAGTAGCATAATAGGAAAATGACAGGTCTTTGATGTTTCAGTCAACAACCAGTTAAGGACTACTTGAGGAATAAACATGAATTCTGGTTGCTGTCTCAATACTTTTTTTGACACCTTTTTGTAAGATCAAGAATCTGCCAGCATTAAATGTTGCAGACTTGATATAATTGACTTGGAAACAAATTTCTTGAAGCAATTGTGGAAAGTTCTTGATGGCACAGAAGATAATAATTTGTGGGGAAAGAAATGGACATCAACGACTAAGTTGAAAATTATTTCAGACAAGTGGCTTTGAGTATGAAATACTTTGAGGATCACTTAACCAATGAACCTCAGTTATATTTTCTTTTTAATATTTGGTTAAGTGGTATGAGATTAAAAACAATGTCTCATATGTCTAAAAGAACTCTTTCAATAAATATAGAATAAAAATTCTGTTACAAAAAGCATTGTCTTATAGCTCAATTGCCAGCAGATAATAAATTGCATTTTCTTTTTTAGATGTACATTAAAAATGGTGCATTAGAGGCTTCAGAATGTAGTATTAATCTGAGAGCAGAAAATTTAATGATTTAAAAAGTTTCAAAAGTATTTTTTAAACAAAATTTTTTTAGCCCCTGTTATATACCTGTAAGTCACCATGCTAGTCCTGATGAAAGTGTGGGCAAATTGTCCAACAAGTAAGAAGAACCTTATGATGTAATGGAGGAAGAAGTGAGACTGTACATAAATACTCTTAATAGCATGAAAATGGCGAGTGCTTTTCAAACATCCATCTAACTATGTACTATGAAGACTCCAAAGACAGGAAAGATGATTTCCAACCTGAGATGAGGAAAAAAGCCATCTTGAATGTTATTAGAGCTTGGTATACCATATGGGCAGGATGTTGACATCAATGATGGTGGAAGCGGTATCATGGGGAAGAAGATATCACCCTTGCAGGTATGTTGTTGAGTAATAAGTAGTTTGACCAGCCTACAACTTATGGTCCACAAGGGTAGGCAGTGGGACACACGGTAGAAGCAGAGCAAGCTCTCTCATAGGGTGTCTCCAATGCCAGGTTACCAGGTCATGGCACTTGGACTTCATTGCACAATCAATCAATTATAAACCACTGAATATATTTTACATAATAAATAAATCTGACCATGATTTGATTATGTTCTAGGAATATACTTCTGGTATCACAAGTAGGGTGGATATGTGTTGTGGCTAGGGTAGAGGGACGCAGCAAGGTACACAATGGAAGAGTCAGGAAGGAGTAGGAGAGACCTTTGCCCATTTTACAGTGATTTGTAGATAGTGTTGCAACAATACCCACAAGTGCTAATCAGAGGTAAAATCATATCCTATCTGATTGAAGTAAACATCATGACAATGAGTGCCACAGTCATTGTTATAATTTATATTTTTTATTCAAGATAATTATCTCTTTTGAGATTATGGACTAATTTCTGTAATTATACTGTGGGCCCAGACCACTACAATTGCTGATGAAATCAGGAAATTTTGATTGATAGTTGGGGAGTGAGGAGTTTATTCACAGTTTATTCTCCACTGTGGCAGCCACCAGCCAAGACAAGAAACTGAATACCGTCTCCACAGTCCTAGCTCTCAGAGTCGTGACTCTTTAGCATGGGAGAGAGAGAACTAGCAGGGTGAAAGACACACACACACGCACACACACACACACACACACACACACAGAATTATGGATATAAAAAACATGAGAATCAAGAAGAGTTTTTTTTTTTCTCTGTCGTTTAATGTAGAGCAAAAGCTAGAAAGAGGTAGAAAGAACACAGATTTTGTCACTTGCTACGGTTGGGTTCCATTCTGACCATGTCACCCTAGGCAAGTGATTTAACCAGGATCTCTGAGCCTTGTTTTGTTTATAACTGTATAGCAGGTCTGTCGTGCTCACTTAAAATTATTTTTCTGGAGAGAGGAAAAGTTTCCTCACAGCAAAGACTTGACTTGAGGTTGGTCTAGGTGCCCTATCACGTGCCAGGCACTCTACTCTATCCCTCACAGACTTTCCAGCAAACACCTTCAAGCCAACACGTCTAGGAGAGTGGGTCGGCCAAGAGTCACTGAACATTGGGTGTTTTGGTGAAGCAAAAAGAAGAGGCTCCTGGCATGGACAGATTCAGCCTGGACACGCATAGGGTATGTTTGACCCTAGGCCAGTCACTGGCTTTCTCTGAACCTGAGACAGTTCATACGTAAAATAATTACAATAGAATTGTTATTGGGATTCAATCAGACTGTCATGTCTGCACATAGTAGGTTCTCAGCCCTGTTCGCTGTCTGCCCAGATACCCCTGTTGTGCTGAGAGTTTTCGCTGTCAGCCTGCGGCATAAGCCAGCTCTCACACTTTCCCTCAGCTAGTCTGCTGTGTGCTGATGTTATCTCATTCAGCAGAGATAGCTGCTGGGAGCTGACCTTCATTTTTAACTGTCAGTTTCCTTTGAACTGTTATCCCTCAGAACATTGCAGTTTATTTAAAACCAAACAAACAGAATAGACACCGCCCATCCAACTACACTCAGTGTGAGACTCTGTTGTATCTCTTATATTGGAAGTTCTTTGCTGACAGTTTATCTATGGAATTGAACCTGTAGGAGCATGAAGAAGGAAGATGAAGAAACACACACACACACTGCATTCCTCACTTGTTACAAGAGTACATCTTCCAGAGAACAAATGGAAACTTCTGTCTCAGGATCACTTAAGCCTTTTAAGTGTTCCTGATAAATATTCTATTGCATGGTACTTGAACACTTTCTAGCAAAATGATGGATTTAACTTAATCTCAAGCCAGGTTTTGGTACCACATCTTCATGCTGAAAAGTCCTGGAAAATTCAGCTTGGATGACAGGTTCCTTCCATCATATGCCCTTGAGAAGAAACAGCACCTTCAGCCTGTTCACCTGCATGAATCTGGCTGAAATGAGAGTTCCTGTCTTATTCTTAGTTTTATTCTTTTAAGAAGCTGCATCTTCCCGCCCTTATCTCTCTCCAGTGATTCATTTCAGTTTCCCCAGCTGACGCTGAGGATTAATAGTTCATCATCCATTTGAACCCAGGCTCTTCTTATTAGACTCAATCTGTACAAAGTCAGATTCATTTGACAGAGATTTGTTTTTTTATGGATTCGAAACACACACATGCACTCCAGAATTTGTTATTGTGATGCCATATTCCAATGGTTTTAAAAAAATGCTTCCATTCACTAAATTCAGCAAAATATAATGAGAGTTTAATGGGTATCAAGCTCTGTGCTAACCGAATATGTGCAGTGGTGTATTATTTAGGGCTCTCCCAAGAAATAGAATATATATATTTATATAGAACGATATATGTATGATAATATATATGATTATATATGACTAGATGTAATTATTTGTAAATATGCAGAGAATATATATAGATATATATGGGATTATATGTAATTCTATATAAATTACCTATATATAGATGGAATATATATATTTATATATAAACATATAGGATATATATAATTATATTTATAAATATACAGGAGATATGGAGACAGTCAGGGGAGAGAGAGAGATTTACTGTGACAAATTCCCTCATGAGGTTACACAGGCTGAGAAATCCCACTGTCTACAAACTGGAAGCTGGTGGTGTAATTCCAGGCCAAGTCTGAAGGCTGAGACCAGGGAAGCCAAGGGCACAAATTCCAGTTCAAGAACAAGAAGAGACCTACATCCCAGCTCATGCAGGTAGGCAGGAAGCAAAGAGGGCAAAGTCTTCCTTCCTCTGCCTTTTTGTTCTGTTCAGGCTCACAGCAGATTTGATGAGCCCCACCCACACTGAGGAGAGCAATCTGGAAGTGAAAATCAAGTCTTCTAGCCTCACCATGGTTTAAGGAGAGCCTCAAACCGAGTCATCTGATGAATTGGTGAATGCCATGTTGTCTTGGACTGCATGGAAATTCTCCTGGCTGCACCAGGGAAAGTTCCAATTGTTAGACCCAGTGACCAAAGACAGATGAGCATGACATCTCTATAGGGGTTTGTTTAACTGTCTTCAGGAAATCATCTGCCCAAATGTAATTGTCCCCGGGATTTGGTCCATGAGTGCATAAGTCAACTTTGGTGTCTGTCCTCAAAACTATGGATTCAGAATGACTATAGCTCTAGTATAGAAATACTAATATTGGAACTGAACATATGGATTGATAAGAGGCCTATGCAAAACTTGAAGTGCCTACTAGGGAAGGGGTGAGCATTTCAATATTCAGGACTTGAGGGAACTGAATCCCAGTTCTAATGCTGCTGCCTATCCACTATTTTACCTTCTTGGTGAAGAATTGGCCCTCTTTAGCCTTATTTTCTTCTCTATAAACTGGAATATTTGGCCAAATAGCATCAGAATACTTTTACCAATATGAATGCCTATGTTTTTATTTTATAATTAAAAAAAACACAAGAATAATAATTACTGTGATATATTTGACTCTGAAGATTTATTTGTGTATTTACTTACATTGGAGGCTTTTGTGAATTTGTAGACAGAAAACAATTAGTCAGAACATCCTCCAGAGAGCCAGTGCAGTGATGGCCAAAGAATACAGCCTATTAACCATAAAATCCCTAGAAGAAAACCTAGGCAATACCATTCAAGACATAGGCATAGGCAAAGACTTAATGACTAAAACACCAAAAGCAATGGCAACAAAAGCCAACACTGACAAATGGGATCTAATTACCCAGAATCTACAAGGAACTTAAACAAATTTACAAGAAAAAAAAAAAAACATTAAAAAGTGGGCAAAGGATATGAACAGACACTTCTCAAAAGAAGACGGTTATGTGGCCAAACTTATGAAAAAAAGCTCATAATCACTGGTCATTAGAGAAAAGCAAATCAAAACCACAGTGAGACACCATCTCACACCAGTTAGAATAGTGATCATTAAAAAGTCAGGAAACAACAGATGCTGGAGGTGATGTGGAGAAATAGGAATGCTTTTACACTGTTGGTGGCAGTGTAAATTAGTTCAACCATTGTGGAAGACAGTGTGGCAATTCCTCAAGGATCTAGAACTAGAAATGCCATTTGACCCAGCAATCTCATTACTGGGTATATACCCAAAGGATTATAAATCATTCTACTATAAAGAAACACATATACCTATGTTTATTGCAGCACTTTTCACAATAGTAAAGACTTCGAACCAACCCAAATGCCCATCAATGTTACACTGGATAAAGAAAATGTGGCACATATATAACATGGAATACTACGCAGCCATAAAAAAGAATGAGCTCATGTCCTTTGCAGGACATGGATGAAGCTGGAAACCATCATTCTCAGCAAACTAACACAGGAACAGAAAACCAAACACCACATGTTCTCACTCATAAGTGGGAGTTGAACAATGAGAACATATGGGCACAGGAAGGGGAACATCACACACCGGTGCCTGTCAGAGGGTGGGGGACAAGGGGAGGGATAGCATTATAAGAAATACCTAACGTAGATGACGGGTTGATGGATGCAGCAAACCACCATGCCACATGTATACTATGTAACAAGCCTGCACTTTCTGCATATGTATCCCAGAACTTAGAGTATAATATAAAAAATGCAGCCTATTTAGAAATTAATAATTAGAGGTTGTGACTTCTGATCTTAAGGACAAACATTAGGGGGAAGGAAATTCTCAAGAATAAAGTGGCTTATAATGATATCTTGTTAATATAAGATGTAACCACATATTCTGAACCAAAACTTGGAACACAGTACTTAATAATGAAACAATTATTTGCTATTTAGGCTGTTCTCAAAAATCCAGGATATGTCCTTTACATTTTCAGAGTTGATAACATTATAATAAGAACCTACACTAGGCCATGCAATTTTCTAAATGCTGTAATAGTTTTCTTTAATCCATGCAACAAACACTATTTTCAGTATACAGCCAAAGAAATGGAAATTCCTGGAGGTGTTGTGACTTGCCTGAGGTCACACAGTTACTTGTATCAGAACTGCTGTTTGAAGCAAGATTTCCTTGAAACCAAAACTTCTCCTTATTCTGATTTAGGAACTTCCAGTATCTGAAAAGAATAATTTCATAAACAAAAAATAAGTAAAAGGATGGAAAAGAAACCTTGCCTAATTGGACAGTGATCTCGAAAGAAACGGAGAATGAATTCAGAATACTCTGGTGTCAGAGGGCTGCAGTGGAACCCAGAAAGGTCTGTGGAGACACCCCAAAGAGCGATGTGGACAGGCTCTGGCCACTTTGGTCCTGATGCAGCAGTTGTCTTAGTCTATTTTGTGCTGTTATAACACAATACCTGAGACTGGGTGATTTATAGAGAGCAGAGATTATTTCTTACAATCTGGATGCTGGGAAGTTCAAGGTCAAGGGCCCCACATCAAGCAACAGACTTTTTGCCACATCATACCACAGCAGAAGGCAAAAAAGCAAGAGAGCATGCATGAGAGAGAGATTGGAAAGGGGGTTGAACTCATCCTTTTATAAGAAATTCACTCCTGTAACAACTAACCTACTCCCTCGTAAATAGCATTAATTCATTCATGAGAGCAGAGCCCTCCTGACCAAATCACCACTTAAAGGTCTCACCTCTCAATGCTGTTGCACTGAGGATTACGTTTCCAGCACATAAACTTTGGGGGACACTTCCAATCTATAGCAGCAATGTGGATATGGCCCAAGGAATAAAAGATCCTGGTGCAATTGACCAATAGCAATGGTCTATCTAGGCAGTTCAAACGAAAGAAATCTCTTTCCTCATAGCTACTTTGGGAAACTACAGTAATCTAAAAACAGACCTGTTACACTCTGTGTAGCCTTGCCATCTTCATCTTCAAAGAGGGGATAATACAATATAATGATAGATACTACATGAGGACAAATAAGCAATACCAGTTTGCTTAATGTAAATTATTGTATGCATGCTAGTTGCTGTTGCTTAGATTTAAATATTACTTCAGTATCCAAGAAAGACTAATGGTCATTTTATAATGAAAAAATGCAATTGATTAAATTAAGAATCCAACTGATGAATTTCACAGCAGATTAGACACAAAAGAATATAGAATGAGTGAACTGAAGGACAAATCAACAGAAAAATTATCCAAACTAAAAGATAGAGAGAAAAAATAATGAAAACAACCAACCAGAGGAACAAACAAACAAAAATGGATTAAGAACATCAGACACCACACACCTACAACCATCTGACCTTTGACAAACCTGACAAAAACAAGCAACAGGGAAAGGATTCCCTATATAACAAATGGTGCTGGGAGAACTAGCTAGCCATATGCAGAAAATTGAAGTGGGACCCCTTCTTTACACCGTGTACAAATATTAACTTTGGATGGATTAAAGACTTGAATGTAAAACCCAAAACTATAAAAACCCTAGAAGAAAATCTAGACAATACCTTTCAGGACATAGGCATGGGCAAAGATTTTATGATGAAATTGCCAAAAACAATTGCAAAAAAAAAATCAAAAATTGACAAATCAGATCTAATTAAACTAAAGAGCTTCTGCGCAGCAAGAGAAACCATCATCAAAGTGAACAGACAACCTATAGAATGGGAGGGAATTTTTGCAATCTATCCATATGACAAAGGTGTAATATCCAGAATCCACAAGGAGCTTAAGCAAATTTACAGAAAAAAAAAATTGAAAAGTGGGCAAAGGACATGAACAGACACTTCTCAAAAGAAGACATACATGTGGCCAACAAACATATGAAAATAAACTCAACATCACTGATCATTAGAGGACTGCAGATCAAAACCACAATGAGATACCATCTCATACCAGTCAGAATGGCGGTTATTAAAAAGTCAAGAAACAAGAGTTGAGAGGTTGAGGAGAAATAGGAATGCTTTTACACTGTTGGTGGAAACGTAAATTAGTTCAACCATTATGGAAGACAGTGTGGCGATTCCTCAAAGATTTAGAATCAGAAATACCATTTGACCCAGTAGTCCCATTACTGGATATATACCCAAAGGAATAGAAATTATTCTATTATAAAGATGCGTGCACACGTATGTTCATTGCAGAACTATTCACAATAGCAAAGACATGGAATCAACCCAAATGCACATCAATGATAGACTGGATAAAGAAAATGTGGTACATATACAGCATGGAATACTACGCAGCTGTAAAAGGAAAGGAGATCATGTCCTTTGCAGGGACATTGTTGGAGCTGGAAGCCATTATCCTCAGGAAACCAACACGGAAACAGAAAACCAAACGCCGCACGTTCTCAGTTATAAGTGGGAGCTGAACAATGAGAACACATAGACACAAGGGGAGGAACAAGACACACTGGAGCCTGTTGGGGAAGGGTGGGTGGGGGATGGGAGAGCGTCAGGAAAAATAGCTAATGCATGCGGGGCTTAACACCTAGGTGTTTGGTTGATAGGTGCAGCAAACCACCATGGCACAATTTACCTCTGTAAACCTGCGCACCCTACACATGTACTCCAGAACTTAAACAAAGAAAGAAGAAGGAACAGATTTTTTTTAAAAAGGGAAAGATATGCAGGACACGCTCAGACATGTTTACGTATGTGTAACTGGAGTCTTAGAAGGATGAGAGGAAACAGATTAGAGCAATATTCAAACAGATGATGGCTAAGGATTTTCCAAAATTGATAAAAGACAGTCCGAATATTCAGGAAGCTCATCACCTTTAAGCTACAAAAATACAAAGAAAATTAATCATCATCTAGAATTTAATGGTCAATTAAAATATTCCTGAAGCATATAGATAAAATAAAGATGTTTTTGGTAAACAAAAGCTGGAAAAGTGTATCACCTTACAGAAGGAAAATAGTTATTGATGGAAACATGAAAATGTATGAGGGAATGAAGAACACAGGAAAGGGTAACTATGGAGGTAGAGGAATTAATATTGGCTATAAAAAATGCAATAACTTGAATGTCCTGGGAATTCCAATGAAAAGGCCTAACAGTCACTATTATTCAAGGCAAGAGTGTGCAAAGGACATTAAAGTGCCCTAAGTCTCTAGCAGGAGTATGAAAGTAGTAAAAGTAATAATTTGTGTTAGACAGCGATATCTCAAGATGCATGGTATAATATCTAGGTATCCACTAAAAGAATAGCAAAGGAATGCATAATGAACAAGTTAGCAAGAGTAATTTCCTAAAGTTAGATGGAATAAAACTGTGGATAAATAAACACCTTTGTCAGAAGTGAGATTAGGGAAGTCACACTCTGCTAAGACAATGAGCACCCATGAAGAAAGGAGTTCACATTGTTCTGTAAACCTAAACACACTAACAGAACCAATGAGCACAGAAACTCAACTGGCCCCCACTGATGCTCCGTTAAGCAAAGTACTTCTCGTTTCAATGATCCAGAATGATCTTTTAATTCAAGGTGAAGGTGCCGTTACTCTCATGACAAGGATTTTTATTTCAGCTGTAATTAGAAGGGTCAGGCCAGATAAAATCTGTGTTCTCTGAGGACAACTTGAAAAGTGAAAAAAGGAATATAGGATTAATGAAAGATTCACAAGATTAAAATTGGGATTGAAAATTTGAGAGACTCTTCCCAGATCTGAAAACAGGTACTCTAACTACTCTAACCCTTCTCCCTTTTCCCCCAAAGTCACATTTTGGGGAATGGTTGCGCATCTTGTCTCTGGAAATCCTTCACCTGGCTCATAAATTCATTGATGATTCAGTGAAGTTGAGCACACGAAATCTTCTAAGGTCAGACTCATGGTTTCCTTTCAGGCTCATTAGCCTTTAATTGCGAAACCAATGCATCTGCTAACCACAAAGACATGGTTGGTGCACGCTGGAGACAGTAAAAGCTTAGTGCCATTGCTTCTGAGAGGCGGCTGTGGGCCCGGGGGCACAGTTTATGTGGGAGGGTGCCAGATGATGAAGCATCACTTTTGTGGCTTCTGAGCAGTGTAGCTCCTGCAGAAAGCATTGACTCTTCCCCCAAGGCCATTCTTCTGTATCTATTTGGCTGGCGGTCAAGGTCAGGCTTTCTTCAAAGTAGTGCAATGTGTAGTTACCAACAATTTTAAAGACGCCATAAAGACCCCCTGCCAAAAAGGGACACCCTTGCTGCCATACTAGAATGCCACGAATCCATGTCATTTGCCACTCCATTAACTCAGATCATTGAAAGGTTTTGTATTAGTGTAACCTGCAGACTTGTTCTCTAGTAGGGCAGTGTAATTAGGACCTCTTCAAAATAAGACCTTACTACTGAGAAATTTAATGAAGCAAGGCTCCTTTAAAGTTAAATCACACAAGCATCATCTCCTCATGTTCTCTGGTCTCCTGGACCCTGGTCAGGAAGCAGTGTTCTCCCAGCAGCTGTGAGTAACATTCTACCAGCATGTGCTGGGCTGCAGTTGTCTATTTATCTGCCTCTCTTATTAGATTGTGAACTTTCTGAAGGTAGTGATTTTACACATATCTCTGAATACTTAGGCTCAGGACCCGGCACTAAGAGAGTACTTTGAAAATGACTAACAGAAGAAGAGAGGGAGAGGGAATGAAGGAGAGAAAGGAAATTTGAATGGTTCAGTAAGTGTTCTTAGTTTCCTTAGCAAAACAGCATTTTCATTTTTTCTTTTTTAGTAAAGACGGAAGAAAGATCAGATGGATACAGTGACCAAAAAGCAAGTTTGGAAAAACCAGTGTTTGAACTATTGCTCAGTTACTTCTCCTGAAGGCTGCAAGGCAAGAATCTGAAATCCTTTATATGATTTTCAAATTTTTTGCAATCTGTGTCCAAACTCTGAAATTTTCAAATTCAATTCAAATTTATCTTCTACCATTCTTTATCATCACACTCCTAAGCAACATCCAAGCTAAAATTGTTCTTATTATCTGGTCCTTGTGATGGGTACAGAATTTTGCTTCTGCCTGTAATGCGTTCTCATTGGGAATAATTATTTATCCTTCAAAATTTATCTGAAAAATTGTTTCTACTTTGAAGCTATCCCCAGGCACAACTGCTTTTATTCTCCCTTTGTTCCCATTACTCTGTGTGCTCACATTTGTTACAACACTTGTCGGCCTCATTTTTAATCACTTGTCTTCCTGGCTTCTCAACTAGACAGTGTGTGAGCTGTGAAAAACAGGGCATTTCTGGTACAACCCTGCATTTTATTTATTTCTGAATCTCCGGTCTCCTGAGTTTCTGTGTTGCCTGACACAATGCAAGTACTCAGTGAAATGTTGAACAAAGATAACCTTGCAAAGACTAGAGGAATCTGAGGATGCTGAATAACTAGGAGGAGGTTAGTCCTCAGAGATAGACACCAGCCCCCCATGGTGTAAGAATTATTGCCAGGACTTGGAAATCACCAACGATGGTCATAATCACGGTTAGCAGAAGAGAAAAATCACAGGGCCCTGCTTCACTACCTGGAAGCGAATACTTAGGATTCATATATCTTCAGGATGCAGTCCTGAGAAAGACCCCACACAAAATCATTAGAATAATTGTGTTGAAATCACACACATTGTATACTGTGAAATCAAGATGATTATGACAGAAACTATTATATGTGCATTAAACCACCAATATTAGCTCGCCCTTCCTCCTGGGCACACAGTTAGGTGACCTGTCCCAATTCTCTTGTAGTTAGGTGGGACTCTGTGCCTGAATTTTAGCTAATGTACTTTGAGCAAAAGTAACATATTCAACTTCCAAGCCTGGACCATTGAAACTTCCCATGTGATCCTCCACCTACTGTTTCTTCCTTCCTCTGCTGGATAGGCAAAGGGTGATGGAGGACTCCAAGTAGACCACTGGATGGTAATTGAGTGGAAAACTATTAGATAGAAGGATCCTTGATCTCTGCGAGAGTGCATGGAAATGAATCCTCCCACATTCTTGCTGCCAACTCACATCAGACTGCGATGTGAGTGATAAAGACCCCATATCCCAGTAGCTTCACATATTAAAGATTGTTTTTTCTTGTAGCGATTTGCCTGTAACACTGACTAATACAATACTTAGTGAATCTCAGGTCCCTTGTCTGACAAATAGAGATTAATTCTGCATTGCCTTCTTTACAGAATTAGTGTGAAGATCAGAAGAAGGTTTTGTCGATTGTAACATTCTTAGTAAATGTTGGTAGCGTTTATTGCCTTTTCTTACAGGGAATCAGGCAGGGAAAAGAACATCATTTCAGACCAATCGCGTTCCTATGTGAGAGAACAATCTGGAAAGTGTGGATCTTGCCCATGGTGAGTTGGAGTCACCTTCTTCTATTTTAATGCATCTTTTGGGATGAATATTCTGTGATTTGGTAGTGTTATTTCTCAGATCTTTTCAGTGTGGCCTTGGGTCTGGTGAAGCTGCTCTAGAAAACTAACCTCCATCATCTGGACATGCAGTCCTCAATGCATGGTCCTGGACAACTCTTAGCCTTTCTTTGGGCCTCAACACCAATTATCACATAGTAAGAGGTGGAATCAAAGGACCTCTCTTCCTCTCCCATCTATTGGCCATTACCAGATGTAGTCAGCTCTCTGTGCCTGGACGTGCTCAAGTGGAGTACAAATTGCTTGGTAGACACCACAGAGGTGACTCCACCATCGGGGAGGAGATGAGGAGGAGGAAGATTGCCTGACCTGTTGTCATTCAAAGTCATCTTCAAGCCTGAGATTTTTGAAATGACTTTGTGGCCAGGAGGACTATGAGTCACATAGTTTTCTAATTCTATTTCAGGAAACTCGTGGGAGGCAGGGTAGTGTTATGGAAAATAATAGGGCACTGGAGCCACCCAAACCTGGGTTTGAAACTTGACTCTAAAACTCACAGCTGCGTAAGATGGAAACATTACTCTGACTTTCTGAACTTCACTTCCCTTCTCTGTAATTGGAAGAAATATCAACTACTCCCAAGTTTTGATGAGCACTTAAAGGGAGTAGCATGGGAAAGCACTAGAATGGTATCTGGCACACCAGGGTGGTAAACGTCTGCACTCTAGTAATACTGCTAGGAGATATTACAACTTCCCTGAATCTTCCTAGAATTCCAAGGTAGGGTGAATAGCATCTCTTTTCTAACTTGGTTATGAAACCTCCATTATCATTACTAGATTATAACCATATATTTAGCTTTACAGTTGAAAGCCACCAAATGTATCATTCAGAAAAATACATTTCAAATACACCAACACAGCTCGGTGTGGTGGCACACATCTATAGTCCAAGCTACGCCAGAGGCTGAGGCAGGAGGACCATTTGAGCCCAGGAATTCAAGGCTGTAGTGCATTATGATTTGGCTGTGAATAGCCACAGCACTCCAACCTGGGCAAGATAGCAAGACCTCATCTCAGAGGGAAAAATATATACCAACATAGACTCAGTTTTCTTACATGGGAGAGTTAAGTCATTACTAAGCTCATGGAATGTGTGCAGGATTCAAATGCATTTATTCTTTTAGGGATCACATAGTTATTATGTGCATACTGTACTGTACCCATGTCCCATGCTGAATGATGGGATTCGGCGAGATATGAACCATAGCTATAATAAACACAACTAGCATTTATTGAGTACTTAATATGTACTAGGCACTGTGCAAAGTATATTAAGTATATTTTCTTACTCTTCAAAACACTGTAATGAATAGACATTAATGCTTTAATTGTAAAGATGAGAAATTTACTGTATAGGTAGTTGCAGTAACTATCCCGTTTACTAATTGCCAGAACCTCCAGCAACAACATCTACTCCATTAACAATGTATTTATTTACCTGACTCCTGTCTTTCTTTCTGCACTGCATAGCTGGGTGTGCAGGGATTCCTGTCCTTGAGATGGGGAACTTCATGGCTTGGGGGAGATTAGTTTAGTTCACCCCATGATGAGGACACAGTGCAGGTGGGATGTCCAGGCAGAGCTGGCCTCCTACTACTGTTGGAAGAGAGTTTCCTGGAACTCAGAGGGCCCAAGGCAGAGATTTCAATGTTAAATCCCTTCAATTTTTATAAAATAATTAACATACAGGAATGGGAAAAGCACGTCACTAATAACGGAGAGAAGAGCCCTTAAGTTTGAAAGGTAGGCTCCTACTGAGGGGCCTGAGAATTTAAAGGGTAATTGTTCGATAAAAAGAGAATCATGGCTGCCATGTTATCTATTTCTATGGCATACTTATTTAAAACCGTCATCTAGAGAGCACGATTAAAGTATGTTAAACCCAAGTCATCTGTTTCCTTTTCCCTGGATTTTTGGGTGATTCTTTTGACAATTCTGGGTCCCACTGACTTAGACTTGTGGTTTTAAGCTATTATTGGTGAACCTCAAACCAGATGTTTCACGTGGGAGAGAGGCAATGTGGGAAGGCATGGTGGCATTTACATGCAGAGGCAGAAAGGTTGAATCAGCAAAGATTTCTGAGTCGTCTCATGCTCAGATATGACGTGCAGAGCAGTATCGTGGGGGCCACACCACGAATCTGGGAACCTGACTTCCAGGGCCAGCCCTGGTTCTGTCTTGCTGTTGTGTGGCTTTCAAGGGGCAAGTTACTTCCTCTACCTCAGGCCCTATGTCCTTCATTTGAAAGCTTTCTGCCAGTTGCCAATTCTCTAATTCCCTTTTCAATTCCAAGTTGTCTGATGTCAACTTTGTGTCCCATTTGCCCCCTTCCAGAATGTTCTTGCACACACCTCGGTCTGGTAACTCATTTCTTGAATTCTTTAGTTCATAGATTTGTATACATTCATCTTCTCAGCAGCAGTGCCTTCCCCTGACTTCCTGAGTCCACACATTATTCAAGCTTCAGTTACTCTTTCCCTCAGGGAGAGACTTTGGTTGACTTCTGGTCATGTTCTAATTCACCAATACAAAATTTTGATTCCTTAAGAAATCTAAATTCATTAAATATTAGGCTTATGCAGGATCCTCAGAAATCCACTAATTTTACATGGAGAGTAAATGAGGACGGCATAGACTTGACAGATAATAGAGATTCCACAATTTTTTTCAATTGTGTTGAATATATTTCTAGAACTTAATAGAAAACATCTATTTAGAATTTCCCTCCAAGACATAAGTTTTCTCTTCTTCCTAGCATTCCCTCCTTACTATTAGAGTTCATGGTAACCTTGAGAAATTAAAATGTTGCAAAGCCCATGCCCTCACCTCCACGGAGACACTGATAGGGAGGTGGTGTAAAGAATACTGGGATTAAAACTCAAGCTCTGTCTCTGACATTCATTCACTGTATGACCTTAGGAACATCAATTATCTTGTAAGGGTAAACTCTCTGTTTCCTTTTTCCTACTTCTCTGTTCAATTCCTAAGTGTGAAACCACTGGCGTATGAAGGCCCTGTGTAAATTGCAAGGAGCTGTACAAATGCAAGCTACTTTTGATAGGCAGAGAGGCCAAGTGCCTGCATGTGATGTAGTAGTTGCATGTGTGTGTAAGCAGGGGGTGTTATATATTTCACAACTGCTTGACTGAGATATAATTCACATGCCATATAATTCTTCTATTTAAAATGTATTTTTAATCAGTGAGATGTTCACTTCTGCCAAATTTATGTGGCACTAAGGCATCTTCTTTTCTTTTTATTGGCTTTATTGTATAGCTGGTTTCATCCAGGCTCATAGAAGCAAAAGCTCTGTCAGGTGACCTGGTTTGCAAGGCCCCAGCACCCCCGGCTTTCGGTATGAGTCGTCCTGATGTTCTTTTGCCTGTTCAGTCAGTGGAGGGGCAGGAAGGGGAAGGGTGGAGGAGAGTTCCCACCCTTTCCTGCCTAACAGCAGAGACCTCAAACCTGCACCAGCAAACAAAGGAGTAAGGGTTTCATGTATTTTGTGTTTCTTATTGCCTGATCCTAAACTTAAAACCATCTTTCATCTTGTTAAATTGTCAACTGTCCTTCTTTCTGTGTTTTTAAAATTATTTTAACAAGTCAAAATTGCCTGACTACTTGCAAGAGTACATCAGTAATACAAAATTACTACCAGAACAGAAAGTGGCATCAATAAATATCTGCATCCTATTCAGCTTTAGACAATGATTGTTAAAATTAACCATTGTTACTAATTTAACATGTAACTTACGACATGGAATACCTTTTCTCCCTACTAAGGCAAAAAAAAAAAAAAAGGACTCCAATTGGTCTTGACAGTACATGAGCCATTTTTATTGGAACACAGCATTATTTTTCAAAATTAATCTTGTTCATCACATCTAAAGTGGCTCCAGACCAAAACATAAGAGAGCTGCCAATTGATAGATCATTGACAGTGCTGGCTGCACTGTGACAGCTAAGACAGAGCCCCCAGGTAGCAGGGAGGTGAAAGGCCCTGTTGAGAGCTGAAGCTCAAACTTGTAGACTCTTTGTTCCTCTAACTCTCTCTAGCTTGGATTCTTCAGTCCTTTCTCAGGAGCTCAGTTTCCTCCCTAAACATTGGAAGAGAGTCAGGGTCTCTTCAATGCCCCGTGAGTTGTGGGAGGCTGCATTTCCACAATTCTAAGACCCAGCAGAACAAGAAGATGCACAGCCCCCATGTGTCTGCAGAAAAATGGGTGCCTATAGGCATGAAAAGTCAGACATGTCGAGACTTATCTCATTCCTTTCACCTAATTTTATAAATTCAAGGACATTTCCCAAGCTTTCTGCATATTCATAAAGAACACAGCAAAATTTGTCATTAAGTTTGATCGCCTCTTCTTTCAGCACCTGAGACTGTCTCCTTTCCACCCATACACCGTCAGATGTTACTTGGCATTAATGGAGTTTTGAGTCTATACCAGAAACAGATGAGGCAAGTTTGCTGTGTGGTATAAAGCTGACCCATGCTCTCTGACGTTGAGCAGCAAATGAGGACATATACATATATATGCATTTTTTCACAGTAAAGAAGCCATTTTTATATCAATTATTTCATCGGATCCATACTGCTACTTTATGAGGTTATGATATGAACGAGATAACGGAGGCTCTAAGACATTGGGCAGGCTGGGTGCGGTGGCTCATGCCTGTAATCCCAGCACTTTGGGAGGCCGAGGAGGGTGGATCACCTGAGGGCAGGAGTTGGAGACCAACCTGGACAATGTGATGAAACTCTGCCTCTACTAAAAATACAAAAAAAAAATTAGCCAGGCATGGTGGCAGGTGACTGTAATCCCATGTACTCGGGACACTGAGGCAGGAGAATTGCTTGAACCCAGGAAGCACAGGTTGTAGTGAGCCGAGATCACATGAAAAATGCACTCCCGCCTGGGCAACAGAGAGAGACTCCATCTCAAAAACCAAAAAAAAAAAAAAAAGAAAAAAGAAAAAAAAGACATTGGGCAACTAATGGAGGGGCGGCAGCAGAGCAGGGGGTGAACCAGGTGCCCTGGCTCCCGAGTCCAGCCTTCTGTCCAAAGCACCTTCTTCCTTTGGACAAATGCCAAAGCAGCTAAAATGCAGAGCAGATGGTACATAAAAAGTAAGTGCTCTGGGGGCACCAAGAAGGAAGGTGAAACCCAAAGCTTCCTCTTAAAGACAACGCTTGTCCCTTAGTTATATATTTATCTACAGACCTTTGCACAGAGCCTGAACAACGGGAGCATCATGAATGCTTGTTGAGGGGATGCTAAGAGCATGATGAGATGAGGAAGGTCTTACGAAGGAGGTGACATTGAGATGGACAAATAATGCTGGCACTTTGGAGGCAGGGAGGGCCTTTCCAAAGTTCTACAGATAAATGATGAATGGAAAATAGATACTCCAAGCATGAAAAATTAATCCATGTAGCTGGAGAGCTGGGATTATGAAGGGGAAATGAAGAAGCAAAATCCACATTATATTTGCTGAGAAACGTAAGTGTTCAAACAAGAAATTTGAACACTGTTCTCTAGACAATGAAGACCCTAAATCTAATGGTTTTGAGTGAAGTATTGACGTTTTCATGTGAGCAAATAAAAGATTAATTACAATAATCAGGCATTTAGTGGGCACATGGACAGGCATTTCTCTGGGCATATAGAGATTCATGCCCCATTAGGGACAGGACTCTGTTGACTGTTAGTAAAGCTCCCCTTGTTTGCTGCCTCATATTTGAGAATATATCTCTGGAATATCTTCTCCTCATCTCTTTCGTATGCCTTCCTCACTAGCACATTTACTTATGAGTAGGGTGGCCAATTCGTCTTGGTTTGTCAGGATGCTCCTGGTTTTAGCACTAAAAATCGTGCTTCTCAGAAAAACCCCTCAGTCCCTGAATGCATTTACTATGTATATGCTAACATCTCCCAAATCCCTAGCTCCAGTATAGTCTTTCCTCCTGAAATCCATACCCATGTATCCAGCAATGTTAAGGCAACTTCATTTGGGTGACTCAGAGTTAATTAAAACCTGAGATGTCTCTGACTATCCCATAACTTTCCTGCTTTCCAAAACAGCTCCCCAGCTATTGTCCCAACACAATCCACCCAGCTGCTCAAGCTGGAACCACAGAAGTGTCTTGTGACTCCTCTCTCTGACTCATCCCACTCACATCCAATCACCTCCTGAGGACCTCTCAGACATTCACCTTTCTCCTGTCCCACCGCCTCTATCCCAGAGCAAGCCACTGTTGTCTCTTCCTTAAATTTTTATAACAGAATCTTAATTTGGTCTCTTGCTCTTCTGACAAATATTTGTTACCACACCAGAATGATGATTTTAAAATGCACATATTATCCTGCAACTATGCTCTTTAGAAATCTTCAGAGGTTTATATCCAAACTCCTTGACCAAACTCACAAGGTCTACCATATCTGAGGATTGCCTACGTTCCTAGGCCATCTGCAAATAGAGTCCCACTCACTCCTGCATGAGGGGTAGGGAAAAGGCACAGGCTGGCATGTGATGCCTTTTCCCTTTCTCCTCACTAGCAATGTGAACTCAGTGAAAAATAATTCTTCCTTCTTCCTATTGGGGGAGTAGGTTTACAAATGCTCCACCAGCTCCCATTTTCCCAAAAAGAGACTTTTTATTAATCGAATTAGTGAGAACTCGAATTTATTAAACTATATTTTACTAGCAGGCAGGGTCTCTGTGTTAAATGCAGCTCTCACTTGGTATTCTGACACCTCCAAAGGTATACACGGCTCTCAACTTCTGTACTGCAAAATCATAAATCTGAATCAAGGTATTCTCTCTTTTTCTCTCTCTCTCCCTCTTTCTTTCTTTCTCTCTCCCTGCTACCCACCACTCTCCACCACCAATTTTCTCTGAAGACCTCAGCATACCTGGGTATACAGATCTAAAATTTAAATTCAAAGACAGGAAGTCCCAATTGAACTTCAAGTCTAAACCACAATTTCTTTTTCTCCCTCAGTTTTTTTATTCTGAGAGTTTTCAAATATCCAGAAAAGTTGAAAGAATAGATTAAGAGTACCCATAAACCAACAACCTACATTTAACTACTAGTAACATTCTTCTTTATCTCACTATATTTCTGAACCATTGAAAATAAGTTGCAACCGTCATGACACTTCACCCATAAATACTTGCTCATGCATGATTTAAGAGCATGTATATTCTCCTTCACAACCTCAATGTCATTGTCACACATAAGACAGCTAACAATAATGCCCTAATGTTGAATATCCAACTCAAATCCAAGTTTTCATAACTGTCCCAAGGATGTTCATTATAGTTTTTATTTTTTAAGTCAGGATCTATTTAAGATTTACACATTGCATATGGTGATGTTTTTGAAGCTCCATTTATTGGGCATTTACTATGTCCCAGAATACACAGCTCATTCTATTTAATTTTCACAAGAAAATTTGAGATAGCTTTTGTTATTATATAAAATGATGATAAAATACTTAGCTTTGAATACTCTGATGTATTTTAGTTATTCACTATTACAATCACAGAATCTATCACAGGGCATTAGATGTACTAGGTACTAACATATAACCACAATTTCCAATCCAGGGTGTACCAAAGCTGTGTTCTGAAGTATCAAATGCCTGCTGTGATGGTTAATACTAAGTGTCAACTTGATTGGATTGAAGGATGCAAAGTATTGATTCTGAGTGTGTCTGTGAGTACGTTGTCAAAGGAGATTAACATTTGAGTCAGTGGGCTGGGAAAGGCAGACCCACTCTTAATCTGGGTGGACACCATCTAATATTCTAGCCAGCACGGCTAGAATATAAGCAGGCAGAAAAACGTGAAAAGAGAGACTGGTCTAGCCTCCCAGCCTACATCTTTCTGGATGCTTCCTGCCCTTGAACATCAGACTCCAAGTTCTTCAGTTTGGGACTCAGACTGGCTTTCCCTGCTCCTCAGCTTGCAGACGACCTATTGTGGGACCTTACGATCATGTGAGTTAATACTTAACAAACTCTTATATGTATATATACACTCCCCTTCTATTTCATATATATAATATATGTATATATATATAATATATATATATACACACACATACTCCTATATATAGGAGTATATATATGAAATATATATTATTTATATAATATGTAATATTTTATTATTATATAAATTAGTTCTCACTAATAAAACTAATACTCTATTAGTTTTGTCCCTCTAAAGTACCCTGACTAATACACCTGCCTTTTGATGAACAAACTTTACTTCCCCAGTTAGCAATGGCTCCGTTTATTCACTCCATGTGTCAGAACTTCGGGGGGACACAGCTTAAATGTGATTCTCTCCATTATTCCATCCATGACCACCACTATTAGATCCCCTACCAATATTCTTCTATAGCAACCCATTCTCCTTAGGTGACAGATGCCAACTTATAATTCTTTGTTCAGACTGTCTTCCCCACTAGAATGTAGGCTTCATGAGGTCAAGAATGGTGACAGTTTTATTTGTTTCTATATCCTCAGTCTTAGGCAAAGAAGTTAGTGCATATTAGTACTCAACAAATATTTATGGAATTGGTGCAGAAAACTATGGTTCCTGAACTTTCTGAAAGCAGAACTTTCTCAGTTCTGCTGGAGGACTGAGGATCAGGGAGAATAAGCATGGGAAAGGTCTTTGAAAATCTAATAAGCTACGTGGCTACAAGTGAGTATCACGACTTCCTTTCTACACATTGAAACTTAATTTGGAACGGTGCTTGTGTATCGGCATCAGCCTTCACCAGGCCTCCTCTGTGGGGCAGAAATCATTTATCTTTTACTCAACTTTTATGTCAGAGCGTGTATCTTGGAGCTCCTATGACACACAGATTTGGGTTGTGCTTGATGGAATGTGTCCTGTAACTACAGAGATTATGAATATTCTAACCCCAGATTACCTCTACTTTCAATGGAATATGAAAGTCTGTCTTTCTCTCTCTCTTAACAAGACAAACGTGTATTCAACCAAAGTATTTATTTATCCAATCAGATCCATTATTAGCAGGTTTTTAAAAATGGCCACAGGATTGAAGAGATGAAGTAACCGTCATCTGTAAGATTTGGCTAATGACAAGAGCAAGCAACATCCCTCCCACTCACATGCCTTGCTTCTTAGGGAGCTGCTGTTGTGGATGGAAGTGCTGTTCTAGGGTATAAGTCCCCTTCAAGTACAAACATAATTTAGAGCTATCTTAGAAAAGTTGTCACTCATATAACCTGCTTGTAAGTAAACTCAGGAAACTGAGGAAACGACATTGCTTTTGGTGTCAAGGCAAAAAATTCCAGTGAGTCACATATGTACCCATTACTTCCTGTTATACACACACATGCACACCCATGTACAAAAACACATAGTGGAACCACATTACACACAAAGACAATATTCTTAAATGATGCAGATGAAATGAAAGTCACATAGAGTCAAAATGACCCTAGGTTATCCCTTCTTTAGTTGAACCCCCAGTGAAGCCGTTACATTGATTCCAGGATCCAGGTTGTGAGAAAGCAATGGACCTAGAAGGATTCGTGGTGAGGTGAGGGGCTTGGCCTCTCGAGGCAGCAGCCACTCATACCCACAGACAGAACTGCAGAGTCTCATTTTCCACCTAGGACACGCGCTCACTGACTGAAACAGTGGGGGAGTGTCTCCCGCTGCTCCCTCTTCATTTATCCCATTCTCTCTCTCTCTCTCTCTCTTTCTCTCTCTCTCTGTTGTCCAGAAAAATAGAACTACTATTACATATATATGTCCCAATAGTAATATTATTCTATATACTAATAGTTTTCTATACTTATGTACTATTAGTAATCATATTCTATATACTAATGGATATATATAAAATATATATATCATATTAGCAATAGTATCTAGAATACTATAGAATATATATTCATTATATATGTATTATGGATATATATTTCCATTATATATATATATATTACAGATATGTATTTCCGTTTTTTATATGTATGTATATCATATATAGTATATAGTATATAATAGATAGTATAATCTATATAGTAATGAATATATATCCATTATATAGCATATATGAATATAGAAAGAATATATACCCATTATATATTATATATGGATATCCATTAGTATATAGAATACCATATATGTATATATAGTGTATATGTAGTATATCTACATGTAGATATAGATATATGGAACCTTCCTAAATGCAGAGTTATGTTGTATCTATTAAATAATGGATATATATTATATATGTATATCCATTAGTATATAGAATACTATTACTATTGGGTATATATTATAAATATTGTAATGGATCCATTATAATATATATCCATAAATATATAAAAATATATCTTTTATTTCTAATTTTTATCCATTAGTAATAGTATTCTATATACTAATAGATATACATACTATATATATATGTGTGTGTATATATGTAAAATATATATCCTATTAGTAATAGTATCCTATATACTTATATATTAATGGATCGATCTCTCTGGACCCAGGAAAGCCAATGGTATAATTTTAGTCTGAGTCCAAATGCCAGAGAACCAGACAAGCTAACGATATAAGTTCCAGTCTGAGCCTGAGTCCAAAGGCAGAAGACCAATGTGGCAACTCGGAGTCAGGCAGAGGGAGGTGATCTTTCTTATTCCCCTTTCATGTTCTATCCAGGCCTTCAGTTGATTGTATGAGACCCACTCATATGAAGAAGGGCATTGTGCTTTACTCAGTCTATGAATTCATCTCATCCAGAAACACCCTCACAGACACACCCAGAATGATATTTAACCAAATAATATCTGGGTACTGTGTTACCTAATCATATTGACACATAACATTAACGCACACTCTCTCTCTTTCTCCCACCTTTTGTCTCTCATTTTTAGAAGACAGAACATAGTTAAATTAACATTAAAAACCATAGTGCAAAGTGTATGCAACTTGTTTTGGGAGCTGAGAGGAGGAAGCCATGACTTTGCCTCAATTTGGGGCAGTGTCAGGGAAGACAACACAGAAGAATTCACTTTCAAGTACTCCTTGAAGGCTGAGCCTGTCAAGTGGGGAGGTTTGGTGGATGAGGGCAGCAGCCTGGCCAGTGCTAGGAGACTCTCTGTACATATGATCTGAATGAACTAATGGCTTCAGCTGAAAGAATCTTCTCTCAGAGCAGTTGACATTTTCTTCAGATATGTTTTCTCCTCCTCTTACACGCCTCAGTTTCTCTCCAGGAAAGGCCTTGTGACCTCAAGAATAAAGTCCCACTTTATGGAAGAAAAGGTGCTGGTTCAGCAGCCAGACAATCTGAGTCTTACTGGATCACCTTGCACAAATTATGTGACCTCAACAAGTCTCTGCCTCTTTATTTGTAAAAAAATAAATACATAAATTAAACCCACCACTGTTCAGTATTGATGTGATTTAAGAAGACGCACATGAGAGAGACTGTAGCTCTGTGCCCAACACAGAAAGATACTCATAAACATTTAGTCCCTCTCCCTCTCAGTGCATGGGTGAGCTGTCCCTACAGGGAGAAGGGAGCAGAGCCTCTGAGCCAACACTAGAACTATTGGGGAGTGCAGAGGAGGAGGCAGCCCGACTCACACAAGAGATAAGAATGATGTGGAATGTGTTTTCTGAAAGCCACCTGGTGTGACAGGGAAGGAGGCCAAGCGTGGAGTGAAGAGCCTATCAGCCAAACCCCTCAGAGAGGAAAGGTCCCAGGCATTGGCGAGGAAAGCCAAAGTACCTCCCATCCCCACCCTGACTTCCCGTGTTGCCTTGGTCCTGTTACTCATCAGAAGCTTGAAAGGGGAGCACACTCATCTCCTGATTACAGCATAGCACTGGGCAAGGGAGGAAGCAGAGGCCTCAAAGAGCCTGTTCTCCCCGGGCTACAAGGGCGGGTTCCACCCTCGCAAGGCGGCCCCATACAAGGCGTCTTAGGGCTAGGAGCTCTTGTCTTCTTCTAACTGGCATCCCACCACATTCCGGTTTCCCCAGAAGGCCATCCAAAGACACATTCTTTTTTTTTTTTTTCTTTCTTTTTTTTTTTTTTTATTATACTTTAAGTTTTAGGGTACATGTGCACATTGTGCAGGTTAGTTACATATGTAGACATGTGCCATGCTGGTGCGCTGCACCCACTAACTCGTCATCTAGCATTAGGTATATCTCCCAATGCTATCCCTCCCCGCTCCCCCCACCCCACCACAGTCCCCAGAGTGTGATATTCCCCTTCATGTGTCCATGTGATCTCATTGTTCAATTCCCACCTATGAGTGAGAATATGCGGTGTTTGGTTTTTTGTTCTTGCGATAGTTTACTGAGAATGATGATTTCCAATTTCATCCATGTCCCTACAAAGGACATGAACTCATCATTTTTTATGGCTGCATAGTATTCCATGGTGTATATGTGCCACATTTTCTGACAAATGGGATCTAATTAAACTAAAGAGCTTCTGCACAGCAAAAGAAACTACCATCAGAGTGAACAGGCAACCTACAACATGGGAGAAAATTTTCGCAACCTACTCATCTGACAAAGGGCTAATATCCAGAATCTACAATGAACTCAAACAAATTTACAAGAAAAAAACAAACAACCCCATCAAAAAGTGGGTGAAGGACATGAACAGACACTTCTCAAAAGAAGACATTTATGCAGCCAAAAAACACATGAAAAAATGCTCATCATCACTGGCCATCAGAGAAATGCAAATCAAAACCACTATGAGATATCATCTCACACCAGTTAGAATGGCAATCATTAAAAAGTCAGGAAACAACAGGTGCTGGAGAGGATGTGGAGAAATAGGAACACTTTTACACTGTTGGTGGGACTGTAACCTGGTTCAACCATTGTGGAAGTCAGTGTGGCGATTCCTCAGGGATCTAGAACTGGAAATACCATTTGACCCAGCCATCCCATTACTGGGTATATACCCAAAGGACTAGAAATCATGCTGCTATAAAGACACATGCACACGTATGTTTATTGCGGCATTATTCACAATAGCAAAGACTTGGAACCAACCCAAATGTCCAACAATGATAGACTGGACAAAGACACATTCTTTAGAAAGCTCCATTCCTGGTAGTAACATGCTGAGAAGAGAACTTTCTCCTCGTCCTGAGTTTGCTGCCTGGGGTCTGGTAGGCAGCTCCTGACCACAGAAGGGGCTCTCAGGAGACAGAGGTGCCAGCATGGTGGGGGGTACTACCACTTGGGGCCTACAGAGGGGCTGCTATGCAGAGCTTAGGGAGGAGCCTGCTCCTTTCCTGACAAGGACTCACATCTGACAGAACCAGCTCTGGTCTGTGAAGTCTCTCCAAGAAACCTGGACTCTGCCTCTCTATCCTGGCCAGGCCAGTCCGGCACCTGTCAACCAAGCAGAGCACCCTTGTCCTGCACGCTCTCCACATCCATGAAAGGGCCTTTCCAGACCCTGCACTCACATGAATGTTTTTCTCTCACTAAAGTTTTTCCTTTTAAAAATCTCTTATTAAGGTATGATTGCCTTATAAAAAGCTATACATATTTAATGTATCCATCTCAATGCATTTGGGGTAAATGTACAACCGCAAAACCATCACCATCAAGGCCACAAACCTAGCCATCACCTCCCAAGTGTTTCCTCCCACCCCTTCTATCATTATTATTATTGGATTTTCTTTGTTTCATTTTCTGAGCTAAGAACACTTAATAAAAGATCTACCTTCTTAACATAGAGTAAGTATACAAACAGTATCGTTAACTGTGGGTACTGCCGTATAGTAGACCTCCAGAACTTACTTATCTTGCATAAAAGAAACTTGGTACTCTTTGACCATCTCTCATCAACCCCCATCAGCCCCAGGAAATCACCATTCTGCTCTGTTCCTGCGAGTTTGAGTGTTTTTGATTCCACGTTTCAATGAGACCGTGCGATATTTGTCTCTCTGTGTCTGGCTTATTTCACTTAACACAATGCCTCTAAGCTTTTGTTCATCTACGGCTTCTGCTCAGAATGCATTTTACACTTCTTTATTTATTAGAAATCTACTTATCTTTCAGGGCCTTTACCATTGCCTCATTCTGCCTCCAGGCTTCCCAAATGTACAGTCGTGTTTAGCCCTGCCCTTCTCAGCTTACACCTGCACTTCAGTTACGCCTATTTTTGTTGTATTCATTCACCTTACCATGTGATATAATGGAGTTGAGTGTTGATGTGTTCACGTCCCCATTGGACTGGATGCTCTTTGAGGAAAGGGAGCTCAGAGGAGGAGGAGAGAAGTGGGAGGAGTTCCCTTTGAAGTCCCTTAAGGGCAGGATTGGCATTAGAGTGAGGTAAGTAAAACATTTGTCTTGGGTGTGAATTTTAAGTATGCCAAAAACTCAGAAATCAAGATAAATATTTGAATGTGGCATATTAAAAAAAAAAGTCAACGTTATGGCCAGGCGCAGTGGCTCACACTTGTAATCCCAGCAGTTTGGATCACTAAAGGTCAGGAGTTTGAGACTGGCCTGGCCAACATGGCAAGACCTATCTCTACTAAAAAAAAAAAAAAAAATTAGCCGGGCATGGTGGCAGGTGCCTGTAATCCCAGCTACTCTGGAGACTGAGGCAGGAGAATTGCTTGAACCCAGGAGGTGGAGGTTGCAGTGAGCCAAGATCGTGCCATTGCACTCCGGTGTGGGCAACAGAGCGAGACTCCATCTCAAAAACAAACAAACAAAAAATCAAAATTAATTCAAAACTCCAAGATAAATATAATATTGAATTTTGTGTTTTTTAAAACCAGGCTGTTGTCATACTTTGTAGCCCTGCCTCATTGTGCAGTGGGAACAATCATTTCTCGTCAGTCCATGGTTCCAAGGCTTCGTGGTCCTCACAGTCCCTCCTGGGTGAGCTTAGGAGGAGGGTTAAGCACGGCGCAAGAACAGACTGGACAATACAGGGCTTTTGTAAAGTCATTTTCATAAAATTTCAAATCTTTTTTAGCTTTTTCTATATGGATCAAAATATGGTAGAATATTTTCATAAGTATGTATGGGGCACACATTTTTCCATCGTTTCTTTTGGCTCAGGCACTGACATGACTGTGCAGCTAAGCTGCAGAAAGTACACTTGCTCTAGGATTTACTACGCAGAGAAGATTTATGTCAGCAGAAAAGGACCCTGAGGACTCCACTCCCCACCCACTAGTCAGAGAGTCTCGATCCAAGAAGTCTGCCTAGACGTACATTATTCAAATATTTTGTTGAGAATTTGTTCTGAACCAGGCACTGTACTACATAGTTCAGAAATTGATAAATTTCCTGATAAATGCCCTGCCCTCCCAATGCTTCCAGTTTCTCATACTTTTTTGTGTGTCACTGGGAGGGGTTGAGGCAGGGGATAAAGAGATGGAGAGTAAAAGACAATCATACTATGGCATCATGAGTGTGAAAGGGACAACAGGAATGCAGAGGAGTCAGGAGCCACACATTCTGCCTTCTCCGGCCGAGGCAATGTTACTAGAAAGGGCAGTGAGACAGGACAGATAGGGGAGCAGGTGTTACTGGCAGATGCACAAGCAGGTAGGCAGTAGTGGTCCTCCTGACTCACTCCAGGGGAAACGGGGGCCTCGGTGGCATATGGAGACTCCCAGAAGCAAGAAGAGGCTATGTGAATTCAGAGATCTCAGTCTGGCTGTCCCTTAAGGTAGGAGAGTAGAGTTTGGGGCTCTCTGATTCCCACTAAGGAAACTGGACCTGAGTTGCTGGGTTGTAACTCTTCCAAGGAGCTCAGAACAAAACAGTGACATGGTCAGTTGTGCATTCCACTTGCCTCCAGGCCCACTGAGGGTGTGAAGCAGGGTGGGGCTGGCTGGAGAGGAGGGAGAGTAGCAGGCTGGCCTGTTGGAGACATGCTCCCTGGTAATGAGAGGAAATAGAAAATGTAATTAACATGTCTGCCACCAGAAACAAGAGCTAAATCTATTACTCTCCTCCTCCCGCTTCCGTTATGAATTATTGTGTTTCAATTACAATTTCCAAAGTATTTCCTTAAGGAAATATGTTAGGGTTCCTCAATGGGAAAAGAGGGAATGGAACCATGAAAGTTTAATTTATTGCAGTGCCTGCTTTTAGAAAAGGAAGAAGAAGATGAAAGAGAGAGCGGAAAGGCAGGCAAATTGAGAGGAGTTGGACTGGGTCACCTGCACTAGGCAGAGAGCAGCTGGGCAAGAGATGCTGGAGGTGCCTGAATATTTACGTTGTCAGTTCACAACATCTGATGATGGAAGAGGCAAGCGTACCATTTCATCTCTGGCTCCTTTTAGTCTGCTCCCTTGTCCTTCTGCAACAATTTAAAGACGAGAGTAAGCTTGGTCTGAAGGAGAGCCACGTTCTGCTCTGTCACCAGGCTAGATGCTGGGACGCAAGGGTGTAAATGAGCAGGATGTGGCCCCGCCCTTAAAAAGCTCACAGTCTAGCAGTGAAGGGAAAGGAAGCTAAAACAACAAGAAAGGAAGTGTGGACAAAAGAGCTTCTGCTTGGGGCTGCAAGAGCAAGCCCATGCCATTCGGTAGGTAGGATGCCAGGCCGAAGAAATAAATGATTTGTCAGGCTCTGATTCACACGTGAGGCAAGAATTCTCTCAGAGGAGAGACATTTCCAATGTCTTTGGAAAGGATGGAGGCATTCAAGGTGCATTCATTCACTCATTCACACGTTAACATGTAACTGGGAACTCAACCAAGAATAAGCCTCGGCCTTCTCCTTGAGGATAGTGGGCTACTGGGAGAGACAAATCAGGAATAATTACAAAGCCAGGAGGTTGGAGCCAAGATGGTGATATGTGTAAGGTGTTACAGGATCTCAGACGAAGAGCAGTGAATTCTGTCTGGGAGGAAACCAAGTTTCCAGGAGAAAGAGAGCCTTGAAGTGAGTCTTCAAGGAAACTAGAAGTTTTCCTGGTAAATGAATAAGAAAAAGGCAGAGAACGTGTCCTGGCTAAAGCTGCAGCCCAGGCTGAGGCAGAAAGACAAAAGCAGCATGGTGATTCCAGGGAGCCCTGGATTGATGTGGGGAGAGAAAGGAGGAGAGTCAGGCCCGGTCCGGAGGGCAGAGGGCCATGCACTGGAGCTTGGATTTCATCTTGATGACACTGGAGAACTCATGGGTGTTATTCAGCATGAGCATGACATGTGGGTTCTAGAAAGACTACAAGGGTGGCTCCCTGCAGGATGGCCAGGAGAGGAGGGAGACTGGTGTTCTAGAGTCTGCGGGAATCCACAGCAGTCAAACGAGAGAGACTTCTGTCCAGAGACACATTATCCCTGCAGTCCACACATGGGGCGAATGCCTGGGAAACAACTGAATTTAGGGAGAGGAAAGAGAAACACATTGTTTATTTCTTAATTAGGAGCTGATTCGTAATTACTTCCACCCCATTTCTTTTTATTTTCACCTATTGACTTTGTTTGATCCCTAAATCAACCCTGCAAGACAACCAGCATGTTCCCCTTTTAGAGGAGGGGAAGCTAAACCTCAGAGAAGTTCAAGTTTGTTTAAGGCTTTGCATAAAGTGAGTTGTGGACATGGAAACAGAACTCATGTCTTTCTCACTTCAGAAACAGGACTTCCTTCCTTCCATCCTCCCTTCCTCCCTTCCTCTCTTCCTCTCTCGCTCAACCCCAGCACTTTGGGAGGCCGAGGTGAGTGGATCACCTGAGGTCAGGAGTTCAAGACCAGTCTGGCCAACATGGCAAAAGCCCATCTCTACTACAAATACAAAAAATTAGCCGGGCGTGGTGGCAGGTGCCTGTAATCTCAGTTGCTCAGGAGGCTGAAGCAGGAGAATTGCTTGAACCTGGGAGGTGGAGGTTGCGGTGAACTGAGACCATGCCACTGCACTCCAGCCTGAGCAACAGAGCAAGACTCCAAAACAAAAAAACAAAAAAAGGAAAGAAAGAGAGAAAGAAAAGAAATAAAGGTGTTTGGTAAGGCATACGACCACTGCCTAATGGAAGACAGACATCTGAATAAGCTCCCAGGGGAGGAGGGCTAGATAGACGTAGGGCTATGTCCTAGTGTTCATGCAGGACAGAGGAAGCAACATCCCCCTCTGTCTAGGGGTTCAGGTAAGGCTTTGGGAAGGAGGTGATATTTGCTTTGAGGATGCATAGGAATTCTCCAATTGCAAAACACTTTCTTAAGCACAGAAATTCACCACAAGCTTTACTTAGTGAAGAATCTACCTTGATCCCATGATGAGTCAGACTGGAATTCCCTTTCATCTGCAGCTAGTTCACTGGTTTGCTGCTGAAGCTTTTCGTGGTGACCTTCTCTTTTTCATTCTCGGATGTGCTTCATTCTGGCCACTTTTCTTGCCTAAAAAGCCCACGCCAAGTCTACATGAGTGCCTGCACAAGGCCACCAAAAACAGGTGGGTATGCCTGAGTGGAGTGGCCTAAAATGTATGTGCACCTCCACACTTACCTTCAGGGACTGGAGATAATGCCCTCAAAAAGAGCAGTCAGACAAGTCAATTCCAGTCCACTCTAAGCAGCAGCCAGAGAGGCAACTCCCTGAGCACAGGGGGAAGCAGCCCGACGTTGTAAAAGGATGCAGGCGAATAATTAAGTCACCGTTTACAAGAAATTCTAATCTTAGGGCAGTTCAAGGTAAAGACAGACACCAGCCAGGGACAGCCAAAAGCAACATTGCCAGAACATTTGGAGACAGGGCCTTCAGCCAGACACTGTTTTTTCTCTAAATACTGTCACCAAAAACTCAGTCAGAAAGTTTCTCTGTCCCCTGAGCAACCCCAGCATATTAGCAATAAAATAGTAAAAATAATTACTATGATATAGGATTGCCTCCTATGTGCTAGTCATTTGTTTATATTATTTAATTTTATGCCTCACCCACTGTTCCCCCAAAATATCTAAGTAGATATTATTACAGAAAAGGAAACAGAGAGGTTGGGTAATTGGCTGAAGTCACACAGTTAATAAGGAACAGAATTAACTTATGTCTAGAATGTGAACTCAAGACTATCTGCTTTTCAGATTCTTATTTTGTTTTGCCAAGCAGAAAAACTGTTTTGACAGACCAAGGTTTTATTTATTTCTGAATCACTACATCCAGATGAATGCATCACAAATATTTGGGGCTACCAAGATTTCTCTTCAAATGTGGTGAAAAATATGGTCAGACTTTCTCCACAAAAACTGCACATATGCAAATGGGAAGTTTTCTGTAAAATGTCAGGGTATTCACAGAGTTTTTTGGAAAACAATCTGCGAACTTCAGGTTAAGAAACCCCGACGAAAATCTTTTTTGTGAATTGATTTGGAATTATAGTTTGCAACCCTAAGTCATCATCCCCAGCAGGGCCTTGTGATCTGCCTGGGGCCTCCCTTACCGTTTCTACTCCTTCTCCAGTTCACTCTGGTGCAGAAGGTGGACCTGCTGGCCAACCAGATTCAGAGGGGACATACCCAGCTGTCACAGAGAGTTCTAGGTTGCTCTAATCTCACATTTCATTGACAGCTGGGGCATTTTACCTCTGATATCACCTGTGGCTTATCCAACTGTCCAGAGGCTGGGGAAACCCTGCAAGTTCCATAACCCGTTTTCACATTACTGATGGCAGAGATGAGAAGACAATAAATTTCTAACTTCTCACCATTTCCCAGACATGCCTTGCTCTTTCATGGCTCCAGGTCTTTGTACTTGTGTTTCCCTCTGCCGAAAGCATGTGTTCTTCTCCTAGCAAAGCCTATTCCTCGTTCGCAGGAGTGGAACATCACCTCCATTTGGGCATCACCTTCTCTTGGATGCCTTCCTTGACCACTCTGCACCCTACACTGCACACCATCAGTCATCGCCTTTCTTCTCCCTTTGTGAACCTGCACCTGCCCACACCCTGCCCCAGTCACTGGTGTGATACTGCCCCATCAGTGAGAATGACGCTTCTGTCCCCCGAGGGTGCCACAGAACCTGATCTATAGGAAGTATTGAACAAATGTTTGCTAAAAAGCAGAATGAACAGTTGGAGGGAGCTGGTGGAAATTCCTTTGAGGCAAAGTGCTGATCTAGCTAGAAACTTTCTTAAAGTGGTATTCCCTTAAAGCATTTTGGTGGATATTAGTCATTGTCATTTTAACCTCAATTAATGTGTTTTAAATGAGTTTTTCATTTGTTTGGTTTCTGTTTGTTTGGTTTTTGGCAATGTAGGACTTTTTGACCTCAAGTCCTGAGATAGTTTTCCCTCAAATTCCTTGGAATTTGTCATCAGGATGTTCACCAAGGAAAGGCTGTTTTTGAATCAAATATACCCTTTGAGACATTCTCAAATTGGAAACTCTATTTAAGACAGGAAATTCTTATTTGAGCACACACGTGTGTGTGTGTGTGTGTGTGTGTGTGTGTGTTCAAATAAGAATTTGGGGTTGTCTGTCTTTCACATTTAAAAGTATCTTTCAAGTATTTTCCCAGGCCTTTTGTACTATCGTGTTATCAACAATCCCGTCTATCCTTTATTTTATGGTTTCCAGAATAGAACACAAAATAAATGAGAAGCTACATTGTGTGTTAAGTTTTGTGTGATATAACAAAAAAAGGTTTTAAGCAATTTGTTTTGCTTGGTTTCTTTTGCAAACAATCTTATTCTCTCTCTTTCTCCCCTGCTCCCATATTGTCTCAAGTTAATGAAAGACCCTAGGTTTGAAGAGATTACAAGACAAGTCATCAGAACAACCTGTGGGCAGTGTAATGAAGCCTGGCAGTTATCACAACTATCACCGCTTTAAAATATTAAGTATGATACACAGTAGCATCAATTTTTAAAATGTGGTCCTGGTATTCCTGGCAGATCCTGAGATCTTTCTAGGAAGCCAATGAGGTAAAAAACATTTTCATATTAGCATGAGCATGTTATTTACCATTTTCACTGTGTGGACATCCACAATGATGGTGTAAAAGTAATGGTGGGTAAAACTGGATGCCTCAGCACGAATCAAGGAAGTGGCACCAAACTGAAATAGCAGTTGTCATTGTATTCTTCAATATTACACATTCACAGTAAAACAAAACAAAAAAGCAAAAAACAAACAAACAAAAACAATGCCCCAGCTTTACCTAAAACTATCCTTGCTGAAGAAATGAAAGTTATTAACTTAATTCAATTTCATCCCACAGGTCTTCTTACTCCTCTGTGTGATGAAATGGAAGGCACTCACACTGGTCACAGTGGTCATCTCAAGGAAAAGTACTTGTGCATCTGAGTTGCAAGCTAAACTAGCAGCTCTTCTCCTGGAATGCATTTTTTTTTTTTTTTTTTTTTTTTTTTTTACAGAAAAGAATGAACAAGTGTCAGAAAAGAATGTTTATTCAGACTTGGATATTTTAAAGACATTTTATCAAAAATAAACTAAGTGAGCCTGCCACTTCAAAGAACACAACCGACAAATTGTCGTCAATAATACTTGTCACGTTTCTAAGCAAAAATCAGTTAGGAAGCTTCTGTCTACCAGCATAAGCTTGACTTTTACCTAATGTATACTATAAAACATCCAGCCTCACACGGATATGTAGTGAGAAAAGGTGGAAGTATTTTAATAGCCTTTTAAGATAATTAGATAGTTTAGATAACTAATAATTTAGGAGATAATAATTATTCTCCTTTGATACTGCACTAAAAACTGGCATGTAGTAGTTTTTTAAATAGTTGTTGGAATGTGGAATTTGAAGCCACATAAGTGATTTTTTTTTTTCTTTTTTGAGATGGAGTCTCACTCTATCTCCCAGGCTGAGTCTCACTCTATCTCCCAGGCTGGAGTGCAGTGGCGCGATCTTGGCTCATTGCAACCTCTGCCTCCCAGGTTCAAGCCATTCTCCTGCCTCAGCCTTCTGAGTAGCTGGGATTACAGGCGTGTGCCACCACACCCAGCTAATTTTTGTATTTTTGGTAGAGATGGGGTTTCACTATGTTGGACAAACTGGTCTTGAACTCGTAACACCGCCCAGCGGTTGATCTGCCTGCCTCGGCCTCCCAAAGTACTGGAATTACAGGCGTGTGCCATTGTGCCTGTCCATAAGTGATTTTTTTTCATATTTTATTACATTACTTCATATACTTCAACCAAACAACATATCACAACATATTGAAGGCAAAAGCAGATACAAAATTCGGTCATTTTATATTAAAGCTGACTTTAATTTATAAATTTATAAAAGTATAAAACAATATATATCTTCTCACTCATTTTTATTTTAAAAATAGTTACTTTATTAAAATACGTTATTTATGTTAATATGTAATAGGCTTATATTGTCATATTTGCATGCATTCATATATATTTTTAACTGTCTCAGTTTTAATTGCTCATACAGAACATAATTAGTAGATATAACCCATACAAACAGAAGCTCTTTGGGGTCCTCAGTAGTTTTAAAGAGAGTAAAAGCATTCTGTGATCAAAAAGTTCAAAAACCATTGCACTCTAACAATCTTTGAGCTTGCAAAAATTACCTCAAAAAGCCATTTTCAGTATGGAATGAATGGGTGTGATGGCCCAGTTTCCAATACCTACCGTCATTTAGCCCCCATTCCTTTTGAGCTAGTCCAGAGAGGTGTGGCTGGTAGGCAGAGAGTTGAGGCCTACAGAGCTCTGGTCATTTATCTAAAATATAGTTCTAACTCTAAAATGGACAAAGGCTAATAGCTGCACATTTGTCCTATAAGACAGAGCCCCAGTATTAGGTGGTTGTGTGTATCTCTTTTCCATAGCATCAACCCTGTATCTCAGTGTAGGTAGCATGTCATCTTCTAGAAAGGTAACTTGATACAGACCCAGGCTTGAAGATAAGAGCGCCGGGTTCTCTTCTCAGACTCACCATTAACCAGTCTTATGACCTGAGCAGTCTCTCTCTCTGGACTTCAGTGTCCTTATTCACAAAAGGCAGATGTTTGGTAACAGGACCATACGCTCTCTAAGATATTTTTCAACTTGGAAATTCTATGAATCAATTTGGAGAAATATTTGAAAGACAATAAGAATAACAGTTGACTTTTATATGGTATTTTATACTTGCTAAATTACTTTTCCTTCCAAATTCTTGGCTGGTGTTAATTTCACGGCAATTGAGATTAAGGATTCCAGAGGCGATAGACTGGTATTGAGTTCTGATGTGTCACTAACCAGCTGTGTGGCCTTGAGTAGGTTATTTAACCCATCTACAGCTCAGAGAGTTGATAAGGTGATTAAATGAGGTAAGGCATGCACAGTATTTAGAATAGATTCCGGCCTATGTTACACACACAGTAACTATTATTAACACCTGATTCAATGTATTGTAATTGTATGTTCACATGTCTCTCTCCCCTCCTAGACTATGAACTCCTTATAGATGAAGACCTCATCCTGCTCATCACTGCATTCCTAGCATAGTGCCTAGGTCATAATCAGTACTCAGTAAATGCTCACTAAATGGAAGAGTGGATGACTTATGTGATAGTTTAAATCATTGTCCAGTATATATTCAGTTCTCGATACCTCCTTCTTTGGGCAGAGTTTAATTTTCCATGTTATTTGGGTTGATCCATGAGATTTCAGAGGGCTTAAATGCACATGTATAGTTTGGCTTGAGTCTTGTGCTCTGATGATGATAATGGTGATGAGGATAATCCATGAGAATTGTCATCCAGATAGCCAGTGCTTCTTTAGCATGGGCCCCAGAATGACAGAGACAGTGTAGCAGACAATCATGCTCTGAAGAACAGCCTTCTAGCCAGTACCACCCCTAATCACAGACAGCTCTCCCAGGCAGTGCTGTATTTCTTTCATGGCATCATGTGAGATTAAGCTGCCAGAATTTTGCTGATTTGGGGTGAACAGAATTGTTTATATATAGACAGGTCTCCACACGAAATATTCCTGTGTTGTCCATACACTCCAAAAGCAGCCCTGCCATGAGCCAAGGCCATCCTAGACCACCTGATATTGACCTGAAGACTCATGAATACAAGAATACATGTCTGTTGCTAAATGACTGAGATTTGGGGATGGTTTTAAAAATGACAGTAATGTGGCAATCATAGATAGATTGATACAACTGTACAATCTATGAGGTAATTGTTATTGTTCTTCCCATTTTAAATGTGAGAAGATTAACAAAGGGGATATCATCTAGAAAGCACTTGTTCGCTAATAATAGAAAACAGCTCAAATTGTTATACAGGATAATAGAACCCAAAAAGGCAGAGGTAGTGCAAAGAGAGCTCCTGATGAAGCTGAGCCAGTGGGTCCCCAGGGTCACCAGGATCCCATTTCTATGTATCTATTCATATTGCCTTTTGCCATGACAGTTTCTTCTTCGAGCTGCTATGGGCTCATCTGTGCATATTTGCACAGGCAGAGTTCCTAGAGCCTGTACCATCTCTACAAGGTCCTCAAGACTCACTCTGAGCAGACCCTCTAGGGTCAACACCAGTCCTTATCCATTCCCAATTCTACCCTGTGTATGTGTGTTTTTAATCATCACTCACTTATTTAACAAATATTTATTGAGTGCCTTCTCTGTCAGGTACTTTTCTATGTAGTGGGAATACACTATTGAATGAGGCAGGAATAGTCACTGTGCACGCGGGAGTTACATACTCTATATTGTATATAATAATACAGACAAATAGGCTAGGGAGAGAGGGAGCTAGATAATTATATATACAGAAACCTAATGATGGCTATCATTTACCAAGACCAAAAGCAGGCATTATGCCAGAGGTTTTTAATTCAATCTTCAAAATAATGTTACAAGATAAGACTTATTGTTCACATTTTTATCATTAACAAAATGGTACACAGCAAAAATGAGTAATTTACTAGGCTCAAACAACAAGGCTAAATTTATAATTTTTTGTTACTCATCTGCCATGCACATTGCCTGTCATACATGAAAAATCCTGTTCCTCTTTGGATTAACTATAATTCCCATACCAAATGATGTTAGAATAAACTATCCTTTATTAATTTTATTAATTTAGCTAAATCCCTTAGAATGCTTTGGCTAAATACAAAGTGCTTAGAACCTCATTTATTAATCAATTTTTCAAAAATAAAACATTTTCTGTATCTGTAGATACTACATGTATATCATTGGTGTTACTATTACCCAGACAATTTTAACTTTTCCCATATATTATTGTAGTTATCCTTACCTTCTTTAATTTATTTTTAAAAATTAATGCATTGTTATTATAGAAATTTTGAAAAGAATCCAAAATTAGTAAAGTGTAGAAAAAAATTATCCACAGTCTAACAACTTGTAAGCAACAACTAGAGGCTTAGTTTTCCTTGTTTTTTCCTCCATACTGTATTTTCACAAAAATAAGATTATATGCTACATACCATCTTGTATTGTACTCTTTAAGATTATTATTATACCACCCAATTTTATATGTTATTATAACTTTGCTAACCTTATTTTCTATGTCATAATTCTAGTGTATAAAATATGCCATAATTTTATTAGTCATCCTTTCCCTGTTGGACACTTAGATTGGATGACTAATAGATCTATTTTAACTTCTTCCTATGAGGACACAAAGTATTTTTATTTATTTATTCAATCTTAATTTATTTTTGCAATGGCAAATTAAAGAAGAAAAGACAAATTGTGTTGAGACATGCCTAGGTTTTTCACTGTCCACATGTCTAAATCTAAACTCATCAGCTTATTCCAGAAAAAAAAAAAAAAAAAAAAAAAAAAAAACCACATTGTTTCTCTTACACCTCCTCCCTTGGTTAAGGTTCCCTATTTTTCAGACTGCCCTGGCTCAGAAAAGCCCAGTCAGCCTGACTTTTTGCCCCTTGAACATTAAAATCTAATCAGTCTCCAAGGCCATTCAGCCCTTCTTTCAGAGTACAGTAACGTTACATCCCCTGCTCCTCCGATTTTCCGAGTGAGTATCTAAAGTCGGGCTCCTTTATCTCATGTTTTCTTTACTTATGAGCCAGGGTCATGACTGAAATAACTCTATTTGCATGTGGTCAATGCTGGATGAGTACTGGACACATGCTTGCTGAATAAGCATCACCTTTACCTTTTATTGATTTTAAACATGAATACTACCCCATGCCTCCTCTAAAGGCTTGTTGAGCACAAAAATCATGAACTAATAAAAAAAAACAGCTAATAATTTTTAAAAGCCTACTATGTACCAGGAACTATTCTGAGTGTTGCACATAGTTTTTCTTTAGTGCTTTAACTGCCCTACCTATAAAGATCACCATTTGTTTCATAAGTGAGGATACAGAAAAACAGTATGATTTACACAAAGTTCCATAATAACTGTGGGAGCTGGACTTTTAACTGCAGGTTATCTGGCTAAGCATAGCTCTGTCACCATGCCTGGCCCCATGCATTGACTATTAGATTAAATCATGAAGAATGCGACCTACAAGGTGAGCCCCAATCGTATCATGGTTATGCCAAAGAATGTTCATGAGCAGTGAAGTTTGGGATGCCAAGAGGTTCAAATAAAAGAGAAATATATTTTCCAGTTTTCTATAAAAAATGTTTCCCAATAGTGTGTCATCGTGGTTTTATTTTCTGGCGTTATTGTAAAAGCCTCAGTTTCTGGTGGAGATGTTTGCTTGGGTCGTAACAGAGTGCATGCTCTCCTTGCATTGCGATGGAACTGAGAGCTGTAGCCCAGGAGCTGAAAGCACAAGTATTGGTTTCAAGCCACTTAACCTCACATCTCATCAGGATACTTACTAACTTTGTGGCATTGGGAAAGTTGTTTAATCTCTCTAAGACTTAGCTTCCTCATATTTAAGATAATAGTATTTATACCTACCTAATAGGTCTCGGCATAGGAGAGAGAAGGAATAAAGAAAATAATAAATGAAACATACAACCACCATGCCTGGCACATGGCACATGTTACATGTTATTTTTTTGTGGTGATGACTCCATGACTTCCTGCTTTTTCAACAGTTATCCCTACTGGTGCTTGTATCAGTCCATGAACAGCACTTACTAGATAATTATTGTACCCTTAGTTGATAGAGAAGGGAGAAATTATAAACAGAATGCATGGATGTACAGGGACATGGGACTAAAAAACAATGAGGAACTGTGAGTAAATTGTCATCTTTCAACCTCATATCATGAACATAAGAGATACCCTTAAATATTTTGTAATCAACAGTTAATTTTTTGATAAATGTGCATTACTGTATATATTGCAGACATACGTGTTCACACACCCAGAACAATGCATAAGTTACCATTCCTGGTCCCTCTCTTGTTTTTAAAAATACATTTTGGAAGATATTAATTACCTTCTTGCTTGTAACTAGTCAGGCCAAAAAATAAATAAATAAAGATTCTTCATGATTAATTACGATGTTGGCTTCATATTGAGTTTAGAATAGCCCATCTCTCCAAAGAACTCTTCTTGGTATAAAAGACATAAACTCTGCATAAAATAGTTTTTAAAATCATCTTTTCAAATAGGTGGCTGGGCTGGCAAGAAAATAAGATAAATGTTTAAAGTCCAGAGATTAGGAGAAACACAAAAGCAGAGAGGTTGATATGAGCTCTGGCAGTATTTTCCGATCCCTGGTGGGCTAGTACCTGACTCTCAACAGCCACACATGCACTTGAGGATGAGTAAACAAAAGCTGAGCACAAACCCAAATGCTAATAGTCTTATAGGGTGAACCAGTAAGAGAGAACCATCCCATAGATAGAAGCTTAGAGGTAACTGTCTGACTTCATCCACTTGGGTCTGGGTGGAAAGAAAAAGTTCCTGTATAGTTTTTAAGCCAAATACTAAGATTCATAAGAGCCTGGGGCCAGTCAGTTTCCACAATTACATCTGAAAAGCTCCCTTTACTGTTTTTATTTTCTTAATAAAGTATTTGACTTGTGACTATATATAAATAAAATCATATTCAAGTATTATTATATAAAATATAATATTTTACATGTATATAGTGTTTTGTCATTTCCCTTGTGTACTGTGCACCATCTTGTCAAATCCTGAAAATGCACCTTAGTCTAGAACTCAGGTCTCTTGAGCTCCATTGTACATCCTGCTGATCAACATCAAGACAATCTAATTGAATCATTTGATATTTTAAAATGAAAGAAAACAGAATCTGTACCAGAAGCTGTAGCAAATGTAGAAGTAATGAATCTTCCCTGCCCTCAAGATGCTTACAAGTAATGCCTGCAGCAAAAGAATGTCATGAAGGATGTAAGAGTGTTTCAAATAGTGAGACATAGTCACGACATGGCCTCTGGCTGATTTTATCAGAAAAAGAGTTGTGATGAAGGTGGAATTTACTATGCATCTTAAAGTAAAAAAGCACCATCTATATGAGACAACAAGAAACTAATTTCAAATATAATAATAGGTAGTTTCAAGGTAAAATTGTGTAAAAGATACATCACACAAACACAAATAAAAAGAAAGCTGGCCGGGCACAATGGCTCACGCCTGTAGTTCCAACACTATGGGAGGCCGAGGTAGGTGGATCACGAGGTCAGGAGTTCAAGACCAGTCTGACCAACATGGGGAAACCCCATCTCTACTAAAAATACAAAAATTATCTGGGCATGGTGGCACATGCCTATAATCCCATCTACTCTGGAGAATGAGTCAGGAGAATCGCTTGAACCCGGGAGGCGGAGGTTGCAATGAGCCGAGATCGTGCCATTGTACTCCAGCCTGGGCAACACTCCATCTCATAAAAAAGAAAAAAAGAAAAAAGAAAAGAGAGCTGATGTGGCAATATCAATATACACAAAATAGACTTCAGCACAAAGAAAAACACCAAGGTTAATGTGGAATATTAAAAAATGAGAAAAAGTCACAATAGTCCTAAATGGATTTGTATCCGATAAGAGAGCATCAAAACTAAAAGAAAAAAATAGACAAATCGAGAATAATAGCTTGTGACTGCAAAAATCTTCCCTGAATAATTGACAAAGCAAAATAAAAGAAAATTGCACAGGATGTAGAAGAATGAACAACATTAACCAACTGGATCTAACTGACAATTACAGAACATTCCACCCAAGCAACAGCAGAGTACACATTCTTTTGTTGCTGTTGTTGTTGAGACGGAGTCTCGCTCTGTCACCCAGGCTGGAGTGCAGTGGTGCGATCTTGGCTCACTGCCACCTCTGCCTCCCGGTTTCAAGCAATTTTCCTGCCTCAGCCTCCCAAGTAGCTGGGACTACAGGCACGTGCCGCCATGCCCAGTTAATTTTTTTTTTTAATTTTTAGTAGAGACGGGGTTTCCCCATGTTGGTCAGGCTGGCAGAGTACATGTTCTTTTCCAGTGTGTGTAGAACATGAAGCAAGAGAGACCATTTCTTGGGTCATAAAGCAAACCTTAACAAATAATTAAATAATACAAAGTATGTTCTTGAACCATGCATTCGTTTGCTAGGGCTGCCGTAACGAAACCACAGACTGGGTGGCAAAAACTATAGACTGGGTAGCTTAAGCAACTTAATGGTCTTTTCTCACAATTCCAGAGGCTAGAAGTCCAAGATCAAGGGGGTGGCAGGTACAGTTTTTTCTTACTTCTCTCTACTTGGCTTGAGGATGGCCTCCTTCTCTCTGTGTCTGATGGTCATCCCCTTGTCTATGTTGTCTGTGTCTGAATCTCCTCTTATTATAAGGGTTCTAGTCATATTAGATTAGGGTCCATTCTAATTACCCCATTTTAACTTAAGTACTTCTTTAAAGGCCATGCCTCCAAATATAACCATATTCTACGGCACTGGGGAATTATATCTTCAACATATAAATGTTGGGGGCACACAATTCAAACCACTGCAGGCCATGTAGAATTAAACTAGGAAACAATAACAGAGAGATAATAAAATATCTAAACATGTGCAAATTAAACAAGACACAGAGGAAGTTACAAGGTAAATAAGAAAAATGAATAAAAATGAAAATAAAACATTTCATAACATTGTGGGATATAGTTAAAAATACTTAGAGGAATATTGATAACATTAAATGCTTATATAAGAAAGAAAGAAAAGAGGCCGGGCGCGGTGGCTCACGCCTGTAATCCCAGCACTTTGGGAGGCCGAGGCGGGCGGATCACGAGGTCAGGAGATCGAGACCATCCTGGCTAACACGGTGAAACCCCGTCTCTACTAAAAATACAAAAAATTAGCCGGGCGTAGTGGCGGGAGCCTGTAGTCCCAGCTACTCGGGAGGCTGAGGCAGGAGAATGGCGTGAACCCGGGAGGCGGAGCTTGCAGTGAGCCGAGATCGCGCCACTGCACTCCAGCCTGGGCGACAGAGCGAGACTCCGTCTCAAAAAAAAAAAAAAAAAAAAAAGAAAGAAAGAAAAGATTCAAATCAATTATATAAGTTTTTACTGTCAAAAAATAGAAAAAGAACAAAATAATGACAAGGCAAGCAAAAGGAAGGGAATAAAGTTAAGAACAGAAATCAATATATTATAAATGGAAAAATGATAAAGAGAAACAATGAAACAAAATTTTTTTTTTGAATAGAAGAGTAAAATAGTTATACCTGTAGCAAGACAGAAAAGTGAGAGACAGAGAGAGAGAGGGAGAAAGAGAGAAACAGAGACAGAAAGATGACAGAGAGAAGAGAGAGAGAGAGAAGATATGCATTGCCAATATCAGAAATGGAAGAAGGAATACCACTAAAGAGCCCACAAATATTACAAGGATAATAAGGAAATACTGCAAATACTTCTGTGTGCATACAATTGGCAACTTAGATGAAGCAGACCAATTTCTCAAAAACAACTAAAACAACTGTAATACAACCAAGATTATATTGGTAATTTGAATAATACAATAACTATGAAGAGATTCGAATTATTAGCTTAAAAAATATACCAAAAATGTAGATCCCATGGGCCCAATAGTACCAATTCTATAAAAATCTCTTTCAGTTAATAGAACTGAAAAGAATACTTCCCAATTAATGTTATAGGGCCTACATTACCTTGATCCCAAAACTAGAAATAGACTGTATGAATGAGAAAACTTCAGACCAATATCCCTCAAAAATATAGATACCTAAATTATAAAAATATATTAGTAAAACAACTCTAACAGTATATTTAAAAATCATTTATCACAACCAATAATTGTTTTTCTTGGGAATTCAAAGCTGGATTACTATTTGAAAATCAAGCGAGTCATTTACAATATAGAAACATAAAGGAGAAAGTCACTTTATCATATTATTTGATACAAAAAAAATTGAAAAAATTCAGCACACATTCTTGAGAAAAACTCCTTGCAAACTAACATTGAAAAAGAATTTCCCCAATTGGATAGCAGGCATCTAAAATAAACTATAGGTAACATCATATTTAATGACAAAAAATTTAATGTTTTCCACTATAATGGAAAAAAAATGCTGGATGTTCAGTCTCGCTACTCCTATCCAATGCCATTCTGAAAGACCTATTCAGTACAATAAGGCAAGAAAAAAAAGACACATATATTGTAAAGAAAGAACTTAAAATGTCTGTACTTTCAGAGTACATGATTTTCTGCATAGAAAAATCCCAATAATTGATAGAAAAACTCCTAGAACTAATAAGTCAGTTTAGCAAGCTCATAGAATATATGGTCTTCACACAAAGACTACACTACAATACCAACAAATGATTGGGAATCAAAAGTAAAAGAGCAAGGTAATTTTCCAAAGTGTCAATAAATAAAATAGATGTAAATCTAGTAAAACTTGCACAGGATTCATATTCTTCTACATACTTAAAAATGCTGATTAAAAACCCATAGAAAACCTAAATAATTGGAGAGATATACACCATTTATAGATAGAAATTCTCAGTGTAGCAAAAAAAATCCATTCCCTCTAACTAATATGTGGTCTTAATGCAATATCAATCAAATTTAAAATCCCTGCAGGGTTTTTTTTCCAGTATAGAAAAGATAATTTTAAATTTATGTTGAAATACAAAGGTACTAACAAAAACAATTTTGGGAAAGAATAGAGATGGAAGAATTATAGTAATCAACTTTAAGACTTACCAAAAAGCTACAGTAATCATGGCACTGTAATATTGGTAAAGGGATGCATTGATTAATGGAATATACCACAGAATCCAAAAATAAGACTACACAGAGGTGAAAGCAATTTAATGAAAAAAAAACCAATATTTTCAAAAGGGGTTAGAAAATTTGGAAATCCTCATACAAAGCAATAAACCTAGATCTAATAGTCCCATCTTATTAAACACTTGATTCAAAATGGATCATTGAGCTAAATGTAAAACATAAAACTATAAACTATTTACAATAAAAATAGAACAAAAATCTCACATGGGTTAATATGGTTTGACTGTGTCCCCACCCAAATCTCATCTTGAATTGTAGCTCCCATAATTCACACATATTGTGGGAGAGACCTGGTGGGAGGTAACTGAATCATGGAGGTGGGTCTTTCCTATGCTGTTCTTCTGGTAGTGAATAAGTCTCATGAGATCTGTTGGTTTTACAAAGGGGAGTTCCCCTACACAAGCTCTCTTGCCTGCTGCCATGTAAGACATGCCTTTGCTTCTCCTTTGCCTTCTGCCAAGATTGTGAGGCCTCCCTAGCCATGTTGAACTGTGAGTCCATTAAACCTCTTTCCTTTATAAATTTCCCAGTCTCAGATGTGTCTTTATTAGTAGCATGAGAACAGACTAATATACGGGCTTAGGCAAAAATAAAAGTATAATCCACTAAAGAAAATATAATAAATTAGATTTTATCATAAATTAGATTTTATCATAAACTTTTGCTCTATAAAAGATAACTTTTTAAATATCAAAAAAGATAAGCTACAGGCTAAGACAAAGTATTCATGAATCACAAATCTAGAACAAAAGACTTACATCTACAATTTCAAGTAATTCTCAAAAACGCAACAATAAGCAAACAATGGGCCAGGTGCAGTGGCTCATGCCTGTAATCCCAGCACTTTGGGAGGCTGCAACAGGTGGCTCACATGACCTCAGGAGTTCAAGACCAGCCTGGGCAACAAAGTAAGACCCTATCCCTACAAAAAATAAAAAATTAGCCAGACATGGTGGTGCACGTTTGTAGTTCCAGCTACTCGGGAGGCTGAGGTAGGAGGATGGCTTGAGCCTGGAAGACAGAGGTTGCAAGGTTGCAGTGAGCCAAGATTACACCACTGCACTCCAGCCTGGGTGACAGAGCCAGACCCTGTCTCAAAAAAACAAAAACAAAAACAGAAACAAACCACTCCCCCAAAAAACAAACAAACAAACTGACAAAAAACATTCAGTTTTAAAGCTTGGGCAAAAAGATTTAAGCAGACATGTTAACAAAAATCTAAGGATAGCAAATAAGTATGAGATGTTGAATGTTGTTAGCCATTAGGGAAATGCAAAATAAAATCACATTTATGTATCACTAGTACACCTACTAGAATTGCAACGATCAACACACACACACACACACACACACACACAATGCCACGCGCTGCCAAGTATAAAAAGAAACTGCAACTCTCATTTGTTATTACTGGATGTGAAAAATAGTGCAGCCATCTAAGAGACATTTCTGACAGTTTCTTATAAAGTTAAACATATACTTAATAGAGGGCCCAGGACCCTAGAGAATTAGAAACTTAGGTTCACACAAAAACTTCTATATAAATTTTCATAAAATTCCTATTTAGAAAAACCTAAAACTTGAAATAATCCATATATCCTTCAACGGATTAATGAACAAACTATTGTCCATCCTTCCAACTTCCAGAGGCCTCCTGCATCCCATGGCACTCAGCTCCTTCCTCTTTCTTCAAAGCACAGCACTCCAACCTCTGTTTCTCTTGTCACAGCCATTTTTCTAATTAAACGTCTTTCTTCCCTCTCATAAGGACTCATATGATTACCTTGGGACCACCTGGATAATCTAGAAAAATCTCCCCATGTCAAGATCCTTAATCACTTCCAGAAAGTACCTTTAGTTATGCAGGGTAACATGTTCTGGGCTTTTTAGGATTAGCATGAGAACATCTTTGGGGCAACTATTCTTTCCACCACACATGCATACAATAGAATACTACTGAGTAACAAAAAGGAACACACTATTGGTATGTGCAACAATTTGCATACTCTTGAAAGTGTTAGGCTGCATGAAAGAAGTCAGGCTCAAAAGGTCATATACTGTTATAATGTATGGCTCCATATATATACATATATATTTTTTTCTTTTTTTTTTGAGACAGAGTTTCACTCCTGTTGCCTGGGCTGGAATACAATGGTGAGATCTCGGCTCACTGCAACCTCCGCCTCCTAGGTTCAAGCCATTCTCCCGCCTCAGCCTCCAGAGTAGCTAGGATTACAGGCATGCACCAACACGCCTGGCTAATTTTGTATTTAGTAGAGATGGGGTTTCTCCATGTTGATCAGACTTGTCTCGAACTCCTGACCTCAGGTGATCTACTCACCTCAGCCTCCCAAAGTGCTATGATTACAGTCATGAGCCACCATGCCCAGCCTTATATGACTTTCTCACAAAGATAAATCTGTAGCAATAGAGTAATTATCAGGGGTTGCCAGAGCTTAGAAGTAGGGGAAAGTGTGACTACAGAGGGGTGGCATAAAGGAGTTTGTTGAGGTGATGGCAGCATTCTACGTTCTGATTGTGGTGGTGATAACATGAACGGATACCTGTGTTAAATCTCACAGAACTCTACTCCAAAAAGAAGTTTTAAGTTAATTTAACTCTGTGGGTTTGTTTTAAAGCACACACTTAGTAATAAATTAAAAACTGATCATTTTTAGTCTGTCCTATCTACCTACCTACCTAACTCTATTGATCTATGTACCTATCTACTTATCTATAATAATCTATGTATGTATCTATAATTATATCTATTATTCATCTGTATCTATCTATATCTATCCATCTATTTATCTATCCATCCATCTCTCTATCCATTCACCTATTTATCTATCTATCCATCTATGTATCTATCCATCCACCCATATCTATCTATCCATCTATCTATTTATCTATCTAATTTACCTATCTATCATTCTTAACTGCCTGTTTATATTCAAAGAACAATAATTGTAGTACAGAAGCCTGGAGCATCCCCTACACTCGCCTGCTGGAGCATTTTGCAGACAGCTCACTTGATTTACCCGCCTCTCATGTCTCCAAATGCATGTCAATAAGGACACAGAACACCCCTCATTCTAGATGCCTGGAGCCCCAGGAAGCCTGAAGGAAGAACATTCCTGGGTGCTAAGATGAGTCTTCTGTTTGGCACTGGTGGCTGAAAAACCTCCCTGCAACAGTGGCTTCTAACACTTTTTATTCAGTGCTTTTAAAAAAATATTTATATCTTTGGCCTTGTTTAACATTTTTTACTGAGTTCCCTTTTCCTTTCAGAAGGCAGAGGCCAAAAAACACAGAAAATGAGTTACAGGAGCCTCAGCAAGAAGTCTCCTGGGATGTCACCATCTCCTGGAAAATTCTCCTCAAGAGCTTACCAGACAAATATAAATATATGCTGGATGAAGTTTTCAGTGACCTTTAAACTGTTTGCATTTCAAGAAGATTCCAAGAAGAGTTTCTGTTGCTGGCAGATCCTTGGGATTCTAGGCTTACATTAAAAAATCTAAACCAGATCACACTTCAGGCGTAGCATCCCAGAAACATCATCACTGTGGAATCTGAGTATCAAAGAACGACTCCTCCTTAGTGCCTACTGGGTTTTAGGAAATACGTTCAGTGCTTCTTCTGTGTGGTTCCTTTAATCCCAACAGCTTTAGGAGAAAGGGAGTGTTATTCTCATCAGACAGAGGGGGAAATGGAATCTCAGATTACAAAGCCCACTGCTACATACCCTATAAGGGTCCCAGATTCCTTGGATATAAAATGGATTTATGTTGCCTATCTTGCAGGGTTGTTACAGATTAAGCACTGAGGAAAATAATATAGTAGGTGCTTGCATTAGTCTGTTCTCATGCTGCGAATAAAGAAATATCTGAGACCGGGTAATTTATAATGAAAAGCGGTTTAATTGACTCACAGTTCAGCATGGCTCAGGAGGCCTCACAATCATGGCAGAAGGTGAACGAGGAACAAAGTCATGTCTTACATGGCAGCAGGCAAGAGAGCTTGTGCAGGGGAACTCCCATTTATAAAACCATCGGATCTCATGAGACTTATTCACTACCACGAGAACAGTATGAGGAAAATTGTCCCCATGATTCAATTATCTCCACCTGGCCCTGCCCTTGACACATGGGGATTATTACAATTCAAGGTGAGATTTGGGTGGGGACACAGCCAAACCTTATCGGTGCTCAATAAATGGCAAATGTTATTGCACGTGAGTAAGCCAAAATCCAGACCCAGGCTCCACTGGCTCAAAATGGCAAGTTCTTTCCATTTCTGCAGGTAGGCTTCTCTGGGGCCCAGCCAGGCAGGTGTCTCCTGCTGCCCTTTGTTCCATGGCACCAGAGGAATGTTTCCTAGCCTTTAATGGGAGCAGCTCTCACCTCCCTGTGCCTGTGGTCCCTTCCCCACAATTGTGAAGTGAGAGCCCCTGTCACTGGAGCTCCTTGTCCTCTCCACCTGCAAAGAAAGAGTGCTCTTCTTTTTTAGGACTTGGCTGTCATTCACCTTGATGAGAAGCTAGAAGGTGACAAAAATAGCCATTATGAAGAATCAGCCAAGAATGTGTTACCCTAAAATGCCCTCATGATCGATGATCAGGAACATCAGTCTCTTGTTCCTAGCACCTTCTGGATAGAAGGTGACTGCAGTGGACATATTTATTCAGTCTTTGTTCTGTAAAGGCATGATTCAGTGCTCATCAAGATTTCCCAGGGGGTTTTCAGACAGAGAAGGTGAAGAACATTCTTCCTACTGTCAAAAAGGTACAGTTCAGGCTGGGCGTTGTGGATCATGGCTATAATCCCAGTGCTTTGGACCCAGAGGCAGGAGGATCACTTGAGGCCAGGAATTTAAGACCAGCCTGGGCAACATAACAGGACCCTGTCTCAACAAAATACAAATAGCCAGGTGCAGTTTTAGTCCCAGCTACTCAGGAGGCTGAGGCGGGAGGCTTGCTTGAGCCCAGGAGTTAGAACTGCAATGAGCTATGATTGCGCCATTGCACTCCAGCCTGGGTGACAGACTGAGTCTGTATCTCTAAAATAAAAGAAGAAGACGAAGAAAGTGCAGTTCAGATGGATTCTTACATTGTCCATTGTCTTCAGGGAGCATTCGTATTTCCAATACTCTCTAGATAAGGTGACATTCCGTGCTTTATACCTCTAAACCACTCATATTTGAGTAGTTCCTGCTTGGCACACATATTTATTTATTTTTATTATTATTTTTTTAAGGATGGTGTCTTGCTAAGTTGCCCAGAATGATCTTGAGCTCCTGGACTTAAGCGATCCTCCTCCTCGTTTACTTGGTGTATTTAGATATTGGCAAGAAAGAAGAAAGAAAAAAAGAGAGTAGAAGGAAGGAAGGAAGGATGGAAGGAAGGAAGGAAGATAGGAAGGAAGGAAGGAAGGAAGGAAGGGAGGGAGGGAGGGAGGAAGGAAGGAAGGAAGTGGGTATAGAGGCTGACAGTTGCAATCCCAGCACTTTGGTAGGCCAAGGTGGGAGGATTTCTTGAGCCCAGGAGTTCAAGACCAGCCTGGGCAATATAGTAAGACCCCATCTCTAAAAATAAAAATAAAAAAAAAAAACGTTAGCTTGGCATGGTGGTATATGCCTTTAGTCCCAGATACTCAAGAGGCTCGCTTGAGACAGCAGGATTGCTTGAGCTTAGGAGGTCCAGGCTGCAGTGAGCCATGTTCATGCCACTGCATTCCAGCCTGGGTGACAGAGAGAGACCCTGTCATTATGAAAGAAAGAGAAAAGAAAGAAAGAAAGAAAAAAGAAGGAAAGGTAGGAAGAAGGAAGGAAGGAAGGAGAGACAAAGAAAGAAAAAAAATACGAAGGAAGGAAAGGAGGGAGGGAGGGAGGGAGGAAGAGAGAAAGAGGGACGGAAGGAAGGCAGGAAGGCAGGGAGGGAGGAAGGGAGGAAGGGGAGAGAAAGAAAGAAAAATGAAAGGTATGAGGGAAGGAAGCAAGGGAGGGAGGGAGGGACGGAAGGAGGGAAGAAGAGAGAAAGAGACAGAAAAAAATAATTGACGGCCGGGCGCAGTGGCTCACGCCTGTAATCCCAGCACTTTGGGAGGCCGAGGTGGGTGGATCACGAGGTCAGGAGCTCGAGACCATCCTGGCTAACACGGTGAAACCCCGTCTCTACTAAAAATACAAAAAAATTAGCCGGGCCTGGTGGCGGGCGCCTGTAGTTCCAGCTACTCGGTAGGCTGAGGCAGGAGAATGGCGCGAACCCGGGAGGCGGAGGTTGCAGTGAGCCAAGATTGCGCCACTGCACTCCAGCCTAGGTGACAGAGCGAGACTCCATCTCAAAAAAAATAAATAAATAAAATAAAATAAAATAAAAAATAATTGACAATATATAAGCTGCATCAGACAAAAGTAGAAGCAAGAGGGAATTATGTGTATACCTACAACACAGTAAAACAATATTTAGTCAGATTAAATGAGAGAATAAACTCTGGCTTAAAATTCTCTGGCTTAGAGAATTTTGTTTTATGTTGTACTTTTTCCTCTCTGGTTTTAAATGTTAGATGAACATTTTTGTAACGTATTTTTTAAAATAGAGAAAGTAAAAAAAGCAGGAAAATAATTGCCCGAGGTCCTTCACCTAAGGATAAGAACTCTTAACATTTTGGGTTCTCTTGATGTTTTTCTAGTCAGCTCTCTCTTTGTGTAGTTGAGATCATGGTGTGCGTGTGTGTGTGTGTGTGTGTGTGTGTGTGCGCGCGTGCGCACATGTATGTGTGTGTGTGTCCTGTTCTGTGCCCTGCTTTCCTCAAACAATATAAGCCATTAATATTTCCCCTTATCATAAAAGATAAGAAAAGACTAAGGAACTTGTACTAATTGGAAAAGACCAAGAAGATAACAACAGTTTTTTTGCAATGCAAGATTCTGGACAGGATCCTGGAATAGAAAAAGGATGTTTATGGAAAAAACAAGTGAATCTATTAAACTCTGAGGTTTAGGGAATAGTATTGTAGCAACATTCACTTCCTGGTTTTGTTGATTGTGCTGTGGTTATGTAAGATGTTAACATTAGGGGACACTGCTTGACAGATATGTGGGAACCCTCTGTACTATCTTTGCAACTTTTCTGTAAGTCTAAATTTAGTTCAAAATACAAAGTTTTAAAAATTCCACAGTGTTTAACAACATATTTATCATAGAAACTATTTGTATCCATTGTTTCATGCACGTCATGGAAAAACTGCCATGATATTGTTGCAATAAATACCATTTCTTTTCAACTTTGCAACTTTGAGATCTTTCTTAAAATTAAGCCCCCTAATGAAATTACTGGGTCAAAGGGGTTGAATGGATTTTTGCTACATATTATCAAATATCTTTTAAAAAATTGTTACCAATTAACATTTTGACCATCATTTTATGTGTGCCTTGTATAATTAAAAAAAAATCTTACTAATATGATAGATGAAAATTGAATTGCGATTTTTTAGATCGTATTTTTTGTATAAAAATTCAAGACCATACCTTTGATCTTGATGTTTGAGGTTTTTCCTATTGATTTGAATAAAGCGTACATAAATATAGAGTGACAATTTTCTCTCTACATTATTTGTTACAAATTTGGTTTGGTTTGGAAATGTAGGAGAAAACATTTTAATTACATCAAAGTGCATACCTTAATGGAAACAGGACTTTAAATATTTCTTAAGAAATATCAGTAGCATGATATGCATTAATGAATTAAAACATTAGTAATTATTAAAATTCTTATAACAGTTTATTAGATTTAGTATGAAGAGGTGGCCCCCCCACTCTTCTTATAGCAGGGACAAAGCAAATATTTGCTTTAGCAGAACTGCTGTAAATTTCTAAACTAGGTGCGTGAATAAATGGCCCTAAAAGTACTGTAGCCCAAAAGATACTGTCTCACATACAGGATGCATGGATTGGAATTTAACCCACATATCACACAGGCTATGTGACCTTGGGCAGATCACCTAACCTTTCCTAGTCTTTGTTTCTTTTTTCTGCAGAATGACAATTAGACCTATTCTGCATCCTTCAGTGTTACAAGAATTTAATAATATGAAATGATATTTTCAACAACAAATCTATCTATTCCTGTATTCATTCAACAATTATGGTTCTATGTTAGATAGCATAGAACATTAGGTCCCTGCAAATAGCTACTGACAATGATAATTAAGACTGCCCTTGAAGCTAGCTTAAAACTTTAAGTATTCTATTTGAAAATATTTTGATTTTTTTGTGTGTCCTGTGAATACAAAGATTAGCTGTCCAAAGTATTTTTTGTCCTCTTTATCCTCCATTAACAAAACTTTAGGGAGAATTAGGTTTTCTGGTGAGTAATGTATACAACATATTTGAGGAATTTATCAATTTTACCTAAGTTTCTCAAATTTAGTGTGATAACATTGTTCATAGTATCTTATTAAAGTCTGCATTATTTAGGGTTAATTCTTTCTCATTTCTAATACGGTTTATGTGTACTTGCACATTCATTTTTATCATCGTAAGAGGTGTTTGTCTTTCATTGTGTTTTTTTTTCAAAGAACCGACTTATGTTCTTTTGAATCCTCTTTTGTGTTTTTTAAAAAACGGTAATATCATTATTTTCTGTTTCCATAATTCTCTCCTTTCCAACATTTTATGTTTTGTTTAATATTTTTCCCAATATCTTAAGAAAGATGAATATTGCATTATATTCATCAGTATGTTTTCTATTATTTAAAGGTATAGTTTTTGCTCTGAGTACTGCTTTTG